>NC_000018.10:10610099-10910149 GCF_000001405.40 Homo sapiens | reverse complement strand
ACAGTAGGTTTTGACTAGTTCTTTTTACCATATTGAAAATGTGTTTGTCTCTGTATTGATGAAGCTGACAGAGCACTTAAAGTATACAAAGGAAATAATAAAATACTTGAAAATGCATTGTTTCTCCTGTAGCAATAAAGAATAGCACATCGGTAGACCCATGTGGTAGCAGTTTCTTTGCCACTTGTTAATTGATTCAAAGATGATTTATTTCCCTACCAACACCTACATCAGCACCATCGCTGTTTGCTGTCTCAGTAAGTGCTCATAATTCTTAAGGTATTGCGGGAAGTTGATTTGGGGTGGTCAGATCCCATAGGCCAACTTAAAAGAAAGAATGGAAAGTCATGCCCAGCTTTAGTTCCATGTGAAATCTTTTTCTAAAGCGTCTTTCCCTTGATCCTTCTTTCATAATATGAAACATCTAAAACATACACAAAAATAGAGATAATGGTAGAAAAAGGTCACCTATCCACTCCCCAGCTCCAATAAGTCTTTGCCACACTTACGTTATTTATTTTGGCTGAAACATTTTAAAGAAGTTCTCAGATACTATGTCATTTCATCCCTACATAGGTCAGCATGCATCTCTGAAACAAATGGGCCATTTCTTCCAGAATAGTGCCATCATCATACCTAATACAAATAAGTCTTTAGCATTATTTAATACCCAGTCAATATTTACATTTCCTGATCATCTCAAAAATGTCATTTGTATTGGTTGCAACAGGATGCTATGGAAGCCCAGACATTCCATCTCATTATCACTTCCCTTAAGCTTCTTTATTTAGATCAGTGCCCCCCAGCCCCTCCAGCTTCCTTTCATTTTTCTTCACATCATTGACTTCTGAAGAAACCAGATCGGTTGTCTTACAGAATATTTTACTTTCTGAATTTGTCTGTTTGCAATATTGTTTGTTATTCTAATCCCTCATTTCATGTAAATTCAAATTATTTCACGTTCAGCCTCTGGGAACATATATGTGTTGACTTCTCGTCCTTTTGACACAAACCCATCACTCTATCGTTTTCGTGTTTCCTGCACAGTTAGATGGCCCAGGCTCATCCCCTGTTTCTCCTTGGCTCAGCCTTTCCTCCCAGCAGCCATAGACAGTGGATGTAAAAGTATTTCACTAAAAGTTTATTTACAAAAACAGGCAGCAGGCAGGATTTGGCTACTGTCATTTGTTGACCTCCACTGTAGACTTTGGTCATCACCTGGCAGGTAAAAAAAACTCCTGAAAAAATTGCACAGGCTACCCAGACAGTCAGCCACGCAGCATCCCGCACAGTTCCAGGTTTGCCTGGTTCCAAAGACTGAGCTTTCAACACCATACCACATGGAATTCTTGGGTATGTTTATTTTTGAGCCTAGAGTTTCAACCATTACTTTTCAGTACTTATAGTATGGGTCCATTGAGGGCCTTTGGTGATCATTCTGGTTTTTGGATGTCTTAACATGTCATCCTGTGTTTTCCCATGTCATCTCAGGTTTTCTCGTTTAAGGGCCAACAGTATTCTGCACATCACAACAAGCGCCTTCAAATACAGGACAGATAGTGATCTTTGAGGTTCTTGTATATTTACAGTTGCAAAGACTAAATGTCAGCAGTACTGTTATATATGGCTTGTCTTTTTTCTTCTCAAGTTTAACCTGTTCTTTCTCTTAAAGGGAAATTCCAATTATATCTTAAATACAGCTATCTGGTTCTTTAGAGCAGTCTTAAAAGCTATCGATCTTTTCATCACTATGTCCTTCTTTGAAGTTCATCCATCAACCTGGTTGCCAGCGGATTATTTTAAAGGGATCACATCTAAATGAAAAGAAGTAACTGAGTCAGCTAAAGCTGCAAAGCTTTTTCTCCAAGAATAAAAAAAGCAAAGACGCTTTCTGTTGTGTAACTGTTATACTGAAAGGAAGACCTAGAGGACCTGCCCTGCCTACCCTCCTTGCAGTAACACTAGATGGGATAGTGGTGGACCTCCCCTGAGATGTTGTTCAGTTGTCTCTCTGGAAGCTGTGTGATTATATGCATTGTCTCATAATAAATACACGTAGTCACAGTTTATGTGGCTGTACTCATAATAATGTGTCATTTACACCTTCACACAATCACATTTTCCCTCTGTGGGGCTATTAGTTTATTGTAAGACTTCATTACAGAAGTGTGTTGTAATATAGAAAGAAAATGTTGTAATGTAGGTTTGTGTATCTTCTCAGTCACCTCCCACTCCTGGTACTACATTAGTAATATCTACATAACAAAAGCAGACTCAATTTTTTTTATTATAGATAAAAAGAATCTGTGCCTATCAAATGTTGGTTTCAATCAGCTCACCTTTCTGTGCAGATTTTCTAAGCTTATGATTATAAATATTTCCAAATCACAGTCATTTATTAGTCTAGGATAGGGTGATGCCAGGTGGGCGTGGCTTTGTACATTCGTGGACACCCTGCCTGTGCTAATCATGTGTAATCAGTGAGGGTGGCTTTGAAACCAACAAGCTTGGAGCTAAAATGGCCCAAATTCTTGGTGGCTTAATACAACAAATGTTTCTTTCTCACTCCTGCAAAATCTGATGAGGAGAATAGACAATTCTATGGGGCAGCTCGCCTCCACGGGGTGTGTCATTGGTAGGCTGCATTCTCACAGTGCTTTCATCTCAACATGATGCTTGAAACAAATACATCTTTTTTTTTTTTTTGAGACAGAGTCTTGCTCTTGTTGCCCAGACTGGAATGCAGCGGCGTGATCTCAGCTCACTGCAACCTCTGCTTCCCGGGTTCAGGCGATTCTCCTGCCTCAGCCTATCAAGTAGCTGAGATTACATGCACCCGCCATCACACCCAGCTAATTTTTGTATTTTTATTAGAGACGGGGTTTCACCGTGTTGGCCAGGCTAGTCTTGAACTCTTGACCTCAGGTGATCCACCTGCCTCAGCCTCCCTAAGTGCTGGGATTACAGGCGTGAACCACCATGCTCAGACCATCTTTCTTAATTCAATGATTAATGCTGTTCTTATGGTGGCTTTCTGAAATATGGGCTTCTAAATTCTTCAGTTCTTTCAGATAATACACAAATATTTCTGGGAAGTGTAGCAACCTGTTCTGAAATTATAAAATTTCAAAGTTCACTTAGGCATTGAAAGAGGACTTGGACAATTTCAGACTGGATTTTAAATGTTCCCTCTGGGAGTGCCGTTTGTCACTACATCTCACAGTACTCAGGCACCACACGGCCATGGGCTCAGGAAGGCGACAAAAGACAGGATATAAGAAAGTTCTTGGGCCGGGCGTGGTGGCTCACTCCTGTAATCCCAGCACTTTGGGAGGCCTAGGTGGGAGGATTGACTGAGCTCAGGAGTTCGAGACCAGCCTGGGCAACATGGTGAAACCTCGTGTCTACTAAAATACTAAAAATTAGCCAGGCGTGGCGGCATGTGCCTGTAGTCCCAACTACTCAGGAGGCTGAAGCAGCAGAATTGCTTGAACCCAGGAGGCGGAGGTTGCAGTGAGCCCAAATCGCCCCTCTGCACTCCAGCCTGGGCGACAGAGCAAGACTCTGTCTCAAAAAAAAAAAAAGTTCTTATAATATCTATCATAGTGATCTCTCAGTGAGTTCTGAACACAATTTTCTCTATCTAAGGCTGCGTTTTTTTGTCTGGGAAAAATATATCACCAAGTAAATAGGCTTGAGTATATTAATTTGCCAGCAGAAATCAAAGTTTTTGCTTACTGGGAGATCATATTGCTGTCTATTTAAAAATAACAATATTTTACTGATCTCTTGCCCGTTTTTAATTAAAAAGCAAAGACGATATTCTCAGTCATTCTGTGTAATCAGAACATTACTTCAGATTACCTTATGATTAACATTATTGTATGTGATTTTATTTGATGCTCCACTTGGATAGTGGAACAAAATATCTTGCTCCTTCAAAGAACATTTTAAAATAGAAATCACCCTGAAAATAGCCTTCTGCAATGAGATAACAAATATCCCTAGTTTTTTTTCCTTCAGTGTAGACATAATTCAAAAGGCCTAGCTCTGTCTTTTGGGGTGACCGCAGCCTTCCATAGCTCTGTCTGTCAGCAAGCCTCTTCCCCAGCATCTATGTCATAAAGAAATTTCCAACCACCTCCCAAGTTTTAGATATTATTGCTCAGTAAAACCTGTCCTGATGGCCCACTCCCAGGAGCATGACCTCTTCTCATAATTCTTTTCACATTCTTGAACATGTAAGGAGGAGACTCTCTTAATACCCTGGTGCCGTGGGCAATGCCTGATATATACTAGCTAATCTGATGTTTGTGGGATAGATTAATGACTTCTTAATAGGGAAATTGGAGAGTGCTTATAAAAGAGTGGACTTAGGAAAAAGTCAAGAGAGAAAGGACCCACTGTCTTTTTGTCATTACGTTGCAGCAGCTTCTGGAAGTGTCATTTGTCACTACAACTCACAGTACTCAGGCACCACACTGCCATGGGCTCAGGAGGCGGCTCACTCCTGAGAGTAGAGGGAAGAGAAATGTGGTCCACCTTGCAAGTTTTTTTTTTTTTTTTTTGAAACAGTTTCGCTCTTGTTGCCCAGGCTGGAGTGCAATGGCATGATCTCGGCTCACTGCAACCTCTGCCTCCCGGGTTCAAGCGGTTCTCCTGCCTCAGCCTCCTGAGTAGCTGGGATTATAGGCATGTGCCACCACACCCGGCTAATTTTGTATTTTTAGTAGGGACAGGGTTTCTCCATGTTGGTCAGGCTGGTCTCAAACTCCGGACCTCAGGTGATCCACCCACCTCCGCCTCCCAAAAGTGCTGAGATTACAGGCGTGAACCACCACGCCTGGCCAACCTTGTAAGTTTATAAGCCCGCAGTACATGGCATGGAGAGATACACAGTACCTCTGTCTTAATTCAATGATTAACCCTGTTCTTATGTTAGATTTGTGAAAGATGGGCTTCTAAATTCTTTAATTCTTTCAGACTGTATGTGCATAAATATTCCTGAAAAGTTTAGCAACCTATTTTGAAATTATAATGTAAAATTTTGTCAAAGTAGTTTATAATCGGGGAAATGACTGGGAAAAATGATTTTTTTAAGTTGTTATTTAAGATTAAGACCAAAATATTAATTTATTCTCTTCTTTGAACATTTTTAAGCCTGTGCTTCCTGCCCACCCCTGGGCTATATTTGGAGTTTTCAGATAAACATCACAGGAATGGAAGTGTGATTTATCAAATACTTACACTATGCTGGCTTCTGTGTTCACACTTTGCTTTAGGATTTATTGAATTCCCACAACTTCCAGAGTCAGATTCTACTGAGTTATGCTGGGCGAACAACCCCATATCTCAGTGACTTAAAAGACCAGAGGGTGATTTCTTGCTCGTATTAAATGTCAGCTGCAGAGGCTGTGGATTGACTGTGGCTCTTCTCCAGTGCCTGCTCCATCCTGGGATCCAGGCTAAAACACAGCCCTCATTTGGTACATGGCTTTCTTGTGGCTGAAGAAGAAATGCCTTGGCCATACCAGGCAGTGGCTCTTGAAGCATTTGCTCAGTGTGAAGTATGCCACCTCTGCCTACTTCCAGGTGCCAAGCCCAAGGCCTGTGGGCACAGAAGCACGCTCCTCCCACAGGGTTCCACTCTAAGCCACACATCACACACAGGGATATAGAAGACCGTCGTAAGAAAGGAGAGTGACTGGGGGGAAGTACTACACAATCTACACAGTAGACCTTTTCCATCTTACAAATGAGTAAAGTCAAATCTTAGAAGTTAAGTATTTTACCCAAGATTGCACAGCTAGTAGAGGCAAAAGCAAGCGGTAACTCGGTTTTATGGGCTCTACCTTCTATTCATTCATAATCTACCATGCTGTACGTGTCCATAAGGGTTTGTTGAGCACACATTATGACAACAATGCTGGGTGCTAGGGATGATGGGAAGAATAGGTCTTGGTCTTAGAGATGATACCATTTATATTTTATGTTTATACATATCTCCTCTATATGTAAACATAAGGTACATAACTAAACGGTATCATGTAACTGACTATTATATTTTATGTTTACACATAACTCCTATATTTTGTATTTTTATGAGTTACATGCTACCATTTAGTTCAATCACTTGAAAATGTTTTTGGAGCAGCTGCTGCTGCTGTGTACCAGGTGCTATTCTAATGATATCTATATTACAGAAGTGGAAGAAGGAGTAGGTCAATGTGTGAGGTTGAGGCAAGGCCTGGCTGCATAGTTGGGGGACAGGGATGGGAGTTGTCTGTGAAAGCTTAACTTCAGGGAACATCTGGGCAGAGTTTTGAAGAATGGCTTCATTGGCATTCATCCATCTGAACTGTTAGGGATAAAGTGTGAAGCCACACTTGATAAGACATGAAATCTGGGTATGGAGTGGAAACCATGTCAGGAAGTATCTTATAGGCAATGCCAAGAAGTTTGAATCTTTTTTTTTTTGAGATGGAGTCTTGCTCTGTCGCCCAGGCTGGAGTGCAGTGGTGTGATCTCGGCTCACTGCAAGCTCTGCCTCCTCCTGGGTTCATGCCATTCTCCTGCCTCAGCCTCCCAAGTAGCTGGGACTACAGGAGCGCGCCACTATGCCCAGCTAATTTTTTTTATTTTTGGTAGAGACGGGGTTTCACCATGTTGTTGGCCAGGATGGTCTCGATCTCTTGACCTCATGATCCGCCCGCCTTGGCCTCTCAAAGTGCTGGGATTACAGGCGTGAGCCACCGTGCCTGGCCTTGAATCTTATTCAGTAGTAATGGGGAGCCATTGAAGGGTGTAAACCCCAGAGAAGGTAAGCTTAGATGTGCTTCTAGAAATGTCACTCGAGCAGCAATATAGACCAGATGAGCCAGGAGTTCAGCTAGGAAGCTGCTGCAGTAGTTCAGGAGAGTGATTATAATGTCTCGACCAAGATAGGGACAGTGTGAGTGTGACATGCAGATGTATGCCAAACGCATTTTAGGTAAGTAGAATTCGAAGTTACAACTTGGTGAATAATTGACTGTCAGCGTGTAGGGGAGGAAGGATTCTGGAATGAGTACAGCCCATGGGTTGGTGCCTCCCCATAGCTGCTGTCTCCCCGGGGCAGCCTGGAAAGGCTGGGGATAAAAGCCCTGTTGCCCATCAGTGAGCAACAGAAGTAGTGTACAAATGCACCAGCTCCCCATTCAATTCCTTGGACAATTCGAGGCACATTGCATAGGGTTCTGCAGAAGCTTCCTAGAAACTTTCTATACCCATGACCCACGAGCAATGCATTCTTTCTTGTCTTCTATCTCTTCTCCATCCCTTCCTTTTGGATTTTCCAGGATGACTTCCCAAATAAACCACCTGCACCCAAGCCCTCTGTTCAGGGTCTGCACTTTGGAAAACCTGAACTATGATTTCAGTGGTAAACTCTCTTAAGTGATATGAAACGAAACAACCTGGATTCCAGTTTTATCTTTGGCTTGGATTTATTCTTTTAAGGTACAAAATGACACTAATATTATTTATACTATTACTTTAATTACCAATTATACACCTTTATAAGTCTGTGGCTCATACGTTTTTGGGAGGAGGGGTGTCATGTCTTAGATCCCTAGAGAATCTGATGTAAACATTGGACATATAAACAGAAAGTTTTACATTCAGTGTCAGGGAATTCAAAGAAGCTCAAAAACACACTGTCAGCTTATCTCAGTTTAAAAGCCCGGTTTTGGATGCAGATATCAGTGTATTTCTTTCTCAGATGAC
Organism: Homo sapiens; assembly: GCF_000001405.40. Taxonomy (NCBI): domain Eukaryota; kingdom Metazoa; phylum Chordata; class Mammalia; order Primates; family Hominidae; genus Homo; species Homo sapiens. The sequence goes on along the minus strand of NC_000018.10, from coordinate 10,902,385 downwards.
AAAATCTACAAATGTTCCTTCATGCCCTCTGTCAATTCCTTGGAAGCAGATGGGCAATGAGTTAAACTTCGGTCATAGCATTCTGCAATTTGAGACCTCCAGATACCCTAGAGCAGCAGTCCTCAACCTTTTTGGGACCAGGACTGGTTTTGTGGAAGACAATTTTTCCACGGATGGGGGTAGGGGTAGGGATGGTTTCAAGGAAACTGTTCCACCTCAGATCAGCAGGCATTAGCTTCTCATAAGGAGCATGCAACCTAGATCCCTTGCATGTGCAGTTCACAATAGGGTTCTCGCTCCTATGAGAAACCGATGCTGCTGCTAATCTGACAGGAGGTGGAGCTGGCCTGCCTCTCACCTCTTGCTGTGTGACCCGTCTCTTAACAGGCTATGGACGAGGACCAGTACCAGTCCAAGGCCCAGGGGTTGGGACCCCTACCCTAGAGAGAGCCTCTCCTTTTTTTTTTTTTGTTTTGCATATGTTGACACTGAGACACAGAGAAATTAAGCAGAAGAGGTGGAAGTGTGATTTTTATGAAGATAGAGTTAAAATCCGGATCTGACTTTGTATTTGATAGATTCAATCAGATGAAGTTGTATTACTAATGATTTCATTTTGCCCCCATTTGATAAGAATGTTATCAATAATAATAGTAATCATATTCTACTCAGCACCCTAGGGCATATTATGTATTCATCAGTTTTATTAAACTCCACAATGCTCTAAAGTGGCTGTTGGCACCACACTAGTTTATGGACATAGAAACCAAGGTTCAAAGTACTTCACCATGTGACCACCCAGCTCAAAGAAGTAAACAGCAGATTTGAACTCTGAACGCCACCATCCAACCTGCTTTCTTGCTTTAGGTCACAGTGGCAGTTTTCAGAAGTAACTCTACTGTCCCTTACTCTTAGTGTCACCTGCAGTGTGTGTGTGTGTGTGTGTGTGTGTGTGCGTGTGTGTGTGTGAATAGAAGTAGGTGATTTACCTTCCCTGCTTCACACCCTGTTACAGCTCATGCACAGGCCAGAATCCTGGTATCAACCATTAGAAAGCCCAGAGAGAAAATCCTGAGGCTCAAAGAAAACCCTGAGGGTCTCTGATGGTGGAAGTATTTGCAGCAATTCTATCCTATATTCCTTATACAAAATAAAGCAAACACCTGGAGCCCTTTTGCTTTGATACAATGAGGCAAACTTGGAAAACACCAGAGAATCAGATGGGATGGATTCTTCCTCAGCCCACCACCATCCTTCGGCATTTGCTGAACTTTTATTAAAGTCACAGAATTCAGGTCTTTCAGATAAGACTAGTGTGAACATACTAAAATATTCTCTGGCACTAATGAAATGTGTTTGTTTTTAATAAATCTTTTTTCTATTCTTTTCTTTCATTTGAAAAACATTGTTGCATGAAGAATTGAGCATAGTACTAAATGCTAACGTTGTTTTCTATACTATAATTAGCATGGGTCCAGGGAAAACTCTGAATCTTTGCTAGTGGCTGACTGGGGCACTGAATTGAAAGGATTTTAGGCAAAAATGAAGGTTGTGGTTAGGTAAGAGAGATACTGCGCATGTGTGGAGGCAGAAGTAGGAGCACGTCTATTTTCCATTCTGGATGAGAGTTTGCCAGGGTGATTTTCCTATCCCCAGCCTAGTGTGTGTGTGGTTGATGTTTGGTACCAAAATGCAAACATGAAAGGTTTGGAAGGACACGGTGACTAGTGGTCACTATGGTCACCTTAGGCACTGATAGGGAAAACTGACGTGCCAAGACAAAGACAAACTAAATGGTTAATCTTTAATCTGGGTGAAGTACTGACTGACAAACATACCTCTAACTTAACCAGAATTCTGACTTAGATTTTGTTCAAACCCATTGTCATGAGATATCTGCATTTCATCATAAGATAGTAGGCAGAGGTCTCTTCCAGTCTTGCTATAAACACTTAAGTGCCTGTGACTCCCACACAACGAGAAAAGTTAGCTCTTAGGAAAGAAGCTTTTACATGTATGTGATACTATATAATCATTGTAACGAAACTTTCCCTATGCAATTGATCAATTTCGATATTTGCCCTGATCTGCCAAGGTATCTTGTGTGTACTTGAAACACAGATTAAAAGCCAGAAATTAATATATATACATGTGTATGTGTGGATTTAGGTGTTTGTGTGTGTGTGTGTGTGTGTGTGTGTGTGTGTAACAAAAGTAAGTGATTTATATTTTTAGGCTGTTGAGAGCTTTACCTAGGACTTCCAACAGAGAAACTAATTAGCTTTACCTTCCTTTATTCAAGCATAATGACATAATTTAATAAGTGTTTGGTGAAAATATCTATTTTTCTTCTAGCAAAAATAAGCAATCCTTCACGAAAACTTCTTTCTTTCAAAACATGGCTGGAAGAAAATATTCTCTGATTTGTAATCTCCATCTTCCTAAATTGGATCATTATGACTAATATAAACAGTCTTCGAGTTAATGAATGACAATGAGATCCTACAGAAAACAGTGCATTCTTGAACTAAAAAACTGAATTCCCAGGTCATTACCTTGACTGTTCTAGGAAAGTCAGAGGTGTTAGCATGAACATTGTAGGTTTCATGAGGGGCATGAAGAGATGAACTATATGTCACTGAAACATTTCAAGTCTTGGTGTAGACAGCATGATGAACAGTAGACAGGAAATTCATGCTGTTTGATATGGAGGTAACAGTTGGGTGTTGAGTGTATAAAATGGAATGTTTAGGGGAATTGTGCTAATAGGCAGCTACAAGAGAAGGCTTCATATTTCTTATTTGTTCTGCATCCTACGTGCAAGTCTGAAATTAGCTCTCTGATATCTCTAACCACCATAAAATGCCTTTTCCATAGGCATTTTATGCTGAGGAAGCTCAGCCAGTGAAGCACCTTACTGGAGACAAAGACATTACTGCTCAATTAAAATGACAGCTTTTATTAGGTGGATTTCATAGGAAGTGTTTGAGTTTTCCATCCAAATCTTTGGAAATACATTATCCTAGATAAAGTGAAAACAGTTTCTTCCTGATTCTTCATTTTCCTGATATACCTCTACACACACACACACAAACACACCTTCCTAAGTTTACACAGAATATTTGAAGTAGCGAACAACTACAGGATTGTCCCAGTATTGTATGACTTCCATAGCTTGGTTGTTTCATTCCCAGGTCAGTGGAGATTCCAAGAGGTTGAGTAACTTCTTGACAGCTGAACGAAGGCAGTTAGGTCTTTTTAACTATAGAGCCCATGCTTCCCTTTGCTAGTCTCTGCAGGCCCCACTGGGGTCTTCTTATGTGTCCAGTGCAATCCCGTTGCCTGGATGTGAAGCTGCCTAAATACATGTTGTATTCTCTGCCTCCCTGCCTTTCTTGGCGTCAGTTGATTGCATCCTTCATTGCTTAGGGACCCAGGGAAGCTTTGGTCAGGCAGGACTCCCAGGCTTCGTATGTTTACTTAATCCTTTTCTTTCAACCCCATCTTGGCATTGCTGAGCCCCCACCCCACTCCTTGACATTGCTCCTATACCACGCTGATTTGCATCTCTGATAGAAACACCTTCCTGTGGCTGAAAGATTGATGTTCACTTCTCCTTTCTACAGACTTCCTGCTATACTTACTCAGGCATAGGCTAACCCTCCCTTCCCTGGGAAGGTAATGGCCCTTCCCCTGATCTTAAGCCTCATTCCAATATTTCCTTACCTCATTCTTCCTAGACAAGAAAACAAAATTATTTTTACTAAAACACAGCTATAATCCAATTTTTCACCTATCTACTGAATTAATTTTTAACTCCCCAACCTAATATTCAGGACGTCCCCCACCCACATTTTCAGTCAAATTATCTCTCACTACTTCGTTCTGCACACATTTTAACTTTCCTTATGGTTGCAGTCTGACTTCATCCCACACTTTCTTTCTCCTATTTCCTTTTTTTTTTTGAGACGGAGTCTCGCTCTGTCGCCCAGGCTGGAGTGCACTGGCGCAATTTCGGCTCACTGCAAGCTCTGCCTCCTGGGTTCACGCCATTCTCCCCCCTCAGCCTCCCGAGTAGCTGGGACTACAGGCACCTGCCACCACGCCCGGCTAGTTTTTTGTGTTTTTAGTAGAGACGGGGTTTCATCATGTTAGCCAGGATGGTCTCGATCTCATATACAATATTTTACTAAAACTCTGTCTAAATATATACAGAGTCTCTCTTAGGTAAAACTTTTACCTCTTAGATCACATCCATGCAAGGGTGGAATGCTGTATTCATGAGCGTGTGCTTAGCACAATGCCCTAATGCAAAGAAGATATAAAATAAACATTTGTTGCACTTAATTTAATAGACAGTTTGTAAGCCAGGATTTTATGTTAAATTTTTTTGTCTGCATAACCAAGAAGGACTTGAGGAGCTTGCACCAGCCTACCTCAATATCATTCGATAGCAGAGAAAGTCTTTGAAGACCGTGTATTTTATTAACATGGAGCAATCATTTCCTGTATAAAAGGAAGCGTACTTTAGAAATATGTAAATTATTGTATTACATAAAAGACTTATTGCCCTTAATTCAGAAGGGATATATTAAATAGTTACAGTTTGTTGGTTACAGATTGGATTTTCCTTTCACCTTGAGTGTACACTTTTAGAAGTTACATGTGCACTTAAAAGTGTTTAAATGTATTAGTTTGTTCTCATGCTGCTGATAAAGACATACCCGAGACTGGGTAATTTATAAAGAAAGAGAGGTTTAATGGACTCACAGTTCCACGTGGCTGAGGAGGCCCCACACTCATGGCAGAAGGTGAAAGGCACGTCTTATGTGGCGGCAGGCAAGAGAGAATGAGAGCCAAGTGAAAGGTGAAACCCCTTATAAAAACATCAGATCTGGGCCGGGTGTGGTGGCTCACGCCTGTAATCCCAGCATTTTGGGAGGCTGAGGCGAGTAGATCACCTGAAGTCAGGAGTTTGAGACCAGCCTGGCTATCATGGTGAAATCCCGTCTCTACTAAAAATACAAAGAAATTAGCCAGGTATGGTGTTGGGCACCTGTAATACCAGCTACTCGGGAGGCTGAGGCAGGAGAATCGCTTGAGCCTGGGACGTGGGGGTTGCAGTGAGCCGAGGTTGCACCACTGCACTTCAGCCTGGGAGACAGAGCGAGGCTCCATCTCAGAAAAAAAAAAAAATCAGATCTCCTGAGACTTACTCACTACCATGAGAACCATATGGAGGAAACCAAGCCCAGGATTCAGTTATCCCTCACCGGGTTCCTCCCACAACACTATTAGCAGTGTGGTTATCAGAGTAGGCAGTGATGTTTAGCATTTTTACTTTTTCATTCAGGGGTCTTAGGATTTGAGGATAGACATTGCATCGTTCTATTGCTGTAGTGAATTAGGAGTGACTCACCTTATGTGGGGTGGTTGAGAGACTTTTTTTCAGCAGAGATTATGTGGAAGGCCATGGCAGAGAAGTAAACAATCCTGCATACCACACCTCACCCCCAACTCTTTTTGGCAGTAGGTGGTGAGCAGAACTGAACCAACAGGAACCTTCTTCTCAGACATGAGGTGGAGGCCGGTGATGCCGGACCTCACACAGCAAGGATCAGTGAACTAACATCCTGAATTTGTGAGCCATGAGACCTGAGAGGGTGTCACTCAGAGGGCAAATGGCAAACCCTGGTCAGTTGTCTACTCAGTAGCACAGGGAGGCAGCAACATTAAATTAGGAAGTCAGGGAGGCCTCACATACGGCTTCCAGTGGCTTCTTCCAGATGCTGTTTATTGACCTGCTTGCCATAAACAGAGAGAAAATTGTTTTCACTCGGCCATCATGAGAAATGTTTGGGTTTGAAAACTTCTCTGCACTCTACTCTGACCAGTTAAATATATTTATTTAGAAATCCACACAGATAATCGAATTCCATATTGGACTGAGTGTAATTTCAGTGGATTTGCTGGTGTTTTTGTATTAGAACACTAATGGATGGAGACTGCAGTGCAGGGAGGATAAGAAGACACCTGTCCTTAGAAATCTGAAACCCAATGGTCAGGCCTCGCCCCACATTGTCAGATGGTCACCAGCACCTTCCAGAAAACAGGAGTTTAATTTTTTGAAGGAAAATAGTGGTAGGTAATATGAAGGCTGCTCTGTTTGACTCATTCACTATTACTAGGACCCATGGTCTGAAGGGTTAGTGTTTGCTCCCAGTCCCCAGGAATACTAGTGTGTGTTCTGAGTCATCTGCACATTGGCCTAAGTTACTTTTCTTTTCTTTCTTTCTTTTTTTTTTCGTTTTTGTTTTTTTTTTTTGAGATGAAATTTCACTCTTTTTGCTCAGGTTGGAGTGCAATGGCATGATCTTGGCTCACTGCAACCTTCGCCTCCCGGGTTCAAGAGATTCTCTTGCCTCAGCCTCCCAAGTAGCTGGGATTACAGGCACACGCCACCACGCCCGGGTAATTTTCTGTATTTTTAGTAAAGACAGGGTTTCACCATGTTGGCCAGGCTGATCTGGAACTCCTGACCTCAGGTGATCTGCCCACCTCAGCCTCCCAAAGTGCTGGGATTACAGGCGTGAGCCTGCCCGTGCCTGGCTCTGAGTTTTAGAGACAGACAGAAACAACATCATCAGCACCCATTACACCTGTTGCTGGTAGTCCATTGGGTAGAGATGAAATGTGCAGGTCAGAGGGAGCGCCCCATTTCCCAGGTGTTAAACTGAGGATCACTCCAATGCAAATCCTGAGTGAGGCAACCCCACAATCACCAACCCCACACGGCACTGCTACTGCTGCACAGGTACCCCAACAAACGGCACCATTCCCCGGCACTCTGTTCCAGCTGGGGGGCTCTGGTGTGGTCACTGAACAACCTCATGAGGCCATTGACTTTCTTTTTTGACTTACTATTATTATTATTATTTTTGAGACGGAGTCTTGCTCTGTTGCCCAGGCTGGAGTGCTGTGGTGCAATCTCGGCTCACTGCAACCTCTGCCACCCAGGTTCAAGCGATTCTCCTGCCTCAGCCTCCCGAGTAGCTGTTATTACAGGTGCGCACCAACATACCCAGCTAATTTTTGTATTTTTAGTAGAAATGGGGTTTCACCATGTTGGCCAGGCTGGTCTCGATCTCCTGACCTCAAGTGATCCACCCACCTTGGCCTCCCAAAATGCTGGGATTACAGGCATGAGCCACCATGCTCGGCCATGAGGCTGTTGACTTTCTACCAAATAACCTGGTGGGAGCTAGAAGCCAGTGGCATCTAAGTGCCTGGAGGACACATGTTGCCTCTGGGCAAATGACAGCCCACTGAGGCTTCAGGGGGAGGAATGACCATGCAAGAGCACGGGCAAATTCTTCATTACAGACTCTCATCTCAGGAAAGAGAGGGAGGGATTGTGGGATCTGCAGACATCTAACATCAAAATGTTAGTGGTGGCAGGTATCCCGAGCTGCTGGCAGCGAATCTATACGGGTCTACAGCAACTTCAATTCTTCCCTCCTCAGATGAAAGAATCTGACTGAGGGGCACAAGGCAGAAAAAGAGGCCAAGGCAAGATTTAGAGCAAGAGTGAACATTTATTAAAAAGCTTTAGAGCAGGAATGAAACGAAAGTAAATTACTCTTGGAAGGGGCCAAGTAGGCATCTTGGAGGACAGATGTGTGGTTTGAGCTTTTGACTTGGGGTTTTATGCGTTGGCATACGTCCGGAGTCTTGCGCCCCTTCTTTCCTGATTCTTCTTCCTTTGGGGTGGGCTGCCCACATGCACAGCTGCCTGCCCGCACTTGGGAAGAGAGCATGCGCAGTGTCTTCACTGGAGTTGTTTGCATGATCACTTGAGGCGTGCTTCCCTTTACCTGCGAAATGTCCCTGGAAGGTCATACTCTGCTATTTTGCCTTTTTTTTCTTTTTTTGGGACGGAGTTTTGCTCTTATTGCCCAGGCTGGAGTTAAGTGGGGTGATCTCAGCTCACTGCCAGCTCCGCCTTCCGAATTCAAGCGATTTTCCTGCCTCAGCCTCCCAAGTAGTTGGGATTACAGGCGTCCACCACCACGCCTGGCTGTTTTTTTTGTATTTTTAGTACAGAGGGGATTTCTCCATGTTGGCCAGGCTGGTCTCAACTCCTGACCTCAGGTGATCCGCCCCCATCGGCCTTCCAGAGTGCTGGGATTACAGGTGTGAGCCACCGCACTTGGCCCATTTTGCCTCTTAATGCACATGCTTGAGCCCATTCACCCACCTCCTGGGATTTTATCAGGAAGCTGCTGATCACCAGTTTCGGGTGTCTTTCTATCTATACGGAGACGGCCTTTCCTTGCTGCTGGCTGCGACCAATTACTATTTTAAAGAGACAGTTAACAACCACCTGACCATCATCTGATGCTCACCTGACTTTCCTGGTGGCGGGTGGGGGCAATCCTCTCCTGCCTCACTCATGCCTGACTAGCTACCTACTGTAACAAAAGCACCTGGGTATCAGGAGGAAGCTGCAAGGTCATCACAGTGCCTAGCATTTAGTAGATGCCCAAAGAATATTTAACAGATGTGTTTGTGAAATTGAATGCTAAAAGCAGAAATTCATTACAGTATAAACAGTTAGCTGTTACTGAACATTCGGTCCCACCAAATTTAACAACTATAATAAATGATGATTTCTTATACCATTCAATTAAAAATGTTTGTTAAAAACGTACCTTATAGCCAACATTGAGATGAGCATGAATGATGAAGTAGGTAAGAAGAAGAAATGGTCTCATCCTGAACTGCTCACCCATCTGAAATAGATGCCCCAAAGCTCACTGTTCATATGGACAGCATTTACTTGAATTACCAAGGAACCCATGCAGAGAGACCCTTGCATCTGGACTGGAAGGGAGATAATTACTGCGGGAAGCTGGATTCATCTTGATGAATTAAAGAGGGGTCAATATTTGCACAGGGAAGGGAAGAGTCTACAAAGGACAGGGACAGCAGTGAGGTTGAGGTGGGTGTGACCTGCCTGCACATCGCTGAGGAATCTGACCTGGCTGGAGCAGAAGGCTGGCATCTTGCAAATAAGATAGAAATGCACACTGTTCAAATGTGTAGGCATACAAATCTCAGTGGCCACAGCTCACTCTGGGACTGTTTATTTTATTATTTTTTTAATTTATAAAAATAACAAATCTTTGTTTAGGAGAATATCTCATTAACCTAGCCATAATTCAATAAATCAGTGATTTTGTAATAGGTCTTGAACTACTAAAACATAATTTCCCAGAATTTTAAGCAAAGGGATTCGCAGTAGAAACAGTTTCCTCTGAATCCAGCATTGTTAATTTTATCCTGGCCATAAATTTTCTATTAGGGAAATCCCCAGGGAGAAACCACTGAAGCAGCTCTGTTGAAATACTGCAGAAAAGGGCTCAAGGACCTTTACTGACCATATTTCTTTCTGAATGTTGAGATGTCAGAAAACAATGCCTACCATTTAGTACAATTTCTGTTATTTTCAACAGCTACATATTTACAGATGTAGCTTGTTTAAAATATTTCATTTGTATGAAGTACTTGTTAGATTTTGGTGGTGATTTCTTCATTTACATTTTTATGTTTTCTCAGATTTTGCTTTTCCTCTCTATTCCTACTCACCACACTTGCGGTCTTTATTGTTTCATGCTAAATTGCTTCTGTGCTTCCCTCACCCCCGCCCCTCTCCCCATCTTTCTCTCTCCCTCTCTCTGGTTCATTGAGGTGCAATTTACATTCCTAAAATTCTACCCATTTTAGGTGAGTAGTTCTATGAATTTGAAAATATACACAATCATTTAACCACCACCATAGTCAGGATGTGTGTTATCTTCATTATCCCCAAAAAGAGTCTCCTGCCCTCGGCAGTCAACCTCCCACCTCTTCCCCCAGCCCGTGGCAACCACTGATCTGATTTTTCTTTCTCTGGCTTTACCTTTTCTGGATTGTCATGTGAATGGAATCATGGAGTCTATGGCCTTTTGTGTCTGGCTTTTTTCACATGGAATAAACCTTTTAGATTTATCCATAGAGTCACAAGTATCCATACTTGATTCCTGTTTAATTAATTAATTTTTATTTATAAATAATACATAATAATTGTACATATTTATGGGGTACATTGTGATAATTCCCTTTTATTGCTAATGGTATTCCATTATATAGACATTATATAATCAGTTATCTGCTGATTGGTTGGTCGATAATTGGGTTGTTTTCAGTTTTGGGCAATTATGAGTAGAGCTGCTATGAATGTTTGCAGGCAGGTGGTTGTGTGGACATCATATTTTTCTTTCACTCTAGGAGTCTCTTAATTGGCTGTTCTATCTTCAGTCTGACTGCCTATCAATCCTGCATTACCCTAAATGTTTACCGGACCCATTTCTGAAAATTAAAGCACACTTGAACTGCATGAAGAAACATATTTAAAGATATTCTTGGGTGATTCTATTTGTAGTATGTCTACCACTCTATTTTATGTGCTTTACAAATTTATATTTTCATTTATTTTATTTGCTTAACAGAAGCTTTACCTTTTGACAGTTAAAAACTCAGAGCTATTTATCACTCATTTGATTACTATTTTATTTCTGAAAAATTTGGAATTTTTTATAGCTAATTACTTTTAGCTTGTTATAATAGATTTGAGTACAGCCTTTGAGATCCCTCACCTGCAGTCTCAAAATTGCAATGCTCTGAAAACATTTTAGCCTAGTTTTGTGATGGCAAAACCTGACCTGAAGTCACCTGGTAGCTGAAGGGAGACCATTCCTGTGAGTGCGAATTGTCCTCATGTGTGTGTTTGAACAGGGCCAATGCCTAGTGTCTGCATCAAGCGGTACATCATGTATGTAACATGTGTCTTTCTGCATTCTGGAAAAGGATGAATTTTGAAGTACATTTGGCTCCAAGAGATTTGGAAAGAGGATTTGTACTGTCTTCATCTGTTCCCTACACAACTGCCTTACTTGTTTGATGATGGTAGTCAAACTTTTTACTGTGACCGCAGGAAGCAATGCACTTTCTTTTATTTTTTTTTAACAGAGTCTCAGTCTGTCTCCCAGGCTGGAGTGCAGTAGCGCAATCTCGCTCACTGCAACCTCTGCCTCCCGGGTTCAAGTGATTCTCCTGCCTCAGTCTCCCAAGTAGCTGGGATTACAGGTGCGCACCACCACACCCAGCTAATTTTTGTATTTTTAATAGAGACAGGGTTTCACCATGTTGCTCTCGAACTCCTGGCCTTAAGTAATCCACCTGCCTCGGCCTCCCAAAGTATTGGGATTATAGGCGTGAGCCACCGCTTCCAGCCAGCAATGCACTTTCTGTTTTGATCTGGTACAACACGTGATTTCAAACTTTCAAAGGAAAAAAAAAGTTACTCTTACCACTTGCAAGGAGATTCGATATATTTTTTATTTCCTTTGTTCTATTATATTACAGAAAAAATAAAGTACTGGTTGATTCCCACTAAGTTTATTTTATAATATGCTAATTATTCATGACCTGCATTTGGAAAAACACCAGGCTAAACACCAGTGCTCAGCAGGAGGGATGGTAAGCTCAGAAGCGAATTAGAAGTTTATTCCTTGATATGATTTGGCTGTGTCACCACCCAGATCTCATCTTGAGCCGTAGTTCCCATAATCCCCATGTGTCATGGGAAGAACCTGGTGGGAGGTAATTGAATCATTGGGGCAGTTACCTCCATGCTGTTCTCGTGATAACGAGTGAGTTCTCATGAGATCTGATGGTTTTCTAAGGGGATTTTCCCCCACTTCACACTGCACGTCTCTTGCTGCCTCCATGTGAAGAAGGATGTGTTTGCTTCTTCTTCTGCCATGATTTTAAGTTTCCTGAGGCCTCCCCAGCCATGCTGAACTGTAAGTAAATTAAACCTCTTTCCTTTATAAACCCAGTATTGGGTATGTCTTTATTAGCAGCGTGAGAACAGACTAATACATTCTTGTTATAGCTGCTTACTCTAAGCTGTTCCCTGAAAAAAATGGCAAATGCTATATTTCATGGCACTTGCAGACTCAGCCACATTGACAAATGAGGCCTGCTCTGCCTTAGAAATGTGTACTGTGGATTACATTCATAATCCTCACACTTTAGTTCAAGCAAATGGAGACCCTGAGACTGTGTCCTCACTAAATAGGAGTAAATCACTGGCTTCCCCTGTATGGGCTGTAGTTTAAACACACAAGATTTTACTGGCTTTCCATTTTGCAGTACTTCACAAGAGCTTTGCTAGCCAATTAAAGCATCACAGTAGGAGCTGGTCAGTTGGAGTTTGATGGGGGAGCAGATTTGCTCTGTTATGGGATAAAGAATTTATCTCAGGAATTAGGCTGTGTATAATTATGGACAGTGCTGGGGGAGCCAAGGTCCAAGAGGAAAGACAGAGACATGGTGACTAACCAGTCAACCTGAGACGTCAGCAGTTAAAGTGGGACCCCGATGGGGAGCCCCTGGAAAGGTCCTTGGGAGCTCTTTCTTCTATGTGGCTAACACATCCACGGGGTGGCAGCCAAGCATCTGGCAGTGGACCTGGGGCTGCTGTGGTCCCCTGGGCAGCTCTTAGGGAGGAGAATGAGGATGAGGGACCCTACCTGACACCTCCTTGTTAGTCTGTCATCCACTGTGTAAAGAGCTTCAGAAACAGTTGTCCTGCTTCACCTGTACCTTCCAGGTCACACACAGGTAGATGTCTCTTTGGCCATTTCTAATTCAGAGCCACGAAATGTTGGGATTTTGGGGACAATCCTCAGCTTGACCAAGTTGATAAAGAACAACCCAGCACCTATGAGGTTACTGTAAAATGCAGATTATTATTCTAAATGCCCTTAACCGTCATCTTCCAAAAACATAGTCTAAATACTCATGATTAATTTCCCGAATCTGCAAATAAAGACATTAGAGTCACACTTTATAGTTTTCAGGGTCAACCATTGTGTCCAAAAGCCTTAAAATAATTCATTATCAAAATCCAAAGATTTCTCAAGGTAGCTTAACAAGAACACTCTTACTTCTACTAAATAGGCAGCAGTTCAGATTAAGTTGCTGCTATTTTCCTTATCTTGAACATTTGCTCAGTGGTAGTTTATTCAACAGTCAAGTTACAGAAAGGGGAAAAAACTGATAGTACTTGGGGAAGGATGAAAGCCGAATTTGAAACCTAGAAGATGGCAGGTGACGGAAGTACCTGTGCACACCTGGGTGGACCTGTGTCTGTCCTCCTCTCTCTTCTCCATCTCTTCTCTTTCAGCCTCTTTTTACCAAGAATCAATAAACTGCCTTTTCATCATTCCTTGCCTTTCCATTTTTCCTTCCTTCCTTTTCCCATCAAGAATTGAGATTTTGGTATCCACAAAGTGTGCACATTAGGATCATGAAATGACCCCTTGAACTGTTGGCTGTAGCAGCATGCTAGGTTTCTGAAAAACTGGGTTGTTGAGGGAGAGGGGTTGCATGGAGGTGTTGGTGGAAGTGTACCCTGTATGAGAAAGTGGCTCTGTCTCGGGGGTTGCAGAAGTGACAGCTGGATGTGGCAGTTGCTATGGATTGGGAATTAGTTACATTAAACAAATCACTGATGGGGAACTTAACTAAATATATTAAGGATAATGGGAGCCATGTTTGTCACTATCAGAGCAAAGATTTACAAAGCAGAGGCTAGAAAGAATCCTGAGCAGTTAAACTCAAGTTGAAAGTACCAGAATGAACACGTGGGTTTTAAAAACACAGATACACAAGAAGATATGGAAATAGTTGTAAAGGCATATGCGTGTGTGTGGAAATATATGCAAAGGACTCTGTCAAATAAGAGGACCCAGAAGCAATGTCGCCCCCGTAACAATGCTACTCCAAGTGCCCAGCTCTGAATACCAGGGTGCACAAAAAGAAAATAGGGCTTTCTGAAGGAATGGAGCCCAGAGAGTAGAAAGGCTTGGAGCAGAGAAAGTAGAAGACAGGCCTAAAAACCTTACTGTGTCAGAAAGTAGAAGAATGCACAGTGAATGACAAGGACATTTCCCAGGAGCCAGCGTGGAGGGGCCCTCACAACTCAGGGGCAATTTCAGCATCAGAATTGTAGTTTCAAATACAGTCTATCTAATAAAAGAGAAGTTCATGCATCCACACTGATATTACTTAGCTAAGAAATTGATTTATTGGAGGTAAGAGGAAGTGCTTACTTGCAAGTGCTTACTTGCAGCCAAATACCAATTCATATTTAGGGGCATCAATGACCACCATTAGGCAGCCATCATGACAGTTAATACAGGCAGGAGTCATTAATGTCTGCTAAAGTTGGTGGGTGGAAGCTTGATAAGGCAGAGGACATTGATGCAATTTCAGAATATATCCTTACAAAGTTCAAATCACATACAAAGTAAACATGATGACCCAGCAGACAAAGCTGGTGCACGCCAATTCGACTAGGTGATCACGGTGGGATGAGCTGGGGACTTGTGCCTCCCAGTGTGTTGAACTGAGAGCAGTACAGCACCATGTCTGTGTATGTTTTGCAAGAATTCATGAGCCAGGTTGAGGATCATCCTCCATAATGAAAGACGGTACTCATTCAGATTGTCAAAGGCATGAAAGACAAAGAAAGACTGAGGAGTTGTCCCAGAATGAAGGAGACTAGTGAGACACAAAAAACTGAATGCAACACATGCTTCCCAATGGGATCCCAGGCACAAACAAGTACAAAATGCTGTGAGTATGTGTGGCAAAATGTGAATGGACTGCACATTGGATGGCAGTGTTGTGTCAATGCTGGTTTCCTGTTTGGGAAGATTGTATGGTGGTTGATATGGTTTGGGTATTTGTCCCCACCCAAATCTCATGTTGAATTGTAATCCCCAATGCTGGAGGTGGAGCCTGGTGGGAGGTGTTTGGGTCATAGGGCTGGATCTCTCCGTGGCTTGGTGCTGTCTTTGTGATAGCAAGTTCTCAGTAGATCTGGTCATTTAAAAATGTGTGTCGGCCAGGAGCGGTGGCTCACTCCTGTAATCCCAGAACTTTGGGAGGCTGAGGTGGGCGGATCACGAGGTCAGGAGATTGAGACCATTGTGGCTAACAAGGTGAAATCCTGTCTCTACTAAAAATACAAAAAATTAGCCAGGTGTGCTAGTGCACACCTGTAGTCCCAGCTAATCAGGAGACTGAGGCAGGAGGATCGCTTGAACCCAGGAGGCGGAGGTTGCAGTGAGCCGAGATTCCACCACTGCACTCCAGTCTGGTCAACACAGCGAGACTCTGTCTCAAAAAAAAAAAAAAAAAAAAAAGTGTGTCACCTCCCCACTCTCCCACAACTCTCCGTCTCTCTTGCTCCTGCTCTGGGCCTGTGATGTGCCTGTTTCCCCTTTTACCTTCTGCCACGATTGAAAACTTTCTGAGGACTCCCTAGACACCAAGCAAATGCCAGCACCGTGGTTCCTGTAAAGCCTTCAGAACCGTGAGCCAATTAAACTTCTTTTCTTTACAAATTATTAAATCTCAGGTATTCCTTTATAGCAAGACAAGAAAGGCCTAATACAGTGATAATTTATTAGAAGGTCCTTATTTGGGGAAAGTACAGTAGTTCCCCCTGATCAGCCATTTCACTTTCCATGGTTTCAGTTACTTATGGTCAACTGTGGTCTGAAAATAGGTGAGCACAGCACAATAAGATATTTTGAGAAAAAGAAAGAGAGATCACATTCACATAAATTTTATCATGGTATAATATTATAATTACTGTAATTTATTATTAGTTATTGTTAATCTCTCACTGTGCCTAATTTATAAATTAACCTGTATCATAGGCATATATGTATAGGAGAAACATCATATATATATAATGTGTATATGCGTATATATATATGGTTTGGATATTTGTCCCCACCCAAATCTCATGTTGAATTGTAATCCCCAATGCTGGAGATTACATATATATATATATATATATATATATATATATATATATATATACACACACACACATATATATGTGTGTGTGTGTGTGTGTATATATATATATATATATATGTATGTATAGGGTTTGGTACCATCTGCAGTTTCAAGCATCCACTGGGGTTCTTGAAATGTCTCATCCCAGGATGAGGGTGGATACTGCACACACACTGCAGTTGTCTTGTCTTTACTTATCTGACACAAATGCGCAAAATGCACAAATGCACAAAACACCATCAGCACACACTTCCTGAATATGGACTGAGCTTCCACTTGCTTGGTTCACCACACTTTGTGTGTGTGTGTGTTAGTGATTTTGTCTTTTTATCCATCTCCAAAACTGCTTGTCCTATTTACACATTCTCTTTTGCGTGAGGTTTTCTTCGGATTCTGGCTTTATTTTCTTCTTGATTCTTTGCACTTGACATTTTGTTTCCTCCTTGCTTCTAAACCTATGTACTTGACTTGAATAGGAACAAACCCTGGCTCATTTTTAATCCACGCCCACAGCCCTGACCACTCCCAAGCCCAGCTTCTGCTAGTCATCTGAAATTCTTCTAGCAGGCCATTTATGAGCAGAGCAAATAGCTTGGTTTACTCTCAAATTCTTAGGAGGGATGCATTATGTTTTTTCACTTTGTAATTCAGGAAAGCGAGAAGCGAAATAACTTGCCTTATGTTCACATAACAAGAGAGTGACTTATAAATGTTCCCCAATACCTCTCCAAACACTTAGGAAAACAGTCAAGGTTCCCAATGACCCTGACCGTGGTACCTTTCAAACCTCCCTCCTACCATTCGTTCTCATTTCTAGATGACAACAAAATCATTTTGCTTATAATCCCATGGACACATCATGTTGTTTCAGACTGCCTTCAAACCCCACCACATACTTCACCAACTGAGGGAACTGTTCCTATCACCTCCTTGACAAATACAGTGTTTTATTCCCTTTTTATTTATTGATTTGTTTTTGAGACAGAGTCTCGCTCTGTCGTCCAGGCTGGAGTGCAGTTGCTCAATCTCGGCTCACTGCAAGCTCCACCTCCCGGGTTCATGCCATTCTCCTGCCTCAGCCTCCTGAGTAGCTAGGACTACAGGCACCTGCCACCACGCCCAGCTAATTTTTTGTATTTTTAGTAGAGACAGGGTTTCACCATGTTAGCCAGGATGGTCTCGATCTCCTGAGCTCATGATCCGCCCGCCTCGGCCTCCCAAAGTGCTGGGATTACAGGCGTGAGCCACCACGCCCGGCTTTATTCCCTCTTTATGCTGAGCTTGCCACACACGTGTGGTGTTGCATTCATCTGTTTTTCGGGAATGTATTTTCTTCCATATCAGCCTCTCCTAAGATACACAGGCCTATACAAAGCACACTGGCTTTCTCAGCACTGTCAGCCTAGGGCTTGGCAAAATGTCTATGATATGATAGACGCTCACACATATTTGTGGAAATAAATGAGAAGGAATGGGTCCAGTTTGTGGTCTTTAAGTCCAAAGTTCATGCTGTTTTCGCTCTTCCTTGTTATCTTCTAGTAGTGACATACAAAGATTCTTGCTTTTTTCTCCTGACCCAGTGTTTATAAAGAGGATAAATGTGCTACTCTGTTGGAGCCACCCACTGTGTATCTTATCTTCTTTTAGTAAAATTAATTTTAGTTCATTTTTCTTAAGTTATTCGATGCACTAATTCCAGCAGGGGGGACATCTGATGTGATGCACTGTGTTCACTGCCAGTGTGGTAGAAGGACGGAGATTTCTGCTAGTCGTTAATGGTGTCCTTATACCCCACCTCCACGAAGCAGGCAGCTCACTAGCCAGGCAATGTGGCCAGTGCTTTGCTTCTCACTTGGAAGGCAAGCCATTTCAGGATGTGAGCCATGTGGTGTGGCTCTGTTTTTGTGCCTGTTATGGTGGAATTTTCCCCTTTGTCATACATAAAGGATTTGAGGACTCCAAACAATAAGCTATAAGAATAACTAGGGTTGGAGGAGGACGGAATATCCCTAGCAAACACACAGAAAGTAAGTAAGAAAAAGACAAATGCATAGCAGCACTAATCACAATAGCCAAAACAGGAAATCAACCTGTGTCCATCAATGGATGAATAAAGAAAATGTGGAATAAATACTCAATGGAATATTATTCAGCCATAAAAGGAAGGAAATCCTCTCATTTGCGACAACTGGATTAATCTAGAGGACATTAGATAAGCCAGGCGTAGAAAGACAAATATCACATCATCACGATTACATGTAAATGGAAAATCTAAAGAAGTAGGACTCATAGGCCAGTTGCGGTGGCTTACGCCTGTAATCCCAGCACTTTGGGAGGCCGAGGTGGGTGGATCACAAGGTCAGGAGATCAAGACCATCCTGGCTAACACAGTGAAACCCCGTATCTACTAAAAATACAAAAAAATTAGCCAGGCATGGTGGCGGGCACCTGTAGTCCCAGCTACTCGGGAGGCTGAGGCAGGAGAATAGCATGAACCTGGGAGGGGGAGTTTGCAGTGAGCCAAGATCGTGCCACTGCACTCCAGCCTAGGCGACAGATTGAGACTCTGTCTCAAAAAAAAAAAAGAAGTAGGACTCATAGAAACAGGGTAAACTGATACTTACCAAGGGCTGAGGTGGGGAGGATTGGAGAGATGTTGGTCAAATGATGCCAAATTTCAGGTACACCAGGAAGAATAAGTTCAAGACCTCTAGTGTACATCATGGTGACTCTAGTTACTAATGTATTGTATTCTTGGAAATTGCTTAGAGAGTAGATTTTAAGTGTCCTTCCCATGAAAAGAAGATAAGTATGTGAGATGATGTCTGTGTTGACTCACTTGATTTCATAATTCCATAATGTATTTCTCTAATGTATAGTTATATATGTATATCTAACGTATGCCTAGCTACGTAATAAATATCTATAGTTTTTATTTGTAAGTTCAAGAATAACAGTAACAATAGCAACAAGAGGTGCTGGTGAGCATATGGAGAAAAGGAAACCCTTGTACACTCTTGGTGGGAATGTAGATTAGTGCAGCCATTATGGAGAACAGTATGGACTTCCTCAAAAACTAAAAACAGAACTACCATGAGACCCAGCAATCCCATTGCTGGGTATATATACCCAAGAGAAAGGAAATTTGTGTGTCAAGGAGATATTTATACTCCCTTGTTTATTTCAGCACTATATACAATAGCCAAGATATAGAATCAACCTGTGTCCATCAACAGATAAATGGATAAAGAAAATGTGGTACATAGGCCTGGTGCAGTGGCTCACGCCTGTAATCTCAGCTCTTTGGGAGGCTGAGTTGGGCGGATCACAAGGTCAGGAGATCGAGACCATCCTGGCCAACATGGTGAAACCATGTCTCTACCAAAAATATAAAAATTAGCTGGAGGTGGTGGCAGGCACCTGTTGTTCCAGCTACTCAGGAAGCTGAGGCAGGAGAATCGCTTGGACCCAGGAGGTGGTGGTTGCAGTGAGCTGAGATCGCACCACTGCACTCCAGCCTGGTGACAGGGCAAGACTCCATCTCAAAAAAAAAAAAAAAGAAAAAAAGAAAATGTGGTACATATGCACAATGGAATGTTATTTAGCCATGAAAAAATAGTGAAATCTTGTCAGGATAGAATTGGAGGTGATTATGTTAAATGAAACAAGCCATGCACAGAAAGACAACCATCCCATGTCCTCATTCATATGTGGGAGCTAAAATAATGGATCTCATAAAAATAGAGTAGATTGGTGGTTACCAGAGGCCAGGGAGGAAAGGAGAAGGAGGAGATGATGGGAAAAAATGTTTTAAATGAAAACCTTTGCATAAAAAAGAAAGAATTGTCTTTCTGATAACATGCTTCCTGTATTTCATATGTTTGAATGTAATTGTATAAAACGAAGTTAATATATTAGATTTTTAATGTCCTTACTAAATACAATTTGTCAATTCCCAAATGTTGTTTTTGAAATATTACTAGTTGAGATTAAAAGATTTGAAACTAGAAAGGAAGGCAGAAGTCAAATGCAAGAAGAGGCAGAACAGTTCTCTCAAGTTGGGCCGGGGGTAACTGGAGAAAGGCCTTGGGTCACTGAATTTTTGTCATTATTTTTCTTAAGCAATAAGAAAGTATTTCTGAGGGGATTTCAGGATCAAGAGAGGCCACTGTGGCCTTCTCCTGGCGATAGTCCTGCCATGGTCACGGAATCAGCCAAGTAAACACATGGGGAGCTCTCGGATGCCTGGAGAAGGTGACAGGATGAGAGACGAGTGGATACTGTGTATGACCTTGTCCGTACCTAAATATTGCCCTCAACAAGTTAAGAAGGCACACATTAGTTTTGATTAGGATACGTGTAAAAGAGGCGGGTGAAAATTCAAAGTGATAGAAACTGCATCAGCAGAGATCTGGATGTTGGAATGACTCTGTCACTGTCCTGGGATGATGAGGAGCCTGGAAGAAAGAGTGTCAGTTTAGAATCAGCAAGAAGTGAGATTGAAGATGGCAAAAAAAAGAGTACTGTCGTGGGGCTGATCACCAGGCTGAGGGAGGACTTTGGATTTGGCGCTCTAGGTTTTGGGGTATTTTTAATGACTTATCTAAGAGAGTCACAGGACAAAAGGAGTGAGTTTTATTGTTTTGGAGTTTTTTGTTGTTGTTATTCAATTCTTTTGTTTGTTGTAGTCGTTCAATAGCAGCAGTTGTGTGTTGGTAAATGTTTAACAACTGGCTCTCTAGGGAAAAAAATACTGATTTGCAGCATTTATACCAATTTCCATGATCTGATGCTCCCACTGTGGTAGACTCTAAGCTAGTAATAATCTTTCATGGAGCACAGAATTGGGAAGAGTCAGTCCCAGGCAGTTTCAGCAAACTCCTGAGGAGCAGAGTGCATAAAGGCAAGTAAGTGATGGTCCCCTTGGCCCGGCATCCTACTCTCACCTCTGTGAATGCCCTCCGCCAAGGCCAGGGAGTTAGGACTCTTTTAACAGACCTGCTGCCTCATAAATAACCAGTATACCCTTTTAGGAGAATAAAGCACTGTGTGTTCCAAATGGAAATTAGCAACTCTCACAGTGAGGTTAGTAGATTCAAATACTCAATCCGTGTGGCACTCACACAAATCCGGCCACCAATGTAAAATACATCATACATACATACATACATACATATCTATATATCTCCTGAAAATCCAGCAACAATTCATACCTTAAGGTAATTAGATATCTGCGTTTAATGACTGTTTTGTGGTTTAAAAAAAGGTACCTAATTTCACAGAAACAAGCTAACTGTTTGTTTTCTCTAATGCGTCATTAACTTTGGAATCCCTTGATTTGAATATTGGAAGTGATTCTCAATAAATGTTACATTTCCTTCCAGAGTTTGTAATCTAAACCTTTCTCTATTTACACCAAATATATTAGTCTTGCCACACACATGACTTGCTATATGAGGTCAGATATTAAATAAACATAGTCTCTCTCTCA
Organism: Homo sapiens; assembly: GCF_000001405.40. NCBI lineage: Eukaryota > Metazoa > Chordata > Mammalia > Primates > Hominidae > Homo > Homo sapiens. Next base: position 10,880,910 of record NC_000018.10, on the reverse strand, counting down.
TATCAAAATTATATATATATATATATATATATATATATATATATATATATATATATATATATATGATATGTGGGAAGCAGTTGAAATGGAAATCAGGGGTCTTACCATTTTATTGAGTTTTTGCTATTTGTCTGCCTTTAAAGTTATTGAAGCCAAGTGACTAAAGACACCTGCATCAGAGTCATATTTAAGTTTAAGACAAACAAAAGTAGACTATCTCTCAGCGTGTGAACTTCAGAAGCCACTAGGGAACCATCTTAACAGTTCCTATTTGTTTAAACAATGCTCATTTGACATTTTAGTCATGTTGTTGTAATTCAGTTGAAGGTGACCTTTCCACCAACTCTGATTTGCCCCCAAAAGTTGTTCTTTGTGAACTTCTGAAGATGACTGTGATGGTCCTCTCACCTGGATGCCTCACAGCAATACTCCAACATTTTTCTTCTTTCCTGGTCTCATCTAAATTTCATTGCTGCCTTATTTTGGGTATTCATGGTAGAAATGAAATTTTGGAGTTGGAAAGATCCTAAGAAGTCACTTTGTAAGGTGAGAAATTGAAACTTAGAAAAATAAAGTAGTCTTCCCATGAGTATCCACCTGTCTTGCTTCTTCTCTGGTCTTTGACAGGAGAATGGCAATTGAATTTGATTAATAAATTTATCAGACCAAATTCAGGCATGGCCATCAGTGCCTCAATTGGTCATTATCCCAGTCAAAGTAATTGGTGTAGTATCTTTCATATTCGTTCTACACAGGAAAATATAAGCAGTCTGACTGTTGCAGCTTTTAAAAACAGTCTGAAGTATTAAAGATACACTTTTGTATCTACCAACCAGCTTTCACCAAGCTTAAGAACTTGAGCATTACCAATACCGTTAATTGTATCCCTCTCCCCTGCGCTGAAATAGGTGTTTGTCATTTTTATAGTAGTTTTTATGCATGAAACCCTAAGCAATCTATATTTTGCATATTTCTCATTTTTTTCACCATTATGATATACACTCATATTCACAGATGTAGACCTGGATCACACATGCACTTGTACTTATTTATTGCTGTGTAGTATTTGATTTGATGGATATGCCATAATTTAATGCCTAGTCTCCTCTTTATGGACAGGTAAGTTATTTAGAAATTTCAGCTTCCTTGAGTTCCTTTCAAGGGGTATAATCACTGTCTGAACAAGTAAGATCAGTATGACTCTAACAAGATTGGAGGCTGGGCACGGTGGCTCACGCCTGTAATCCCAGCACTTTGGGAGGCCGAGGCGGGCAGATCATGAGGTCAGGAGATCGAGACCATCCTGGCTAATATGATGAAACCCCGTCTATACTAAAAATACAAAAAATTAGCCAGGCGTGGTGGCGGGTGCCTGTAGTCCTAGCTACTCAGGAGGCTGAGGCAGCAGAATGGCATGAACCCGGGAGGCGGAGCTTGCAGTGAGCCGAGATCGCACTACTGCACTCCAGCCTGGGCAACAGCGCAAGACTCCGTCTCAAAAAAAAAAAAAAAAAAAAAAGATTGGAAAGGACTCTTTTGCCTGTTCGAGAGAACATGAAGTTTGAGGTAGTTTAGTATGTGCTTCCGTGTAAAACACGTCATTGTCATGCACCTGGAAAACAGTGCAGCTTAGGTCATTTTATGGGAAAATGGACACATTGGTCTCACTGATTTATTAAAATGGGACTTCATCTACACAAAACCTGGTTAGCCTGATTCTGTGCAGAATTGGCTTGAAATAAAATTTAATTTATTGTTAAATGCCCTGTAGTGTATACTTATGATTAGGTTAGAGAACCTTACACACATATTTATGCTATGCACTGTCCCTGGATAATCTAATTTACTCTCTTGACTTTAGCTAACACATGTGAGAAGAAAACTCTTGAACCTACCTCATCAGCCATGACTTTGCTCCCAGGCACAAACTCCATGTGGCTTTCAGTTTAAAGTCTCACCTCTGCACCTGAAAGTCCTAACCACACCTGACACTCATTGTGAAAACACCACCTGCACTACCAGCAGCCACGTCACTGTTTCTCCTGTGGCCTTCATTTCCTTGGGGATCATGTTTGTCCTTTGCTTCAGGTCTTTCTGTAGTTCTGGTTATGTGATTTTTTTTTTTTTTCAAAACATCCAAGCTTTGTATGGTCTGACCTTACCCTGTGTTTCTGACTTTACTTCCTTCATATATAACTTCACAACCAATACTCTGTGCTTAGAGACAGTGTCTGGCACATAGTAAGTGCTTAATAATTTTTTTGAATTAGTGAATTAAAAATTCTGTCAAATTGAGCCATTTAATGTTCATTAGATACACTTCATTTCTTTTGTTTTTGAAATATTTTCTCCAACACATTTATTTAATAACTATGAACATATGTTTTAATGAGTTATAGCTTCCAATTTTGACAATGAAATCTGCATGTGCAAATAACTGAAACTTTATTTGTAAACTCTCTGTGATCTCAATGCCATTACCAGGCAACAGTAATGTTCCCTCCTCTTAGTGTTTGTGTATTATCTTCCCCGAGCTGAATTACAGAGCTCTTTATGGTAGGTGTCTCATCTAATTCTTCAACAGTGCTTTGCACAAACTATCATGATAAAAAGAAAAGAACAAATATTTGAAGAGGCAGCGATATGTCCTGGAGCTAGCATGCATCCAGCCAGCCTTTACTGATGGTTTACACTGCACCATCTACCATGCTGGTCCCCAGGGAAACAGATGAAACAGGCAAGGGCTTCTGTTAGGCAGATTGGTAAATCAGTGAGTGACACAGTGTTAAACATCTACTGATGGAGGATGTGGGAGGGATGGCGGTCCATTCTATTCTGGAATGGGTGTGGAGGGGCAAGGTAGGAAGGGCTTCACAGAGGAGACATGGCAGGTGTGTTTTTAGAGATGAGGAGAACCTGAAGCATACTGGGAGAAGTTGGCCAAGGGAGAAGACTGCACACTTGCTCAGAGGGAAAACACTGGCGCGTTCTGGGTACGTGCATTCAGTATGGCCGGAATTTGAGGTAGAGGGAAATGATGGCAAGAGATAAGGGAAACCAGATCTGGGATGTGGAGGGCCCCTTGTCACGCTTAGGAATGTGGATGTTTCCTGGGGGCCGTGGGGTTGACATGATCAGCTTTATGCTGCTAAAAACTAAACTCTGATATTAATGTGGAGGCCTGGCTGGCAGAGGGGACAACCTGAGATGAAATCATCAGGATGCTGCTACCGTCACCCAGAGGCCAGACCGGGCTGTGGGGATAAAGGGGAGGGCTGGGAAAGGAGACGTTAGAAGTCAGAATCTCCTCCAGTCTTTCAGTGAGAGAATGGAAGCTTCCAGGTTCTGTTTTGGTCACTAGGTTGATGACAGCCGTGTTTTCCAAAATTAGGACTATAGGAGGAAGAGCTAATTTGGAGTAAGAATAACACTGAATGGAAAATCTATGGGATACTGAAGTACAGATATCCAGTAGGAAAATGGATATATGCTAATGTTTCTCAGCGGACGAGTTGGACTGGGCATTACATTATTTGCCCTTAAAACCATTTCTTAAAAATTTAATCTAACACTATTTCATTCTAAAGAGCTAGTGTTCATGAAACAGCTTTTGGGAAATGGTGTGCTAGAAAATGTTCATTGATCTGTGATTCTGATTGAAATGAATGGATAAGTCACCATGTGGATGCTGATTAGGGCCTTGGGGATGGATATCATCCAGGGTGATCTTGTAGAGTGAGAAGAAAAATAAATGAAGAACAGAATTTTGTGGACTCATCAACAATTAAGTAGGACGTAGAGAAGAGTCTGGTGGCTACAATACAAGTCAGAATTTCTTAGTGGGGCTTCCCAGCAACATGAGTTTTCATGGATATTCATAGGTAGGTAGAGAATTAGAAGAGAGTGTAAGAAAACCACGGGAACGGAGATTTGGGAGTAGAAGGGGTTGGTCTTGCTTGTCAAATGCAGCATGGAGGTGGAATGTGATGAGAATTGGAATGGGTCACTTGGGCCTTGCAGTTGGGAGAGCAGGGGCAGCCCCTGAGAGGGCATTTTCTGAGCAGTGGTGGGTTGAGGAGGCCTGTTGCATTAGGTGGATGATGGGCAAGGGGAGCCCATGTAGTGAGTGTTGGCTCCAAACACAAAGTGAGAAAGTAAAAAGCCTGAGCTTGCTGTCAGGCTCTGTCTCCAACTGTGTATTTGAACCAGGCATTCAAAACTCATTGGTTTCCACATTCTGTAAGATGAGGAAATGGACTAGACTATTTCTAATTCTCATCCAGCTCCATAATTTCAATGACTGACTTAGTGAACGGATGGGTAGTTGGGTGATTAGATGAGGGAATGAAATGAGATTTACCGACTTCCAAATTATTAAAGACTTATTAAAAACTAAATGTATAGAGAAGGTAGGTGTATAATTATGTACATTAGTATAGTTTCCAAATTATTCATTCATTTCAAAGAGAAACAGAGACCAAGGAAGATTCTGTAGCCCAGCACTTCCCAAAAGCTGCTCCTTGCACACTAGCTCTGTCACATGTAATAGTCTTAGAAGAAACTGGTAAGAAATGGTTTCCAGGTCAAATAAATGTAACTGTTTTACTACAGAACTTCTCAAGTCTTTTAGTATAATAGTATGCATTGTGAGTTTCTCACATTGACTGGACCAATGACTGTTTCTTTTTTCTCTTTTGTCTTGTTTTGTTTTGTTTTAATGGAATGCATTTCTGAGGACTGGCATTCTGATGAACGTACTTTAGTAAGCACTGAAGAAGGAAACACAATTGATAAGATGGTCTCCAAATGACATATCAGTCAGACTATGACCTGTTTATTGTGCATACTTTTCAAAAGTATCATTGTTTCTGCAATGGCAGTATTATGAATGCACTGCTTTGTTAACTCAGCAAGCCAAGAGTAGTAGTTAATAGTTTAGCACCTCTATGGCTGAATGATTCCATTCTAAGTAGGGGTCGCAGCCCAATTCTGGATTCAGTAGCTAAATTCTATCACAGCAGGTGGAGTAATTGCTTTAGCAAACTACATTCATTTATTCCCTTAATATATGTGTGTTATAAAATGTCTCTTTTGGGACCAAGAAGCACAAAGCTGAGACTGTTGCCTCAAAGTGATGTTTGCAAATTGGGGCTTAATGCAATCCACAGGTGGGAAAGATATAAGGCTCTGGCTTTCCTGCTCTGTCTGTTGTGGTGTAAGAAGCAGCTGAGGCCACAGCTGGAGTTCTTGTTACTTTAATATAAGAAGTCTTTTTCTCTCGACTGTACTTGGATGGTGCTTTTCATAAAATGACACAGTCAATTTGTTTTCCATGAAAGAGCTATAATAATCGATTGCCAAAAATCCACCTGAGTAGTACCAACCTACTACTACTCCTGACCTCAGCCCCACACCGAAACAGCCACCCAAGCCTGGCCTTTTTTCTTACTGGTCTCTTTTCTTGATCCCCATTTTTTCTCATTCCTTGATCCCCATTTTTTCTCATTCTAATGGTATTAATTCTAGTTTACCCTTTTCAATCATGTTAGGTAGACTTTAAAAGTATACAATGAATCTCTGCAATTTTCCTATGATGAATTCATTCATCAGATTTCATTACTATAATATAAATGTAGTTTGGATGAAGCTCTCTTAATTGGATTTTCTTACTCTTTCTCCAAATGAAAGGAATTTGCTGTATTTTAAGACCTTTAACACAAGCATTTTTTTAAATGGGGTAAGAGTTTAGAGGCGATTTGTAAAAATTAAGCTTTCACAGGACAGTTCCTCTTCCAGATCATTTTTTAAGTTGATTTGTAATAATTGTACATATTTTGGGGTACATGTGATATTGGATACATTCATACAATATAAAGTGATCAAATCAGGGTAATTGGGGTATCCATCACCTCAAACATTTACCATTTCTTTGTGTTGGGAATATTTTAAATCTTCTAGCTATTTTGAAATATATAATAAACTATTATTAATAATATAGTCATCCTACTGTGCTATTGAACATTAGAACTTATTCCTTTTATATAACTCTATTTTTATTCTCATTAACCAACTACTCCTCGCTCCCCCTTCCTGCCATCCTTCTCAGCCTTTGGTTACCACCTCTCTGTATTCTCTGCCTCTATGAGATCCACTTTTTTAGCTCAGACATATGAATGAGAACATTGTCTTTGTGTGTCTGACTTATTTCACTTAAAATAATGACCTCTAGTTTCTTCCATGTTGCTGCAAATTACAGGATTTCATTCTTTTTTATGGCTGAATAATATTCCATTGTGTATATACAGCATATTTTCTTGATCCCTGATTCTTGAGTGTTGATGGACACTCAAGTTGATTCCATATCTTGACTATTGTGAATAGTGCCGCAGTAAATATAGAAGTGCAGATATCTCTTAGATATACTAATTTCCTTTCTTTTGAGTATATACCTAGCAGTGGGATTGCTGGATCATATGGTAGTTCTATTTTTAAGTTTTCGAGGAACCTCCATGCTGTTTTCTATAGTAGCTACACTATTATACATTTCCACCAACAGTATACAGGGGTTCCCCTTTCTCCACATCCTTGTCAGCATTTTTTTTTGTCTTTTTGATAATAACCATTCTAACTAGGGTGAGAGGATAACTCGTTGTGGTTTTGATTTGCATTTCCTTGATGATGAGTGATGCTGAGCATTTTTTTACATAAGCTGTTGTCCATTTGTATGTCTTCTTTTGAGAAATGTCTATTTCAGTCATTTGCCTGTTTTTAATTGGTTGTTTATTTTTACTATTAGATTGTTTCAGCTTCTTATATATTCCGATTATTAATTCCTTTCAGCTGGATAGTTTGCAAATATTTTTTCCAATTATCTAGGTTGTCTTTCCACTCTGTTGATTATTTCCTTTGCTGGGCAGAAACTCTTTAGCTTGATATAATCCCATTTGTCTACTTTTGCTTTTGTTGCCTGTGCTTTTGAGGTCTTACCCAAAAAAATCTTTGTCCAGACTAATGTTCTGAAATGTTTCCACAGTGTTTTTTTCTAGTAGTTTCATATTTTCTTCTAGTAGTTTTATAGTTTTCTTCTAGCAGTTTTCATGTTTTCTTCTAGTAGTGTCATAGTTTCAGGCTAGACCATTTTTTAAAGCAAATCTGATTAGATTGAAGATTGATTCCTAGGAGATCCTAGATTAGAAGACTCTTTAATTAAGTTTTAATTTTTATGTATATTATAGTAACAAATACGTGGAAACATTCTATTTATAACAGTAGTTGACTAGTTAAATACCGTCTGTCCATTAGTATGATGATATATAAAAATAAATCATCAATGAGTTGTAAAAATGTTAATGACATGTTAAATGAACAAATCAGCTTGCAAACAGTAGGTAAATAATGAACTTAGTTTTGTTAAGTATAAATGTGCACATCCATGTATAGAAGGAAGATTGGAAAGGAAGGCCATGTGGATACATACATGGGAAAGCGGTTGAAAGCATAAAAGTGAACGTAGGGAGAATGGAGTATAATTCTGTTCTCTATGTGGCTTTTGGGAAGTTAGATTGCCTTTTGAAGCCTTAGTCTTTTCACGTGTAAAAGGATAATAATGCCTAACTCAATATGATGGTTGGTTGGATTAATTAATAATGTGTCTAAAGCTCTTAGCACGAAGTAACTGCTCAGAAAATGGTAGGTATTATTGATAACTTTTATTTTCCAAAATATTAACAGTAGCTATTTCTAGATGCCAAGGTTCTTGCTATTTAATATTTTTAAATATTTTCACCAAAATATATAATATATAATGTAAACGAATACAGTGTGTAATCACTTAAAGTGCATATGAATATGTATATATGTGTGTATGTATTTACATGGTATATTGCCCTATCTTTTGCTTCCTTTCCCTAAGTAAGTTGTATCTCTGATAAACATTTTTTCAAAGACTTAACCCTCCTTTGAAGTTCTATGCTTGATTTTTCCATGGATCATCTTATCTTCCCCAGAAGTTTTAATGCTGGTACAGACTCTTGACTCCTCTACCTGTATCCTCCCTATTTTAAACTCATTTTGTAAACCTAAGTCTGTATAACTTTTTCTTCATATCACCTAGTCATTTCATTAGCTTTTTCTTGTTACAGCTTATTTTATATTATATGAGTGAGCAGAGAACATGCCGGGAATCGCTCTTCATGTGGCTTTAATAATAGTAATAGGTACTGTGGTTACAGCACTACACATCACTAGAGCACTGCAAGCCCAGTTGCTCAGTGTTGCAAAGGCACACAGGGCAGGCATCTAGCACCGGATGAGGGACATGGCTGGCCCGTGTCGTGTGCTGAATGGTGTGAGAAGTCTGCCAGTGCCTATTAAGCTCTGGTGTCTTGCAGCAGAGTGAGCTTAGCCAGAACACATTTCAGCTGAGGTGATGTGTGCTGGCCAACTATGCTGGCAACTCAGTATACTGCCTCTCATTCCCATATTCATTACCACTGGACGCCTCCCAAAATCACAGATGGCGTTTGTATTACCTTCCCAGACAGATCTCTCCTCCTTTTCCAGTTGAAGCCCTTTCTACTCTCCACTTCACCTTCTGGCCTTTGCTGCCTGCTATATTATTAAATATATTTGTTTCAGGATCTCAATTATAACAAAAATGCCCTATATGTGTGAAAATTATCTAAGTGTCAATTGATGCTGCTCTTCTCAAAATGTAGGCTTAGTGAAAATATGTGTTTCATTCTTTACAAAGAACTTTCACGAACATTATTTCATGTATATGTATTTATATTTTCTTCTAAAACCGTGACCTAGTATCTCATGTCACTTGAACAAAATAAGGAAGGCAAATAGTATTACTTCCTCAGCACAGCAGAACAGATGGCTGTGAGAAGCCCCCAGCAGGATGCAACTACTAAGTTTCAGACTTGGACTTGAACTCAAATCTTCTAAGTTCAGTGTTGTTTCTCTGGGATTAAAAGAGAAAATGTACTGGATCCACCTTTCTTGGAACAATACAGAAGACAAAATCAACCAAGTATACAAAATAATGAAGAGGTCCTGGATTCCAGGATTACTTTAACATTTTCTCTATTTTCCTTGTATCTTTGACTTATATCAAAAGTAAAATATCTTCTAGCTGCTAGTATGTATTTAGTTTTAGACTGCTTCAGCTAGATTGCAAACAACTGCATTTGTACTGGACATGTGGTTTATTTAACAAAAACATAGTCCATTAGGACGTTTTAGGAGTGAGGATTGGTTCAAAAGTTCTTTATAATATTTCTGAAACTCCAGGGAACACTGGAATCTTCCTGAATGTGTAGATTTTGTGAGACACTGAGGTCAATAAAAAGCTTTCTTGTACCTTTTAGGGAGAAACGGAGCATCTTTTATTTTAAATCATTAAGAAGACCAAAACATCCTATAAGGCAGTTTAACCGTAGAAATATAAGAACTAAATTTTTTTCCCCTCCCCTTGTTTTTCCTTTATAGCTTAAAGGGAGCTGATGCTGGCAATGGGATCAGAGTGTTTGTACCTGACATCGGGATGTTCATTGCTAGTCTGACCATCTGGCTCCTCTGTAGAAACATTGTTCAGAAACCTGTGACAGACGAAGCAGCACAGAGTAACCCGGAGTTTGAAAATGAAGAATTGGTAAATCCAACTCCATGTCTCTTCCTTCTTTGATTTCTGAGGACCTTGACCCTTAATAAGTTGCAGAACTATGATAATAACAGCTGAGCATACAGAGCACGTTATGATTCACAGTGCTTGACATAAACGTTTACTGTCAAATTGCATGACACCCTCGTGCAGTCCCGGTGGGCAGACACTCTGGTCCACACCTTAGCCATGAGAAGACAGGCTCAGGGGTGTTCATAGGTAAGGGCCAGGCTTTGACCCACCACCCCAAACTATCACGTGATATTATCTCGGAGGCTAACCGTGCAAGGTCATACATAGTGTTATGGTTCAATTGGTCTGGGTACCTTAGTTATTGCAGAATATTTAAAGAAGTAACATCTGGTAGTTTTAGGGAAAAAAATGAGTTCCTCCTTGCAGGGCAGCTTTCCAGTCTGTGCACCTTGTCCTGCTCAGTGGACTGGTGTTAACTTGGCATGCTTTGATCAAGTTGTTTTAAAGCACTCCAAGGGGGAAAAACATACATATTTGGAAAAGTGTGAGAATTTTAAAAAGGTAAAAATAATGAACGAGATGTATGTTTGCTAGCTGGTTGAAAGGTTTCAGGAGCAACTGCTGAATTGGAAGCTTGTCCTATTTTCGTCCTTGGGTATCAGAGCTGTCAGACGGCTCTCACGCTGCCCCCTGACCAGCCTCAGGACACTGTTATGTTCTAATAACTGTACTTTGTTAGGTGAGGTTAGGAGACATCAGTTTAAAGAGTAATTGATTTATTAGTGGAAAGATAACATTTATAAAGGAAAAAGTGACTATTTTATTTGGACATTTGATGCAAAACGCTTGCAAGTACTAAATGTTTTCAGTCATAAGCTTTGGCAAGATATTACACTTATAAAACTGAAGTTAATTGAAGTTACTTATATTGAGAATGTTAACCGATGAGCCATTGAGGGAGGAAAATTCTCACTTATGGAAAATGATTTATATGGTTCACAAGAAAGCAGACAATTTCCTTGTATGCTTATTTAAAAAACAATAAAGGAGGGATAGAATTCAATAAACCTATGCAAACTAGAAATGATATTGTCTAGCCAGGCACTGTGGCTCAGACCTGTAATCCCAGCACCTTGGGAGGCCCAGGTGGGCAGATCACCTGAGGTCATGAGTTCGAGACCAGCCTGGCCAACATGGTGAAACCCTGTCTCTACTAAAAATACAAAAATTAGCTGAGCGTGATGGTGCTTGCCTGTAATTCTAGCTACTCAGGAAGCTGAGGCAGGAGAATCACTTGAACTCAGGAGGTAGAGGTTGCAGTGAGCCGAGATCACACCACTGCCCTCCAGTCTGGGTGACAGAGCGAGACTCTGTCTTAAAAAATATATACATTGTCTAAAATTCTTATGGGTAAAAGATATGCAATCACCTTGCTTATCAATATTCTGCTATTTTTAAGGCAAATGTTAAAATGATGCTTGGTGTAACAGTAATTATAGTAAAGTCAAAGTCACTACTAACCACTTACATCTTACTTTCAAGACTTGACACCATAAGGCATGCATTAGTGCCCTAAAAACGGAAGAGTGCTTCTTCTTCTTGTTGACATTCCAATTGTAAGACAGAGGATTTAAATTTTGACTATTTTTTACATTTACAGTTTGAAAATGACTTTATTTAAATAATCTTTACCAAAATTTGCCTAAGTTTGGGGAAAGTAAACCAGTAACTCACATTCTTCAGACTGGGTATTTGTTATTTTTATGATTTATAAAAGCAAGTTTTTGTTTGTTTGTTTGTTTGTTTTTTAACTTAAGTTCTGGGATTCATGCGCAGAAAGTGCAGGTTTGTTACATAGGTATATATGTGCCATGGTGGTTTGCTGCAACCAACAACCCGTCATCCAGATTTCAAGCCCCGCATGCATTATTATCCTCATAAATAATAACTATAGAAGGAGGGGAAAGGATAAGTATTGAAAATTGAGTGGACTTAGAAGTCAGACATGGAGGCCGCCTAGTGTGTGATGCTGAGACAATTGTTTCTTCTCTTTCTTCTTCTACAAAAGAGAGACACTAATACTATATCACCTAGTAGTTGTGAATGCTAAATAAAATTTCTAATAAAAAGCACCTGCCACAGTGCCTGCTCATTTTGCTTGCTTAGATAAATTGCTATTTGCTCTGCTCATTTTGTCCTTCTCCAATTTGAGAGGTAGTAGTGCAATTTCAAATTCCAATGTTCCTCTTAGAATTATTGAAACTTAAATGGGAAGATATTTTGAGGCCAACCCACTCAGTAAAAGAATCTCTTCTGTGCCATTCATAACAGATAACCATGAAAGATTTACAAAGCTTCTTATAAAAATAACTTACATGACCAAGGACAAATGCTGTTTGCCATAGGACTAAGAAAGCCTACATTGATCAATAAAAAGCCACGGCTGTGAGGTCATGATGAGGTGCCATTCATCTGATGAAGAAAAGAACACAATGCAGTCACATGGGTTAATTCTAAAGTCACATTTTCTTCCTGATTTCAATTTTCAGAGATAGATTTAGGATACTTCACTTCCATTTGAAATTTGCTTGAATATGTAAGCCTTATGTATTATTAATCACATTATTTAAAGATAACAATAAGATGGACAGATACTCTAAACATTATTTATTAGGGACATTGAAAATACTAAATATAATTATGGAATTATTTTCCTTCTCAGTTACATTTGTTTGGGGCTATTTTACATCATTGATTTTTATTCTCTTGTCACGTTCCAGCCCATCAGGTAGCCCAGGAGGAACAGGGTGGTGGGTGAATCTTCTTAGATTAATTCACAAGGAAAAATTGCTTCCATGTGACAATCTGGACTTGAATCTGAGAGGAATAAAAGTACCTGGCCAAAATAAGCAGGGAATTTATTTTATTTTTGACACCACAGCATATTTCCTGCTGCTTATAAATCTTGGAGTTTGCACTCTAGAATGTTTGGTTTTTAAGGATACTGAAAGAACAGTGTTTGCTGGCATTATTTCTTCTTTCATTTATCTCAGTGGAGAAATGGCAGGATTAATCTGCTGGTGCCTGTGAGAATTCCTTTTCAAAAGCGGTGTTGTTTTAAAGCAGCAACTAATCCGTGGGGAAGACTCTTGGGTCTTCTGTAATCTTCACTGATTTGATAAGGCTCAAGTTTGGTGTTTTAAAGGTGTTCACAAATCCAAGGATTCCCCATAAAACCCCCAGTGGAAGTGGAGATGGCAGTGCAGTGGGAGCCTGTGCCTTGCTCCTGCATTTTACTGACAGCCAACTTCAGCAAGGAAACCCTTCTCCTCAAATGTCATCAAAGGTTCTTTCTCAACTGACACATCTGTGGTCTTGCTCATTTGTTCATTTTAATTCAGAAGCAGATCTACAAATCAGTCATAACTGGGAGAAAGTTTCCTGATCTGAAATCTTAAATAAGAAGAGTTGTATTATGAAGATTAAATTGAGTAGAAAAGAGTTATTTACATAATAAAACAATATATCATTTCACCAAACTGACATTATCTTATATAATCCTATGCTTACAATTCTTTCTAGCTATTATATGAGATTTGAGGCCTTTCTTTTAGATAGTATTTTAATGTATTATTAAGCCAAATTCTGATAGATCAAATGCTTATTCAAATAGGATTTGCAGTTATGACTTAGCCTGTGTAAAGAGGCAGCTTCTTAATAGACTGACAAGTCAAATATGAAGGATAAAAAGAATATTCTATTATAAGTCATCCCCATCTGCTAAAAATTCAGGGATGCAATATTAAGTCCTGCTAAATTTATTCTGGACCTCAAAGATTTTGCACCCTGCTTTCTAATTCCTAGTGTCTATTAGCCTGTCACAGCATCTGCATTCTAGCACATGACATGACCAAATGGGCTGTGCTTCAAGTCTCAACTCTGAGGTTCAAGTTGCTGTTTTTTTTAAAGAGCAAGAGACAAAGACTGAGAGAAATCAATCATTTTGTTGTCTTCTAGTTAGGCTTTCAACATGTGCTCAGTTCTAGCCTGAGATTTAGTCTAAAGTCTCCAGCTTTAAATTTCCTGGATCCCATTTCTTCAAGTACACAGACATGATCATTTGAAACATGGAACCATTCAGAATGGTAAGAAGCTGAACGGCTGCCCAGTTGCCTTGCAAACTTTGCACTTCATGACTTAGTGTGAATGGAAAGCCTTCTTTGTTGTTGTGCTAAAGGCTGTCACTGCCACTCTTAGTGGGTAAAGTGGGCGACTCCCTTTGCTGGTCCTTAAGGTCACTTTCAGAAACTGGGCAAAACTTCCTGTCATACATACCTCAAAATGTCGGACACTTGGTCTGCCTTCTTGGGGAAAACACTTTCACAATTTGGACAAAGGTTTTACTCCTAGTAGTTTTAGATGCCATTAGTTTCAGTAGAAGAGACGATTTTTTATTGTAGGAAGTCATGGATCTATTTATTGTCTTCTGGAAAGTTTTGGTATTTATCACAGACTAGTTAACTTTGAGTCCATGACTGACTTTATTCCCCCAGAGTCTTCCAGCCACATCCCTGGTCACCAGGTGAGAGCATGGATGCCCACTCATCCTGTCCTCTGATACCAACACACCTGTGGAACAGGCCCTTGGGACAGTCAGTGAGAGCCACCTTCATTGCATACAAAGGCGGCCAAGTGTGGTGGCCCACACCTAAAATCCCAGCACTTTGGGAGGGCAAGGTGGGCAGATCACGAGGTCGGGATATTGAGACCATCCTGGCTAACACAGTGAAACCCTGTCTCTACTAAAAATACAAAAAATTAGCCAGGTGTGGTGGCGGGTGCCTGTAGTCCCACCTACTCAGGAGGCTGAGGCAGGAGAATCGCTTGAACCTGGGAGGCAGAGGTTGCAGTGAGCCAAGGTCACGCCACTGCACTCCATCCTGGGTGACAGAGTGGGACTCTGTCTCAAAAAAAAAAAAAAAGGCAGGGATATTATTATTGACAATATGTTCATTGAGTGGACATTGCCTAGCATGGACTTGAGTATACAACTCATAATAAAAATGATTTAAATAATTCGCAAAGAGGAAATCAACTAAAGTATCTTTAAACTATTTAAACGAAATGATTACAGATTAATCTTCATTTTTATTTCGCCCATTTAATTAATTTAGCAACATTTAACAGCATGTACCTCTTCTCTGCCTTTTTCAAAGAATCAAAGCTCCAAAAACGCCTTTCACCTTTAACTATCTTTTTAGATCAATATTTTTACAATTTCTTGGAATATGTTGTTCTGTCTTTGCAGCATTTGATAGGTGATTTCATGCATTTGAATTGCAAATAACCACAAATACCCCATGGGAAACTTGTGTGAGGCAATTGCAGAGCCCCTGTGTTCCTTTCTTGGGGGGTAGAGTAGAGCCTGAGATGAAAGGAACCAGAGTCCCACCCCTCATGCTATCCATCCCAACTCCAGAGAACCTGCATCACTCAAGGAATCTCAGTCACTTCTTCGTACTACTTTCCTCCTTTAAATTGTAAATACCCCTGAAATAGAATTTCCACCCACTTAATGTAAATAGGTTCCCCATATTGCTTTGAAAATATTGGTCATATGTTTGGGAGCGGGAGACACAGCTCCTTCCCCTACCTCCACTCCTTCTTCCCACTGACTTACCCATCAAGGTTAATAGAAGCTCCATCTACCCAGCTGCTTGAGCCAGAAACACTGATGTGACATGGATTTCTTGGGGCCTTTGTCTGTCACCACCAACAAATCCTTTGAATTATACCTTCAAATTCTGTCTGAAATCAGTCCACTTTTCTCTACTCACTGCCACAATCCTCACCAAGCAGCCACTGCCTCTCAGCAAGGCCTGAAAATATGTTCTAAATGGATCTCCCCACTTGAGCTTCCCTTCTTACCCTATCCAATTGATGCTGCACACAGCATCTGGATTATTCTTGTATAATTAAAATTAAATTATGCCACTTCCCTAGATAAAACACTTCTTTGGTTTCCCATTAACCTAGAATAAAATTCAGTCTCTTGACCTTGATGCTCATGACTCTGCATGGTTTGGCCACATCCTGCCTTCATGTCCTCACCCTGTGCTTTTGCCCCACTCCCTCACTGTGCTGTAGCCACCCTGCCCTTCTCTCTGTGTTTGGCTAGGGTAAGCTCTCTTCCTGCTGGGTCTCTTCCAGGCTGTTCAATCTCATGTAGATGTCTTCTCCTCACTCTTGTCCTTCTGGACTCTGCTGTACAGTTTGCTCTTGTGCAGATGCTCTTCTCCCGACTCTTGTCTTTCCGGGGCTCTGCTATGTAGTTCACTCTTGCACGGATGCTCTTCTCCCCACTCTTGTCCTCCTGGGGCTGTGCTGTGTACTTCACTCTTGCACAGATGCTCTTCTCATTCTTGTCCTTCCGGGATTCGCTCTTCAGTTTATTCTTGCACAGATGTTCTTCTCCATCTTGTCTTTCTTGAGCTCTGCTGTGTAGTTCACTCTTGCATGGATGCTTTTGTCCCCACTCTTGCCCTTCTGGGGCTTTGCCAGGGCACACTGATATGTAGGTGAACTGCTCTTGATTGACCATTTCTTGCTAGGGCTTCAGAGAAGGATGCTTTTTTATCTATGGGCATGTTTATTTATTCAGTATATCTTTACTGAGAGCCTACTATGTGCCAGGATAAACAAAAACTAATATTTAACAAGAACTATTTTTTGTTTTCTTGCTTTGCTTGCCAAGACTTTTGTCCTTTTTTAAAAAAATCACATTTACCTTGGGAATAACTAGAGTAGGTCATTCCAAATCCCTTTAGTCAGACGTAATCTCTTTTTTCTCTCAATGTCCTTAGGACCTTATATTCTCAATTTATAAGTAGTTATATCTTCCCTGAGTGACTACTGGGGTCCCTCAGAAAACCACTGGGGTCCCATGTGGATTTTCATTTGTTATCCCACCCTGGACCTAGCACTGTGCTTGGAGCAGAGCCCAGTCTTGGTTAAAAAAGTGCTGAGTGGAGGGAGGGATAGATGGAGGAGACAGGAAGGAATACTGTTGATTCTGAAACAGTACCTTCTCTGCTCAATATTTTGACACCTTCATATCAAAGATGTGAGTTTTGTTTGCATCTTAGTCTATCACAAGTAATTATATGGGTTCTGAATCTTTCTGGAAACTGTTGAGCACCAAGAAGGAATTGTACATCCTCAAAATGCTGCCTTTGTCATCACTGTATAAATTTTTTATTTTTGGAGTGAATACCAGGGTGAATCATTTAGAACAGCTACACTTAGCTGGTTCCTACAAGAGAAAATAGGTGGTTCAGGATGAGTAGTAATCTCTGGAACTAATGTGAACTGAGTGGATGATATAGGTGTGTGTGTGTGTGACTGCTGATTTGTTTTGATTGTGTTCCATTAAGTGATTTTTACAAAAATATCTTAAAGAAAAAAGCCTTTAAACAGTCAATTGTATTTGGCTAGTCTCCATTATTGTTCATTTCCCTTTCAAATGATGTTCAGATGATTCTTAAAGACTATTGCCATTCTAAGTAGGTGAATTAACCTGGGAAGTTTTAAAAAAGTTCAAGTGCAGGGTCAGAATAGTTCCCAGACCTATGAAGTCAGAATCCTAGGGGTAGGGGAGTACATGTGGTAGGAATTGGACTAGTTTTTTCAAAGCTCCACAGATCCTTTAGGCATTGGTCTAACTGGCCACTGTCTGCTGATTCAGTTTGTCCTTCCCTGTTCTTTATTAAACTTTCATTGCTTTGTAGATGGTGGTTGAAAGCAACATCTATACACTCACTTTTCCAAATGAAATAGGGACTGCTTAAGCTGATCTTAGGAGTTTGGAAGAATAATCTTCCCAAAACAAATGTAGCAACAGAATAAAATATTTGCTTTATCCATTAAATGCGATCACGTTAGGCTTGCATAAGGTACACACAATAGCATTCAAACACATCTATCTTTTTTTCCCTCACTGCTTCCTTTCACAAGGGAACCCTGGGGATGAAATTCATCTTCTGCAGTGAGTCACAACCTTGTCTTTTCCTTCCTCTGGCTCTTGTATTGAGATGAACCCATTCTGTTAAGATAAATTGTTAACTTTTAATAATAAACAATGAATAAACAATTGATGACACTTCAGAAAAATGCTCCTTTTGCCTCCCAGATCTTTTGGCTCATTATACATGACTTTGATACACTTCTATAGAAATGTTTTTAAAAGCTTGGTTTTAACCATGAAGAAGAGAAAAAAATGGATTCAGCTGCATGAAAAGCTCTGCTCTGAGGTCCAAAGCTCGACTGAAACCTAAAGGAGGTTCCAGAGATAATTTATTTCAATCTATTTTCCAAATAAGGGAGTCTGCTAGGATATGATTAAAAAAATATATTTTCAAATTGTGCCTATTCAGCTGAACCCCTATGGAGAATTCATTGATCAGTGGTTGCCAATGTCGGCCAGGGCCTGAATTCTGGAGGGGCTGCTTCAGGTCACCCCAGAGAGTACTTTAATCATACAGCTTCCTGGAATTCATTCCCATAATTTCTGATTTAGTAAGTTTGAGGTTGAGCCTGGTCATCTGCCCTCTTAAAGGTCCCCAGGTGATCCTTAGGATTTATTCCAACCCAGTTGGATTTTTAGAGTGCTTGGGAGTAATGAAACATGGATGTTTGTGTCCTACCAAAAGTGATTTATTGTGTCTTCTTTGTCCAAAATTGAGTGGAAATCATGGTGGATGCCACGGCTTAATGGAACCAGTACTGCTGTAGGGTGAGAGGATGTTGTGGGATGAGATGCAGAGACGCAAAGGTTTAGATCCCGTCTCATTGTGGGATGAGAGCTTTGTGTTTAGGCCCTCATTCAGGGCCCTAACAGAGAACAGGCTGGCCTTGTGTAAAGTTGATTCCATAGCACCTAAAGTTTCCTTATGTGAAATGAGAGATCTTACACTAATACATGTTATCAAATGTTGAAATCAGCAACTTTTATCTATGTTTTCCAGTATTCTATTATTTTTATTTTATTTTTAACTGACTAATAACTATTATATATATTTATGGGGTATATAATGTGGTATTTTGATACATGTATACATTGTGGAATGAGCAAATCAGGCTAATTAGCATATTCATCATCTCAAATACTTATTATTTATTTGTGTTGAGGACATTAACATCCTCTCTTAACTATTTTATTTTTTATTATTTTGTTTTATTTATTAATTTTTTTTTTGAGATTGAGTCTCATTCTGTCACCTAGGCTGGAGTGCAGTGGCGTGATCTCGGCTCACTGCGACCTCTGCCTCGTTGGTTCCAGTGATTCTCCTGCCTCAGCTTCCTGAGTAGCTGGGATTACAGGCGTGCGCCACCATGCCCAGCTAATTTTTGTAGTTTTAGTACAGACAAGGTTTCACCATGTTGTCCAGGCAGGTCTCGATCTCCTGACCTCAGGTGATCCACCTGCCTCAGCTTCCCAAGGTGCTGGGATTATAGGCATGAACCACTGTGCCCGGCCAACTATTTTGAAATATACATTAAAAACTACAGTCACCATGCAGTGCAATAGGTCCCCCAAAATCATTCTTCATGTCTAAGTGAAATTTTGTACCCCTTGATCAGCATCTGCCCTTTCCAGGTCCCTGGCCTCCTTCCCCAGCCTCTGGTAACTACCCCTCTACTCTCTACTTCTATCAGTGCAACTTCTTTAGATTCCACGTATAAGTGAGATCATGCCGTATTTGTCTTTCTGTGCCTGGCTTATTTCAATTAGCATATTCTTCTTTAGATTTATGCATGTTGTTGCAAATAACAAGATTTCCTGTTAAAATCATAAACTTTTAAAGAGGTGAGATAAAGGACTTAAATATCTTTAAATAAGTTTTAGATTTTGACATGGTCAATAATCTGTATAATCATTTATTTGACTTTTTAAACTGTAAAGAGTTTATTTTGTCTTCAGTTTCTAAGATGACTCAGGAACCAGGGAAGTTAAATCTTTATTTACAGCCTTTCCTCCTCCTTAGCCTCAAGGCCAGATTGAAGTTCTGTTCCGCTGCAGGGACAGCTTACAGCTCCAGCAAGCAAGACTGCCTGTTAGTAAACATGCGAGAGTGAGTCCATGCTCTTTCAGAGGTTCAGTGTTTATACATCAGCAGAAGAATCACTTTGGGGGAAAAAGCCTGCCTGTTAATAAGCCAGCCTGACGTGACTAATGGCAGTTCTGGCCCTGACCTACCAGGACAGTAGGGGCTCACAGAGTCTAACCCGTCTCGCTCTTGGCTCTCAGCTTGGCAAATTTAAAAAGTATTTCCAACCGACAGCCCCAGGGATTTCTGTATAAAAATGCTGAAAACCCTAAAGTACAGTGGTATGTTTATAAAAATCACAAAGGCCCAATCCTTCCTAAGACAGGTCAGGGAAATGCATTTGTATAACCTCACAAAGACATCTTGATCAGAGATTTCTATTTGATTTAATCTACATCCGTAGCAATTCTATAATTGAATAAGAACACATTTATTATGAAAGTCACAAGTGTGTTTCTGACTGTGACCCAGGAGGCCCTTGCTGTGTTCTTTCTTTGGCTTCTTTTTCAAGTGCAATGACTAAAGGTTTTGGCCAAACTTCCTTCCTAGAGGGAGATTTTAAATGTGTTGCTCACCTGTTGTGATGGGGAAAGAAGCAACAGATGCCTGATGAGCAGGTCATTTGTGTGTTGACGATGGTGTGGGTGTCCTGGCGATAGCTCTGGTGGGTGGATTTCTTTGTGGGGAGATGGAGTAAGCTGAATGGAAGAGCTGCCCTGGGACCCGGGCCTTAGGAGCTGGAGAAGGCATCCTAAGGGGTGGGAACAACCTGTCCCACAGCAAAGAGGCAAAGAGAGCTTGTGGATTATGGATTCTGCTAGTCATTTCTTGCAAGGAATGCTGACAGGCAAGGAGATGGCATAGATCTGGAAAGGCAGAGTGGTCTTAGGGGCAGCAGCACCTCGAGGAGGGCCATCTCTGTATTCCCTCCAGGTAACCTCAACAGGCTACTGACGTTTAAACCATCATATGCTGGCGAATTCCAAAAAGCCCTCTTCAGCTCCAGCCCCTCTCCAACACTCCAGACTCCTATAATAGCTGCCTACTGGATACCTCCAAGAAGAATGCCTGAATGGGGTCTCAGAACTGAATTTTCAAAACAGAAATGTGGACTCTCCGTCTCCAATCTGCCTCCCTCCTGTCTGTCCTCCCTAGACAAAAATAGAGGAGCTACCCTGATTATCATCTATCCTTCCTCCCCACTTTAAACTTCCTAGCTGCACCTACTAATCTAACCTCCAAAACAGACTCCAAAGACAGGATCTTCACTTCAGCCCCACCACTCCCTCCCCTCTCCTCCAGCACAGCCACCACCTCCCCGCTGCTGCCTCCCTCTGCTCCGCCCCAGGAGCAACTAGAGTTATGTGGCAAAGCAAATCATGTGTGCCTCTCATTAGACGGAGTGGTTGAAGATCAAAGTCTGATTTGAGTAGGTTCAAGAGAAATTAGGTAGGGAAGCATTTTTACTCTAAATGGAATGGTGAGTCCAGCCCACTCTGCTGGAGTGTTTCACCTTAAGAGACAAACGTGGGTTGAAAGGATGTGTTTCTTTAAGGTGAGACAGCAAGGCGCCCTTGCCTGTTAACAGGGGTGATCCAGCAGAAAGAAAGCACATTGTGATGCAGGAGAGAGAGCCAGGATGGCTGGGCTGTTCTCTCCCTGGTGTCCTGAGCAGATGGGATGCAGTCATCATGGCTGGAGCATATGCAGCTTGTCTTGTTACAGGAGGAGGGCAGAGTGCGTGCGTGGCAGGCCAGCTGCAGGTGAGTGGTCTGATGTACTGGCTGGAGCTGGCAGCTCCTCTCTGGGAGCAGTAGAAAGCAAGGTCATCCTCTGAGAATGAGATGGGAATTGTTCTCTAGGGGAGCGGAAGTGGCCACGGGCCTGGGGACACTTACCCTCTTTCTGCACATGCCACCAAGCCTTGGACCAGCTCTTTCCTCCACCCGGAATGCACTTTGCCAGGACTTTCACAGGGCTGGTAACTTTGTGACATTCAGATCTTAGCTTAAATGTCACCTCCTCAGAGAGGCTTTCCTTGACCTCTGAATCGGAAACAGCCACCCAGTTTATCACTACCACATCACCCTATTCGACCTCCCTGAAGGGGGCATTCATTACTGTGAGATATTTAGCTGGTTAATATTTTACTTGTTTACGTGTTTATTGCTATATCTCTTCCTATATATGCTAGGACACACTAGGCCCTGTATGGGTAGAAAAATCTTATTGATTGAGCATGAGATGTTCCTTTTGCTTCAGAAAAAAATATACAAATGTGTCATGATGAAATACAGTAGAAGTCAAGTTGAAGTGGCCCAGGATTAAATCCCTGTGGGTGTGTGTAGGTGGGTGGAGGGCTGGCTGGGTGCATCCTGTAGCCTTGGCTCATCAATAGTCAACTCCAGTCACCCACTGTGTGCACCCTTCTGGGCACACAAAAGGCCTCTGAGTCCTGAAGGCCGCTTTACGCTTAACTAGAACTTGGCACTGGCACTCCAGTCCCTGCCTTCCTCCCGTGAACTTGGTCATAGTAAGAGGTCAGACACCGTCAGTGAATATTATGTAACTATCTGACCTAAATATATCAAAAAAGAACCATTAAAAATGGGAACATGGAGAGGCCAGACCCTACTCTTTAAGTCTTAAATAGATGCCTGAACTGGGCTTAACAATTCTTCTTAGCTTTGTGAGACTAAAGATATGAAGTCTGTCAGCCTAGAGAAAAATGCACACAAAGTTTCATGCATCTCAGACAGACTCCTTTTGCCTTAAGGTGATGGCTTTATTTATGATTTATTTTCTTCTTTTCTTTTCTTTTTTTTTTTTTTTTTTTTTTTTTTGGGTTGAAGTCTCGCTCTGTCGCCAGGCTGGAGTGCAGTGGCACAATCTCGGCTCACTGCAACCTCCGCCTCCCAGGTTCAAGCAATTTTCTCCTGCCTTAGCCTCCTGAGTAGCTAGGACTACAGGCACGTGCCACCACACTCAGCTAATTTTTTGTATTTTTAGTAGAGACGGGGTTTCACCATGTTGGCCAGGATGGTCTTGATCTCTTGACTTCGTGATCTGGCCGCCTCAGCCTCCCAAAGTGCTGGGATTACAGGAGTCAGCCACCGCACCCAGCCACTTATTTATGATTTCTTTAAAAAAAAAAAAAAAGAAAGAAAGAAAGAAAAAAGAAAAAGTCGTAACCCTTCTAGGGAAATATTCTAATTAGCCAAAGAATTTTTCCCATTTATTCTTTAAACGCAAAACGAACAAGCAAAAATGCCTTAGCATACCCAGTTTAAAATAATACATGGAAATATGCATATGTTCTGGTACATGTGTTTACTCCCTAAATCTCTGCTTAAAGCACTTAGGTGCTGAGCTGCCGAGGCTTGAACCAGCGTATCATTCTCTAAAAGGATGAGACAGGAAGCAGCTCTATATTTAGCCAAGAGAAGCCCGGGACCACTCATCCTTCCACAGTCAGGAAATATGGAAATAGTGAACAAAGATAAACTTAGAAAAAAACCAGAATTTCCTAAGCATTGATTGGACTCACCTTTCAGTCGAAGCTGTGGATAGTTTTATCAAACTTCTTATCACCTTGGTGGCCAACTCTGTAAATTTGAAGATCCAAACCCAGATCGATCTAAACTAAACTTGTTAATAGATGTTTCAGAGAGTTTCTTCTTTGCTTATTAAAAAAAAAAAGCACAAATAGGGAATATGACATGTTATTAGGGACCCTATAATTGTTATGTTTACTTCTTCCAGAAAGATCAGAGTTACTTGGGCTTATACGGGGATTATCAGAGACCTGAGGGGAATGAACTGGTTGTCTTCCCTTTTTTCCTGATCTGTGAAATTCACCACGTTGACTGACCCATGAATTAGAAGCTCTATAATCTGCTGGCTGGATAGGCAGGCTCCTGGACTTGAGTGTTTCCTGTTTGTCATTTATTTAGGCTGAAGGAGAAAAAATTGATTCAGAAGAGGCACTGATCTATGAAGAGGATTTCAATGGAGGAGATGGTGTTGAAGGCGAGTTGGAAGAAAGCACGAAGTTAAAAATGTTCCGCAGGCTTGCCTCTGTGGCCTCTAAGCTCAAGGAGTTCATTGGCAACATGATCACCACTGCTGGGAAAGTCGTTGTTACCATCTTACTGGGCTCCTCGGGTGAGTGTCTCCCACACTGGCTGCACGTAGCAAAAGGCACAAGCAGTGCTTTGGTGAATGAGAGAAATGGTTGAAGAAGAAATGAAGGAAACAGTCTGTTCCACCACATGAATATCATAACTGTAGCTCTTGTAAAACTGGCCACATGTACAAACCACACAAAATAATTTTTCCGGGTTAGTTCTAGTTTTGATGTTTTTAGATGGTTTCTGTTAACCTCTGCAAAATAATCTTTTTCTATATATGCTAAGCGACTCCATTTTCTAGGTTTAGATTAGAATAACAACAATCCTCTTCCTTAGAGCTTTGGAATGGTGACCTGCTGCAATTAACAATGTGCATGCACCCATCACAAGCCATATTGTGGGTTCTGGAGGTCTGTCTGCTTACATGAGTCCATAGTCACCTTAATATAACTCTCCAGGATAGACTATTTTTCTTCCTAAGTTAGATTGTAATCTTCCAGCACAGACGCTCACTTCCTTTAAATTTTGGACTTGGACCGCTTATTCCATAATAATGTTATCTTGATCTTTTCCCTCCTTCCATTCCACTGCTCACCACTGCCCCGGAGCTATGGGAGGCGTATTAGAGTAGACTCAAGCAAACTGCAAAGATGCAGCAACTTAGCTGTTTTTTAATAGTGGGAAAAATGGGGGAAATGACAGTAGAATTTCTCAAGAAATAAACCACAACATTTTAATGAGGAGTCCTTTCAAAATGCCCAATAAAACAGACTCCTTTTGCCCTAAGGTGATGGCTTTATTTATGATTCCTTAAAAACACTTTTAAAGGAGTTATTGGCCAGGAGCAGTGGCTCATGCCTGTAATCCGAGCCCTTTGGAAGGCCAAGGAGGGAAGATCACTTAGCCCAGGAGTTCAAGACCAACCTGCGCTACTTGGCAAAACCCCATCCCTACAAAAAATAAAATAAAATAAAACAAAACAAAATAAAATAAAATAAGCATGGCACAGTGAGAGTTTAATTGGCCAGGATGTACTAGTTAACTTAAAAAAAAAAAGTAGTAAATTATTATAAAGAAAATGGTGTCAGGAAAGGTTGGAACAGACATACAGATACATGAATTCTTGAAAATTTGGGAGAAGTAGAAAGATGGAAACAGGCAAGTAAATATGCAGATGCTACTGGTATGAAAAGTAGACATTTACTTAGTTCAGACGCCACAGGTGGAATTTTTTTAATCATCTGGTATATCTTTGTATTTATAGTTATCATTTCATATGTGACTTTTTCACAATAAATCTAGCATTAATTTTTATTATATAAATCAAACATGATTTTTAAAAATTACTATTTTAAAAAACCTAAAAACACTTGAAGGAAATTCACATAATTTCAAATAGTCACATTCACTGAATGATAAGTGAATTTCCAGTTCTACCTGACTTTGTGATTACGTTTCTCTTCCTTAGGCATGATGTTGCCGTCTTTGACATCATCTGTGTATTTTTTTGTATTTTTGGGTCTGTGCACCTGGTGGTCCTGGTGCCGGACGTTCGACCCATTGCTGTTCAGCTGTCTCTGTGTTCTGCTGGCTATTTTCACTGCTGGACATTTGATTGGACTTTATTTATACCAGTTCCAATTCTTTCAAGAGGCAGTTCCACCCAATGACTACTATGCAAGGTAAGAGAAATCCTTATGGCATTTCCAGGAGAGGTTGTCCCCCCACGCCTTTGGGACCTTGGTTTGGCATTGTGAATTTACAGGGGTTATTCTTGATGGCAGGCAATTGCTGTGTTAAGCAAAGATTTTGTGGGGGTGGGTGAAGCAGTCTAGCACTTTCATTGTATTGGATGACACAGTCTGGAAGGAAGACAGTGGTCTCTTCAGATGGAGATGCCGCTGGGATGCAGGAGGACAGGGAGCTGTCATGTGTAGGAATAAGACACAGAGTCTCAGCTGGGGAAGAAGATCAGGAAGAACATTTTACACCGAAGAACAATAAGGATGTGCCACAGCATCCAGCTAGAAAGGCGTTTCATGGGCCTAATATACGAGAACAAATTAAGCGTCAGAAACATTAACTAATTGTAAAAGCTTAAAAATAAAAGTCCCAGCCTGGGCAACATGGTGAAACCCCATTCTACAAAAAAAATTAGCTGGGCATGAGGGCGCACACCTGTGGTCCCAGCTACTCAGGAGGCTGAAGTGGGAGCGTCACCTGAGCCTGGGAGGTCAAGACTGCGGTGAGCCATGATCACACCGCTGCACTCCCACCTGGGTGACAGAGTGAGACCCTGTCTCAAAGCAAACAAACCAACAAACAAATAAATAAGAAAATACATAAGTCTCTGGTGTGAGAGAGAAAGGGAGAAACATCAAATACTTTGCTTCGATTGGAGATGACTATTACACCAAATCCTTACTATGAAAATGAGAATTAAAGGTAAAGAATCTAGCATTTACTTTGACTTTTAATAAGTCATTCTCAGTGAATGAGAGAAAATTCCTCCATGCAGGATGATGTTAGATAATGACAGGGCAAAGGAATAATAGAATTAGAGAATTACTATTCATCAATCCTTAATGATATGTTCTATTATGTCCACACCTGAAATAATTACTATAAAGGTCGTGGTGGTTGCACAATGACAAAGTAGAACCTTGTTGGTGCTTGCTAATTGCAAAGAAAAAAAATAACATCTTTCCAAAGGTGTGATCAATATCTTGAGGAATTGATTGAAGTCAACATGATCAAAACTGAGATAGCTTAACATTTCACACCTCTCAGTGTGATGCAACAGATGAGCTATACAGCATCATATGGTTAAGACTTTTGACCTAACCTCCCATTTACAGAAAATATAAAGGCTAGGAAACAGTTTAAATAGCTCCACAAGAAAAACAATCAAAAGAATTCAAAATGTGGATTCTGCAAGGCAAATGAATGGGTCTTTAAAAAAAAAATCAGCATGGAAAAGAGGCCTGCATAGAGAGTGGAGGCAGCAACTGTCTAGTTCAGAGGAGCACAGTAGATACTTAAACCTGTGTGAAGCACAGCTGTAGATCAGATCCTGGTTCAACAACAAATTCTTAAAACTTTTTTGGGGTTAAATTGGAGAAATTTCAATGTTCACTGGATATTGGACTATAGAATTATTGCTGATTTCTTAGGTGTATGATGGTTTTGTGGGTAGACAGAAAAATGCCATTATTTTAGGAGATACATGGTGAGTTATTTAGATAAGCTGTGCCTTGATGTCTGCAACTTAAAAATGGCTTAACAACCAACATAATAGATTGATAGATACATACATACATAGGAATAGTTAACAGAGAGAAGACAAATCAAATTATTTAAACTAGGTGATCAGTATAGGGTTATCCACTGTCCTATTTGAACTTTTCTTTGCATGAGGAAAGGTTCATAATTGACAGTTCCAGAAAAAAGAAAGGGGACAGAAATGGTAATGTTAGCAGTGAAACACATCTGAGTCTCGCAGCACCAAAGTATGTTACTGACAGCGAATTCCCATGGATCTGCTGCAATTTCAATTTTTGCTTCCTTAGAAAAATGAATTCTACTGAGGTGCATAAGGCAGGAGAGACTGAGGCAAGTTTTGGAGCAGGAATGAGTGACAATGTATTAAAAAGCTTTAGAGCAGGAATGAAAGGAAGTGAAGTACACTTGGAAGTGGGCTAAGCAGGCGACTTGAGATCAAGTGCACGGTTTGACCTTTGACTGGGGTTTTATACATTGGCTTGATTCCGGGGTCTTGGGCCCCTTTTCCCCTGATTCTTCCCTGGGGGTGGGCTGTCTGCATGCACAGTGGCCTGCCAGCCCTTGGGAGGGGCTGCATGTAGTCTGTTTACTGGAGTTGTGCGCATGCTCACTTGAAGTGCTCTTCGCTCACTTGAAGTGCTCTTCCCTCACCGAATGCTCCTACAAGGTCATGTACCAGTTAAACTCCGCCATTTTACCTCTTACTGCACATGCTTGAGCCCACTCACCCAACTCCTGAAGTCTTATCGGGAAACTGTTGATCACCAGTTTTGTTTTTTTTCTGTATATTGGGAGACTGCCTTCCCAAGCCCCCAGCTGCAACCAATTACTATTTTAGAGAAACAGTGTAAAAACCTCCTGACTATCACCTTATGGTCTCCTGACGTTCCCGGTTGGTGGGTGGGGGGTGCCCTCTCCTGCCCCACTCATGCCTGACCACTTACCTCTGTAACAGTAGAAGAGGGTGTGAGTGTTAGGTGAAGACGGTGCCAGAATTCTCTCTGCTGTGCCTCTGGATGGTAATGTAGTGCTTTTTGTCTTCTTGTTGAGAAATGAGGAACCTGCAATTTAAAAGAACATGAATATTATTACCATACCAGCAATACAGGTTTGCATCCTTTCAAGACATCATAATGTGGTTTTAATGTGATCGTAAATTATAAAGACAGAATGTGTGAGAGGGCCCAGTGGCCTTGCTTTGATTGATTTATGTGTAAAATTTGGCCGTGGTAAAACTAGTTGTGGCTGACTGTGTCTATACAGTGCTAACAAAAAGAGAGAGAGAGAGGGCACATGCTATAGAGAGCTATTCAGTCAAATCCTTTAAGACCACTTAAATTCAGTTAAAATAAGTAAAAGTTGGTGCTGGACACAAGCATCCACACCCACACACACACACACCCATCCACACACACACATTCCCACCTTATTCTAAATCCAGTTGGCTCAGTTGATTGTATTAGCCTGGCAACTGGAGAAGTGAAATTCAGTCTAATAAGAAAAGAATTTTGTATAGACACAGTAAAACTGGGGAGCCTCTTTAATAGTGCATATTCACATAATATTTACTCCAGGCAGAAGTGAATAAAAGCTAAATTTCAGTGCAGACATTATTTCTAGACTAAATTAATGCTTTTAGTTTCCTTTAAACGTTTAATTTTTAGTTTGTTGAACACATATAGCAAAAAGTTTTGTACTGCTGAAAGAACTGCCTTTTAGAGGATGACTTAATTGAAAATGTAAATATCCTCTGTAGGGCAGAAGTTTTTTGGTTTTTGGTTTATTCTTTCTACTGGCTTAAGGATCTTTTATGCCATCTAGCGGCTGAGGGTAGAAAATACAAAGAATATTCAGAACCACCTCGAAAATACTAGATCAGGCAAACTTTCTCTGTAAAGCTTAGTAAATAGTTAAGGCTTTGAGAACCATATGCTCTTTGTCACAGTTCTTTCAAGAAGTCATTATAATGTGAAATCAGCTGGGCACCATGTAAAATGATCATGGCTGTATTTCAGTAAAACTACAAATACAAATTTGCATTTCATATTCCTTTTACATTTAATGAAAATTTTTTTAAATTTTTCCCCAACCATTTAAAAATGTAAAAATCATTATTAGCTCATACATGGCACCAAAACAAGCACTGAACTACACTTGGCGCAGGGGCTATAATTTATCATCTTATGGTAAAGATATTAACAGTTCTAATAGTGTAATAACATCATATTTGCTCTTCATTTGAATTGTCATAAAAGTAAAATTATAATTTATTACAGACATTTCGGTACATCATCCCCTTAACAGTTTAAAAGGTCTGTTATTATAATCTCATAGAGTAAGACATTGGAAGTTAAGTTGCTTATCAGGGAATAGAAAATGTGAGCTAAACAATGCAGTATGTAAAGTTCCTTGTTGTAGATTTCCTCCCCATTAACTTGCCGATAACAGGACATTACATTTTATTCCTTTAAAACATGGAAATTAGCATATTTAAACCATAGCTTTATCCTAGGGCATAATTTCAGTGTATTGTTATTAACCCCAAACTCTGAGTTGGAAGAAAACAAACTGCAGACTGGCAAAAAAAAAAAAAAAAAGATAAAAGAAAAAAAGAAAAGAAAAGAAAAAGAGAAAGAAGGAAACAAACATAGAAATAAAGAAAATCACCATGGGTGGGTGTTTATCACAAATTTCATAACCACGGAGACTCCAGCCCTTCTGTCTCACTTCCTGGATAGATAAAGCTGCCCTTAAAACAGTCCAAGCAATTTTTATCTTCTGGTAAAAAAGCTTTCAAATGTGCTCTCTGGTGAGAATTAACCTTATTTTTAGAAATATTGAATTGATATTTTTTGTCACACTGTTATACTAAACACATGTTTTTTGGTCATTTGGAAAAATAAAATAATAAGAAAAAACACTTTAAAATGTAATCCTTATTCCCAGAAATAAATACTATTGCTTTTTAGCCAAATTTTTTTCAGAATCTTTCTTATGTCTATAGGTACTTTTTACAAACAAATTTTGAATCATATTGCACATACTATTTTATAATTTGCTGTATTTATGCAAACTGTGTATTTTCCTATGTTATAAAATGTTCTAAAATGTAATTTTCATAGAGTGCAAAGTGATTGTGTAGCTATATTAGAATTTAGTCAACCCCTGAGTTTTAACCACGTAGATGATTTCTCATTTTTGTTCTCATGAATAAGGCTGCAACAAGTGCCCACATTACTTCTAAATCTAAACAAAACTTAATGATGAGCAAGTTGCAACCCCACATTCTCGCAGCTGTGAAAGAGCCTTTGCAGGGCTGTGGGGGTGCTTGCTTCTGCTGGAGGATGCACAGGTGTCCAGGTCCTAGGCCAACATAATGTTAACTAGCTTACCGGTTTGCGATGCCCTCCCCATGCATATGGTATAAACTGAAATTCCACGCCGATGTGTGGCACAGGGCTGGAGTTTCATTTTTCTCTAGAGTAATCCCTTCTTTTCACCCCATGGTCCCAAAAAATCACGTGCTTCCTTCCAGTTTCATCTGCACATGTGGTTGAGTTTTTGCATTACTTTTATCCAGGAGAGGGTGAGAATTAGTGATTCCCTTCCGTTTATGCACACAGGTGTGGCACGAGCATATTTTCCAAAACAAAATGTAGGACTTATTATGTGACAGAGATAGGTGTACTTAGGGGAGGTTAAGATACTGGGTCTGAAATTGAGATTATTCTTCCCAAATCTGAAGTGCTGTAGTCTATTATAACAATAACTGCAAAACTCAGTGACCACACTCAGAAGTTGATCCAGCAGAAGAAAGCTTCAAGTGTATCCACATAACTAAATCTAAGACCAGTAATATACCATTCAAAACAGTCTGTTTAAAAGAATAGAGCCCTATGGCAGCTGTTAGTCTGGCAGGTCTCCCGAAGAAAAATGGTGAACTAAACAAAATTTGCCTCAGCTAATGCAAAGTAATTTCTTCCAAAGGTTTTGTATTTTCATAGGGAATTTCAGTAGACAGCAAACACTACAGTTTGCAAGACAGGAAGCAAGAATGGAAGAATTAATGTTATGAGGCTGATGTTCGGTTTCCCCCAGCTCGAGGTGTGCATATCCTCATGCGTTTCCTACTTGTAGGGCTGGCCCCGTTTACGGTTCAGGGATCCTTGGGCGGCTTCTGTCCTATAGGCATCCTGCGTTAACGATGCAGATGGTGCCCTGAGCAAAGCAAAGGAGCCGGGGGCGGGAGGACTCAATTCCTGTTTCACTACTGGGAATCTGTGGCCTCTGAGAGGCTTTAAAACACACCTGTACGTGATAAACTTGAGTTTTTCTACTTGGTGGTGCTTTCAGTTAAAAGCCAATTTTAATAGTTTGGCCGCACATCACAGCCTGCGTCCTTGTGAAGAAGATACCTAAAGAAATTCTGGATTGGGAGAGGGGCCAAGCGCAGTGGCCCAAGCCTGTAATCTCAACACTTTGGGAGGCCAAGGCAGGTGGATCACCTGAGGGCAGGAGTTTGAGACCAGCATGGCCAACATGGCAAAACCCCGTCTCCACTGAAAATACAAAATGAGCTGGGCGTGGTGCCACACACCTGTAGACCCAGCTACTCGGGATGCTGAGGCAGATTTGCTTGAATCCAGGAGGCAGAGATTGCAGAGGTTGCAGTGAGCTGAGATCGTGTCACTGCACTCCAGCTTAGGTGACAGAGCGAGATTCTGTCTCAAAAAAAAGGAATCCTTGGGTGAATTCTTCTAAAGACACTTCTTGACAAAAAGAGGGCTTTTTGTTGGTTTGCTTATCTTGTGGTGATCTGGATAATTCAGTTTAAAGTTCTGAAGTACTTAGAGTGGAGGGGATGGCAGGAGGCTGAAATGGATGCCTATGATTTCCTTCATCATAATGTAAACACTTGGAACCTATAGATTTATTTCTAGATCCTACTAATGAACATTTAGCATATGTTCAGCACTGAAATGAGCATGCAACTTTGAACAATTCGTTAAGTTGTCTCTTTTAATCCTTGACTGGCTTTCATTCCAACTCATGAACTTTCTCTAGATCATTCCCAAGAGTCACTGCAGGGGTCGGACTTGTTTGCTCAAGTTCAGTTTGTTGTTTTGCTGCTTTTCACCTTACATTGTGAGGTTTCAAAATGAAGGGTGGGAAGGAATGGGAAAGATTCTCAGCCCATTCTCTATGAAAATAGCATTCTCTCTTAAATAAATGTACAATGATTTGTCCTGTTACCCTTTTTTATCATCTACTTCAATAAATCATGATAATTAGAAAATGAATTGTTTAGTGAAGGAAAAGCTCACGTTTCTGTCAATGTTAAAACAATGTAAAATAAGAAACAGCAAAACCTCAAATTCTAGCATGATGAGTTTCTTCTAAAGTTAAAAAACAAGCATTCCAAGTGCAATACCATTTATGTTTATACTTTCTTATAATAGTTGTAAAATATCAATTATATGCAAGGAGAAATAAGTGCCTCAATGCTGTATATCTTTCTTCTAGTTTGGAGAAGCCAGTGGGGTCATCTAGAAAATGAAAGAATGCAGTCAGCTCTTCTGTTAGGTCTGCCGCGGTCTTGCTTTGCAAGCGGCTACATAATCCGGTTATTGAAATGAATGTACTTTTGCACCCCATCAAGATTGCTAGAGTGTGCCTGTCTTGCATTGGGGTGATCTGAAGTTTCATAAACAGAAACAGCACAGAAAGACTAAATTGTGTTTAATGGAGACCAGTTGGCAAAACCTTCATCTGAAATCGGTCCAGTGTGTGGAGAAAAACAAATGTAAAGCACGTTATTATAATGCTAAGGAATGCAAATGAACCCAACCAAGCTACCACTTTCCCTTCACCTTTTTGTTAGAAGATGGCATTGGCAGCAGTTAATCTCTAGTGTTTAATTTGTGAAGTTGGCAGATGATACATGATAAACAAGTGTAGGTTTCATTTTGAAAAGATGCTTAATGATGAAGTGACTTATTCTACAGGTCTCATTCAGAGTTCATTTATGCTTATCTGAAAGGTAGAGTTAGGTGCCCCAAGAGAAATTGACTTTACACAGATAAGTGGAAAATCAACAGAACTTAAATACTTGAACTCTGAGTTCATCTGGACCTTGGTATCGTTTGGGGGCCTACGTGGGTGTAGTGGGGACCGGGATCCCAGGGCAATGAGGTGTCCTACTCAGCCACGACACCTGTACTGGGTACAAAAGCAACTGTGGCTTCTCGCCGAGCCCACGGGCCTTTGCACTGCGTGTTTATCCAGCCCAGTGACCTAAGACTTCCCCACTGCACCTTCCAGACTCTCAGCCTGGATTAAGTGTTCTGGGCCAGATTTCTCTCCTTTTGCCCACCAAGGGCATCTCCACGGTCTTCCTTTCAGTTTTTATGGAGAAGATGCCTCTGTGGGCACCTAGAATTCCCCACAGTTAGCCAGACTCAGTGACTCATTCTAAAGGGTCCATAGCTAGGATTGCAGCTCACCTGCAGTCACCTGCCCCGGCTGCCGTCATGTCATCTGGCCAGCGAGCATCACATGGGTTCCACTGATTTAATAATACCACACTAAGAGGATTCTGCTAATGCTCAACAGCTCATTCCCTGGAGTCCACGGGCTCGAGATTGAACCTTGGCCCTGCTATTTTCTAGGCAGAGCACCTAGCAGAACTTTACTAAAACTCTCTGTACCTCTGTTTCCTTATTTATAAAATAGGGGTGAAGATAGTGCCCAGCCCAGAGTGGGTGGGTGTAGTAAGCAGGAGAGAGCATATCAAGTGCTACTGATTTTTATTGTTGTAGTCATCAAATATTTTTATTATTCAAACTCACTTCCCCATTTCCAACAGTTCTAGCCTTATCTCCCATCATGCCTGCAGTTCCCCTGTGCACATAAAGCAATTCCATCCCTTATACTGTTTCCTTTGCTGGAAATCTCCTGCTCACTGCTCTCACTGGCTCCTGTTTGTCCCTTAAACCTACCCATGCACCTCCTTCCAGAACCTTCCATCTTCCTTTATAAGGAAGGAAAATTATCTTGTAGGCAATTATTCTGTGCAAACTTGCTTTATAACACCAGCTGCATTGGGCCATAATAATCCCTTCATGCATATGTCTGACTCACTAGGACCCAGTTCTTCAGAGCCATGATGGGCTTTTTTGGCTTTGGTACTCTCAGGATTTAACACTGCTGACATACATTGGCCTCTCAGGAACTCTTAGTTCAAGCTTCTTTTCTCTCTCTGTTTCCTAAAACCCTTGTATTTTATCTCCTTATATATCAGAATAATGTAAAACTTGATTTTCTTGAACTCTAAGTGATAGGTTTTGCTATGACCCCACCCAAATCTCATCCCCGGTGGGAGGTGATTGAATTATGGGGGCAGGTCTTTCCTGTGTTGTTCTGGTGATAGTGAATGAGTCTCACAAATCTGATGGTTTTAAAAAACGGGAGTTTGCCTGCATGAGCTCTCTCTTTGCCTGCTGCCATCTGTGTAAGATGTGACTTGCTCCTCCTTGCCTTCTGCCATGATTGTGAGGCCTCCCTAGCCATGTGGAACTGTAAGTCCAATAAACCTCATTCTTTTGTAAATTGCCAAGTCTTGGGTATGTCACTTTCAGCAGTGTGACAATGGACTAATATACTAAGCTTCAGATGTGGCCACTGGCTATAAGATGTGTGGGGAAATTATTTTCCAGAAAGGTCATCATCAATCTTCATACACCCACGGCACTCCCACTGCCTCAATCCATCCACAGATTATTGAATATGAAGCTCTGCTTAGGAACTAAGTGAGGCTTAATGGTATAAGTAGCCATGGTTCTTAACGTGGTGTTTGCAAATATTTAGTTTTTGCTTTAGAAAAATGATGGGCTTTAAATGTATTTATTTGAGAAACTCCAAAAGACCTTTATCCTTGATGCTTAAAATAAACATGCCTAAAGTAGTCAGTAGCTTTAACTTTTGAAGACATGAGAGACTTCAGTTTCTATTCAGTATGTCCTTCAGAGACCCAGTTTGCTTTTCATTGTTGAGAGACACTGGGTAATGTTTCTTAATTAATGTGGGGGTCCTGGTCTTGAAAATGGGGCTCCTTTACCTGCTGCAGAGCAGTGTGGTAGAAATTAGTAAGACAGTGTGCCCGAGGGCTACCCATCCTGGTAACTAGCAATCAACCAAAGAATGTCAGTTCCATGTTCCCCCTGGAATTTTCTGTAGAAACACATGTATGTGATTTTTTTATTATTATTATTAAACTGCTACATGTGAGGGTTAAGTCAGGATGTCTTTACTGATTTCCAGTTTGTGTGGAATCTAGTAATTTAGTAAAATCTAATCCAACCAAATAACTCCTCTTTCATAGTCTCTTAAAAGCCTAACCACCATCCTTGTATTACTGAAACAAAAAAATAAATCCTGTCTCTGGAAAAAATTAGTATTATTTAATTGTGTTTCTTGGTATTCTCCCAGTGAAACAAAACATGTTCCTTAAACATAGTTGAAGTTGTGTGTGTGTGTGTTTATATATATATATACACACACACACACAATGGGAAAAATTATAATAATAATTATTCCCCATAGGTTATGAATATTAAATGGATTAATATTTGTAAAATGGTGTCTGGTATGTATTAAGAACTATAAAGAGGTATTTGTTAAATACATTAGTTAAATACATTGTCCTCATAGTTAACTAGACATTCATCATTTAATTAAAACTATAATAACATGTAAATATAGTTTGTCCCATATCTCGTCTTTAAACTGTGATTTCAAACAAATTTTGGTTTTAAGCAATCTACTTTTAGGTGCTTGTGACCTGACTAGAAAGTGCCGTCATTATTTGGTCAGTTACTTTGTATGAAGCACTTGCTGAGTGTCTTGCATCTCTCATTTAATTCTCATAATAACCCTATGAGGTAGGT
Organism: Homo sapiens; assembly: GCF_000001405.40. Lineage (NCBI taxonomy): Eukaryota > Metazoa > Chordata > Mammalia > Primates > Hominidae > Homo > Homo sapiens. Next base: position 10,844,807 of record NC_000018.10, on the reverse strand, counting down.
ACTTTTTTTTTTTTTTTTTGAGACAGAGTCTCCCTCTGTCGCCCAGGCTGGAGTGCAGTGGTGCCATCTTGGCTCACTGCAACCTCTGTCTCCCAGGTTCACGCCATTCTCCTGCCTCAGCCTCCCGAGTAGCTGGGACTACAGGCACCCACCACCACGCCTAGCTATTTTTTTGTATTTTTTAGTAGAGACGGGGTTTCACCATGTTAGCCAGGATGGTCTGGATCTCCTGACCTCGTGATCCACCCACCTCGGCCTCCCAAAGTGCTGGCATTACAGGCGTGAGCCACCGTGCCCGGCCAGTAGGTACTGTTATTTTTATGTTCATATTTTAAACAATGCAGAAAAGCCACCTTTATTTTTATTTTATTTTATTTTATTTTATCTTTTGAGACAGTCTCACTCTGTCACCCAGGCTGGAGCACAGTGGTGCAGTCTCGGCTCACTGCAACTCCCGCCTCCGAGATTCAAGTGATTCTCATGCCTCAGCTTCCTAAGTAGCTGGGACTACAGGCATGTATCACCACACCCGGCTAATTTTCGCATTTTTTGGTAGAGATGGGGCTTCGCCATGTTGGCCAGGCTGGTCTCGAACTCCTGGCCTCAAATGATCCGCCCTCCTTGGCCTCCCAAAGTGCTGGGATTACAAGCGTGAGCCACTGTGCCCAGCCCACACCTTTATTAAATGACAGAACCAGGGTTTGAGCCCAATTCTCTCTGACTTCTAAGGCTGTGCCCTTATGACCTACACTGGGCATAATCACCTTCATAACATAGTAAGCCGACATAGTAATATGTTTCTACAGCCTTCCTGGAATGTTTATGAAGACTCCCTTCCTACCATCCTGTTCCAGAACAACTTCGTGGTAAACCAGCCTTTGCACTTTGTCACATAGAGGTTTGGAAGCTCAGCAATTTGAGCCTGCATGAGGGACATCTGTAGCCATAACACCATGAGGTAGCCCATTGGTCTGGACCTAATGGGTGTGGAGTGAGCTACTCTTGTTGGATGCATAGCATTTGAACCCTGGCAGGGAGCACTGCTGGAGAATTCACCTGGCAACTCGAGGTCGGAAACTGTATCTCATTGACCTTTGTGTCTCTCAGTATCAAGTAGCATGTCAGCATGCCCGAGGTACCAATGAATGCTTGCTATGTGAAAAAATTACCCTTTCTACATTTAGTCTTTCAAAATACGAAGTGGATAAAGATTAGGCATGGTTCACAGTTAAATTTTTTTCTAAATTTGCTCCAAATGATCATTATGTATGGACATATCACAAACTATGGCTGAATAGTACATTTAGGTGCTTTCAAGTTTAGAAATTAATAGCAAATTAGTGGTGGTAAATTTCTTGAAGTAGAAAGATTGACTTTTTTCAAGTTAAGAGAACAGCGTATAAAATGAAATCTAAAGAGATCTTTTGAGAAATCTCATTCTGAAATAAAACAATTACTTAGCTATCAAACTTTTTATTGGAAAGTGTGAGCGTATAAGAAATGAAATCTAAAGAGATCTTTTGAGAAACCTCATTTTGAAATAAAACAATTATTTAGCTATCAAACTTTTTATTGGAAAGTGTGATCATCTTGTTTGTTAAGAGTTAAGATCCTCATCCATGTTCTGTATTTTAATTTATTGCAGCAACACCTCATTAATTTTTCAGTTTGATTGTAGATAAGCCAATTTGGCTGCTTTGTGAAGTATTTTGAGAATAAATATACCAAGATATATTGCCTCATAACTACTTGGATTGTTGAAGTTCAGAATGTTGCTTATGCAGTAACTTTTGCTGTTTTATCTGCTTTTTAGCTCCAAGTAGCCATGACTCAAGGATAAGAGATTAGCTCTTAAAATGAGAAGCAAGATACTTTTAAATTTTCCCTACAGAATTTGCTACAAAAGCTTTCTGCTAAGACAACTTGACAAACGTTTTAATAAACTTGCTTGTTACTCATTGTTGAGTTTTTCTTAACAGCTTTATTGAGGTATAAATAATATGCAGTAAACTGCACATATTTATAGTGTCCAATTTGATAAGTTTTGCCATAAACACATCCATTGAAACCATCATCACAATCAACATAATGTCTTAGTCTGTTTAATGTTGCCATGAAGGAATACCTGAGGCTGGGAAATTTATCAAGAAAAGGGGTTTATTTGGCTCACAGTTCTGCCGGCTGTACAAGAAGTGTGGCGCCAGCATCTGCTCCTGGTGAGGGCCTCAGGCTGCTTCCACTCATGGCAGAAGTTGAAGGGGAGCCAGTGTTTTTAGAGATCACAGGGTGAGAGAAGAAGCAAGAAAACAACAGAGAAAGTGCCAGGCTATTTTTAACAACTGGCTCTCGAGGCAAGTAATAGAGCAAGAACTCACCCACTTTCCCTCCCCAACCCTTCATGGAGGGCATTAATCTATTCATGAGTGATCTGCTCCCGTGACCCAAACACCCCTGATTAGGCACCACCTCTAACCTTTGAGATCAAATTTCAACATGAGATTTGGAGGGGACAAACATCCAAACTATAGCAGATAAATGTACATTCATGTATATTAGGTTGGTGCAAAAGCAGTTGTGTTTTATGCCATTAAAAGTAATGGCAAAAAAATAAAAAACAAAAATAAAAAAATGCACACCAACTTTTTTTTTTTTTTTTTTTGAGACGGAGTCTCGCTTTGTCGCCCAGGCTGGAATGTAATGGTGCGATCTCGGCTCACTGCAGCCTCCACCTCCAATGTGCAGACAATTCTCCTGCCTCAGAGTACCTGGGACTACAGGCGCACACCGCCATGCCCAGCTAATTTTTGTATTTTTAGTAGAGACAGAGTTTCACCATGTTGGCCAGGATGGTCTTGATCTCCTGACCTAGTGATCCACCCGTCTCCCAAAGTGCTCAGCTTACAGGTGTGAGCCACCACGCCCTGCGTTGCACCAACCTTGTATATATTAATATATGTGTGTGTGTATTTAATCCTGTAAAAAAAATAAGTGGAGTTACAACCCAAAATTACAATACTATTAGCTTTTATAATTGCCCATGTATTTACCTTCAATGGAGATCTTTATTTCTCCACATGGCTTTAAGTTACCATCTAGCTTTCTTTCATTTCATCCTGAAGGAGTCCCATTAGCATTTCTAGAAGGGCAAGCCCCCCATTCAGCTTTTATTTTGAAATGTCTTAATTTCTCCCTTAATTTTGAAGGACAGCTTTGCCAGATACAGAACTCTCAGTTGACAGGTTTTATTTTTCTTTCCTCACATTGAATAAATCAACTCACTGCCTTCTGGCCTCCAAATTTTCTGCTGAGAAATTAGTTTATAATCTTATTGAGGATCTCTTGTACATGATGAGTCACTTCTGTCTTGCTGCCTCCAAAATGTAGCTTGCCTTGGCCTCCCCCACTGTGGCTCAACTACAAGCTACATCTTTTCAGCTCATGAAACTTGCCAAACTCTTTCTGGGTTTCCCTCCCAGCACCAGGGGAGGGAATTTAGTGCTGAAAACTCTCTTGATGCAGTAAGCTTGAGCAATTTTAGGGATTATCTTGTTTTTCTCTCACCCCTCAAAGATTGAGATCTACTCTGATATATCTCAAAGATTGAGCTCTCCATTGCCTGATATGCAATGTCTGCCAAATCATTGTATCATATATTTTTGATTGTTCCAAGCAGGAAGGCAAATCTAATTCCTGTCACTCACCTGAACAAGAAATAAAATTCTGTGGATTTATTGTTGTTATGCCAAAAGTTCAAAACGTTGTCTGTCCCTTCCTCTACAAATCATCTCAGATCACGATGCTGGCAAACACATTGAGGAACCTTTCCTTTATCAGGAACTGCATATGGCTCTCCTCATATCCCACATCTAACTAGTGTGCCTGTGTCATCACTGATGGGAAGGAGTTGGGTAATAATCTGAACACTCAATTAAAATTCACTGGGCAAGAGGAATGCATGTTTTCTAACATTTTTCTTGCTTCTCTGGAGAATCTGGTCTCCAGACCCCAAATATAACTGTCAGAAAGAATCTGGCCACAGTGACAGCTATGAGTCTAGTTCATATAGCAGATCCAATTCATTTATGTAGAATGCCTGTTAAAGTGACTTAATTGATTCAATTTCAGTATTATCCAATTACATATTTTCTGAGAGGTGGACTGAAATCTTTTTTTTTTATTGTCAAAAGTGGATATTTTGGATATTTACTATAAATAGATTACTTGTATTGAGCTAGATTTTTCTCACCTATTATTCAAGAGAGACTGGGTTCACTTAAAATTATAGAAGAAATCATACTTAACATTAATGTTGATATAAAAATGGTGTATTCACCTTCCTTCCATTGCTACCCTCAATAAAAAAGGACCAGCTCTAACGTTCATTCTCATGATTTACTGGATTTGGAACGGTTAATGTGACCACCAATTCAATATTTTACCCTTCTAAACCTTTTAATTTCATTGTGATTAACATACATGGCACAAGCATGCATCTCGATGAAAGTAAATTATGTATTAATTTTATCTCTATGACATCAAAAATAAATTAAAAATTCTTATAGAACAAATTAATAACATGCATTTATTTTTTCATAAAGTTAGTATTTGACTTTCTCTAAACTCACTTTGAGCTACGTTTCCATGGTACATGTTACACATTAAAATATGTTATGTATTCCTTAAAAAGTTAATTCTCAAGAATGATCCTTTTGACCCATACTTTTTGTCAGGTCATGCTACCACAATATTTCTTGGAAAGTTATAGCTATATTTCATGAAATTAACTTCAAACAGTTAAGACTTTATCCTCCCAAAACAGAAACATTTAACCTGTACTTTAAGTGAGAAGATGCAAGTTTTTGTGAGACTCAGCCAATTGTTTCTTTTCCTAGATACGCTTGTTTCTTTCTGAGCATCTGTAAGTTTACATACAACTTCTCTTACAGAAGATTTATTGCTTTCCCCGTTACAGCACACCTCCAAAAAATTGATTATCCAGTCTTTTTGCTTAGCTTTCTGGTAAAAAAAAATGATACTCCTTGGTCAATAATTCACAGGCTTATCTTTAGTGTCCTTGCTATAGATTAAAATGCAAGTGCAGAAAGCCAGCTACTATCCTGGGGTTGAGATCTTCTCTTGGGTTCAGTGAGCAGCCTCCATGCCCTTCAGGGTTGACTCCTGCTGCTTTACTGCCAAGCCAGACATGGGGCCAGCCATCATCTCCTCCCTCCACCAGCCAGCACATGAAGTGGTCTGGCAAAGTAATTCTATGGGAGGAAAAGCTTGACAATCATCGGCATAAGGGCTTAACAGACCAGAGCTAGTTGCCAAAAACCATTCTACCATGGTTGAGTAGTATTCCCTCTAGAGTGCAGTGCTCTTTGATGACAGGGGTGATATCCTATTTATCTGGATATCCCCACCACTGCAGGTAGAACCCAACACAGAGGACACAGCAAATACTTGCTGAATAAAAGGACAAATTAATAAGTGAGTCCTGTAATGGAACTATCCCATGACTAATGCTTTTTCTTTAGAGTTTTCTGGTACTTTGAAAAATATCACATTATTTTGTCTGAGAAATAAGGCAGTGGGATGATTTGAGGCCAGCAGACTGGGACTTGTGAGTTTCACTATTTACTATTTTTTCAGTTATGTGAAACTTAAATCTCTACATATTCTAGAAACAATAGCAGATGCCTTGCAGAGCTGTTGGTTGACATGTAACTCATCAGAGGAACCCTCCACTTGCCATTACTCTCCCTCTCTTCTATGTAACTTTGGTTATTGACTATGTAAGACTTTAAAATGTGGCATCTAAACCCATATTTATATTATAGCTATTTAGGGGAAATTATATTTGTGGGTAATAGAAGTGCCTACATTTATGACCTCTCATCTTGGGCTTCTTGATAGGGAGGGGAGGTTGCCTGGCTTACGTGTTGAGCTACGTCTTGCTGTCATAGGAAGTAACCCAGGAGTGTGGAAGACCAGCTGGTCATGGGAGTTCTGGTTCTGACTCATTTCTCACTTTTCTCTCAGAGGTGACAGTGTGTTCAAGCATGGGAAAGAGGCCATAAATTTGCAACACTCATAGAATATAAACATTCCCTTATGAACCCTACAGATGACATCAGAGAAAGAATGCCTGTGATAATTAAATGTAAGCCCCTTCCATGTGGCCTCTATTTGTCCACCACCAATCATAGTTCTGAATACAGCACACCCTGCACCTGATGCAAAATTGTCCTATGAACAGATTGCTTTTTATTATAAGGCAGTATCCTGCAAACATAATATGAAGCCCAATTACAGTAAATTGGCAAATAGTTAAGACATGTTTGTGCCCCCAAAAGCTTCAGAAGCATGATGCAGAGCCCAGGGGACTCAGTGCAAAGTTTTTCCAAGGTTGAAAAAACAATGTAGTGTGAAATCTATCAGATTACAATTTGCTCACACACAAAATAAAATATCTATGGGTTTGGCATGGAAACATGTTTAAAGCATAAGTAAGAAACCAATAAAAAAAAGATGGTTAAACATTGGCTGTGTTTTCCATATGATGCAAGGCAGGGGGTAGGGTGGGAAAAGGAATTGGAAGCCGAACTAGCAAAAACTTATTGTAAAAGACAGTATTATAGGATGGGATGCCACAAGAAATGGAGAGAAACTTGCTGGAAAGATACCTTAAAGATACTTTAAAGACAGTTCTAGCCTTTTTCCCACAGAGACGCTTGTGTAACATGGAGGAAATTTTGCTGGGTGTGGTGGCTCATGCCTGTAAACACAGAACTTTGGGAGGCCGAGGCGGACAGATCACCTGCGATCAGGAGTTCGAGACCAGCCTGGCCAACATGACGAAACCCCGTCTCTACTAAAAATACAAAAATTAGCCGGGCATGGTGGCAGGCACCAGTAATCCCAGCTACTCGGGAGGCTGAGGCAGGAGAATCACTTGAACCTGGGAGGTGGAGGTTGCAGTGAGCTGAGATTGCACCATTGCACTCCAGCCTGGGCGACAGAGTGAGACTTCATCTCAACAACAACAACAACAAAAAAAAATGAGGAAATTTTATAAAATGGTTGGGAACACAAACATTGCTTTGTGAGGATATCTGACTACCCATGCCTTTTTGATGGTATGTCTTTGTTTTCATTCATATGTAAAAATTAATTCTGTTCTGTCCACCCACAGTTAGATTTTAGGCCTTTTCTTACATAGATTGTACCATAGAATTTTGGATTGGGAAGAGATATTGATACCATCTACCAGTGGTTCTCAAGCTTTCTTGCTGGCCCCAACATTCTAAAGGATGTGCATGGTGGTAAGGATGGGTCATCCTCATTACCCCCATTCCAGCGAGTCCAGCGTGATGGAGCACTCTACAGGTACCTGGATCAGCACTGTGGTATGGAAGGTGAGAGAGGCAAGATGGCTGCAGTTGGAAAAGGTATTCTCAGAAGATGCTGTGTTCCCCTCACAGGGGACTTCTTTTCTTCCCTTGAGGATCAGTGAGAACTTAAAGGCTCTTCTCATTCTAGACTTAGGAAAGTATAAAAACAAAGTTAGTGAAAGCTGTCAAAATAAAATCCCCTCAAAGCATTGATTTCCAGGTTCTGTTACCGTCCACAACAGGAGTGCACACCATCCCCTCCTCCTCACATGCTTCTTGGCATGGAAAGAGTTGTGAGCAATCCCTGTGCGAAGAGTGTTTCTTTGCCTAAGAAACTAACATACAGGTTATGAGTGTGTAAGAGTGATTATACCCCACAATAGAAGAATGTGTGTTTTGCTGAAACCAAACCACAGTTGTGAGTATCCTCAGTGGCCCTTCCCCTTCCTTTGATCATATTACCAAGATGAAATAAATACATTTTTCTTGGCAAAAAACCAAATATTAATAATGGAACATAAAACAATGTTGTAAATTCTGTACATGTTCCCAACCACCACTCCAAATCCTCCCAACCTGTGCAGATATTACCTCCCCTTAAGAGATCCAGTTCACTTGAGCAGGATTGAGGTTCTATTCCATCTTAAAGAGGACACTTGTATCCTCTTGTTTGCCAATGCCATCAATATGGTATTAAGCTCTGACCTAGGCATAAGACAAGTTTATGTTATACATTGTCATAATAATGATATCGTTGTAGCCAGGATTTCTTGACCAACTATTATAGGACATGGCCTATGGTGTGACTTTATATGTTTGACATCATATACCTCATTACCTTAACCTAGTAATTAGCCACAAAGTAATGGAATTAACAATAGCTTCACATTAAACAGTTGCAAGTGATCTGGTTTCTAGTTGTAGCTCCTTTCCTCAATATAGTAAGTGACCTTGAGCAAGTTACAGCCGGGCTAGCAAAGTGGGGAGGTATTGGGTAGGGATGGGGAGGAGACAGGAGTGGAGAGGGAGAGGTCAGCAATTGCTAACATTTTTTTCATCTCAAAAATATTCATGATTTGAAATAGATCCACAAGCCTTCAAATAAGTGAGCCAATAAGCTCAGGATGGGATTGTTTGCTTAGACAGGAGTCTACTCACTACTGAGAGTCAGCATTATAAATTCCAGGAATCATCAGTCAAGGGGGAAGAGTTGATCTAACTCCCAACTCTTAAATAGGAGATAAGGGGAGTGATCCTGGAGCATAACTAAGTGTGTCGAGAGTAACTTTATTCCATTTTGTGGTACTTTGCTCATGTAATCCAGTACCTGGGGGAATCATCACAAACTGTTCATAAAGTCACAGGAAGGAAAAAAAGCATAAGCGACATAGGCTTATTTGGACCTGTTTACATTAGTTTCTGACACTGATATTACTCTGTCAGAGTGAGCAAACATTTTTCACAAAGGACATTACTATAAAAACTTTCATCCGATCTTTGCAATCGAGCATTTGCAAAAGTACTGTGAGTCAGAGTTGGACTTTAGTACAAATTACTCGAAATTTAAATGATCAATGTAAGAACTCAGGCTGGACGCGCTGGCTCATGCCCGTAGGCCAAGGTGGGCGGATCATCTGAGGTCAGGAGTTCGAGACCAGCCTGGCCAACATGGCGAAATCCCATCTCTACTAAAAATACAAAAATTTGCCAGGTGTGGTAGCACGTGCCTGTAATCCCAGCTACCTGGGAGGTTGAGGCAGGAGAATCACTGGAACACAGGAGACAGAGGCAGCAGTGAACCGAGATCGCGCCACTGCACTCCAGCCTGGGTGACAGAGCGAGACTCCGTCTCAAAAAAAAAAAAAAGAACTTGGTTAGGAGTTTTACTGTGTAGCTAAGTTTGGTTCCAGGCATTCTGCCAATATACCATTATGTGCATATTTTAATGAAATGATGGTGTAAAGAATGCTGGAAAAATAGAGAAAAGATATCTGGAAAGTTTCTCTGTCTTTACAGAAAGATCTGTTTTGTATTTGACAACAAACACTCTTCTGTGGCTTCTTGTTCAGTATTCTAAATATGGAATGTCTCTTTCTCATCCTGTGTTTTCCACCTCCTTACCAAAAAAAAAAAAAAATGAGGTCATTGGAGAGGCCTTTAACCTAGGAGAGCTGCAAAGACTGTTTGGGCTGTTATAATAATATACTGTAGGTTGGGGGCTTAAACAACAAACATTTATTTCTCATAATTCTGGAGGCTGGAGAGTCCAAGATCGAGGTGCCAACAGAGTCGGTGCCTGGCAAGGGCCCTCTTCCTGGTTCACAGATAGTACCTTCTAGATGTGTCCTCACATGATGGAGGGGTGAAAGAGCTCTCTGGGTCCCTTTCATAAGGGCACAGATCCCTTTCATGAGGGCTTCTCCCTTGTGACCTAATCGCCCCTCAAAGGCCCGACTTCTTAATACCTTCACATGGGGAGTTTGGCTTCAACCTAAGAATTTTGGAGGACACAAACAAAACAAAAGCTTATGATCACGCCCTTGTGAAAGTGAGAGTGATGGAGGCAGGTGTGGGAAAAGGGCACTGGAGTTTCTTGTGAAAGCTAGCGGGGAAGAAACTTAAAGGAAGAGCCTTTCTGAGGCTGGTGTTCTAGGCACCCTGCCTTTTCTAGGAAGCCTGGCCTTGTGGAAAGGGAAGGGCTTTGGAGTTCAGACAGGCCAGGCTTCCTCTCTGATCTAGCCTCCTGCGGCTTTGGCTTCTTCTTCCTACAGTTGCTTACATGATACCTACCTCATGAAATCAGAGAGGTGTTAAAACAGGCTGTGGGTGTCAAGTGCCTGACACCCAGCAGGGATTCAATCACATTCTGTTGCATTCTCCCAAAAAGACTCTGTGACTCCATCATGAGGGATTAAAGGGGAAGCCGGCACCTGCATCACAGAGTGGGGCTGGGCTAATAGTGATAATATCATAGTTGTAATAGTTAAGGTGTATTGAGCACATAGTATTGTCGGGTGCTAGTTACTTCATTTAATCCTCCCAACAACTCCATAAGGTGTGGTCTACTTTATTATGCCCATTCTAAAGACAGGAAAATTGAGGTGTAGATAAGTGATTTGCTCCAAGTCACAGGATAGAGATGGCAAAGCCAGAGTTTGAATTCAAATCTGACTCTAAGTATTTGACAGCACAACAGAATGACTACAGTCAACGATAATGTACTGCATATTTTAAAATAACTGAGAGTGGAAATGGAATGTTCCTAACACAAGGAACTGATCAACGCTGTAGGTGATGGACACCCCACTTACCCTGATGTGATTGTTACACATTGCATGTCTGTATCAAAACATCACCTGTGCCCCATATACACTTACCCATAAAAAATAAAAACAGAAATTAGCTTAAAATGTTTAAAACTCTAATTCTGAAGCCTGTATTCTAAATCACTCTCCTATTCTGCTCTTCTACTGCATGGAAAAGTTTTGAGGTCTGTAGAAAAGCAACAAAGACAAGGATTAGGAGGAATGTGGTCCAGGGCCAAGCCTGTGTTGACAAGGGCAACCTTGGCTTCAGGGAAAGGGCAGCCTAATGCGTTTTTTAAACAAAGGATTTGCAGATGCATTTTTGTAGGCAAGTCTTGAGGCTCCAAACTGGGGAACAAACACATATTTGACCCAAAGCTGACTAGAAAGAAGAAAGTGTCTCTCCAGAGAGATATGAGAAGCTGAGAGGGCTTGGGTGAAGCCTGCGGGTAGACACAGATTGGAACTGTACTTGGCTCTGGAAGCCTCTGCGAGGTGAGGTCCTCACAGCTTGCGTGGTTCAGGTGCAGTTTGGGCTGTACAATCTCTCATCCTTGTAGTAACTGGGGGCACAGACGGGTTATTCTGAACTCCAACAGAAATAAAAACCCACCGGGGAGCGAGCTGCCTGCATGTTCTGCCACCTTCAGCCCCGCCCCAGGAGATTCCAGGGGTTCTGGGGCAGGGCCCAGTGTTAGTGCTTTAGAAGATCCCCACATGATTCCAACAGGAGAGGGCGAGGCTGCAGGTGTCACAGTGGGCTCCGAAGTACCAGAAGAAAAGAGAACACAGGAAAAATAAGTGAATCCCAGTGCGTCAGAACTGTGTTTCATCTCTGTGCTGCCACTGACGCACCCAGGGTACCTGTTACCCTGGGCTTCTGTCTCTGAGCCCTCAACCATGCTCCATGTGCCATGTTCATGACGACTGCCCCATCCTGCCACTGTGTTCCTTGGGTGTTGCTGCCTCTCTGCCAGGAAAAGCCACACTTGCTCTTCTGGGGCTGAGATTTCTCTCGATGGCATGTCTGCCAAGAGCTGCCAGCAAGGCATATTCTGGAGAAATACCTTCCACATCCCTCAGAGCCTCCAGGATCCTGTAGTGGGCTCATGGGAGCAGCTGTGTGAGGAGAGTGCACCCCCGGAGGGCAGGCAGGGAGGCGGAAACGTGGGCTCCTCCAGCCTAGGGACCTGCCCACCAGTGTTTTTCAAACTATGGTGAAGACAGGAGTTACCTGAGGTGCTGATCAAAAATAAATGCTTATCCCTGGGCCCCACCTGACTTGGGAACCCGGAATGTCCATGGCCCGGGTCTGAGAATTGGCATTTTAACAAGGAGCCCACGAGGAGAAGCACTTCATATCACATAATCCTGGGCGGGTGGAGCCACCGTGTGTCTCCCATGGAGGGAACTGATGGAATTGCAGAGCGGTACATTCCCGGGTAGTTCTTTCCTGCGTTTGTTCAGTCATTAAACAAGTACTGTTATTAAGCATCTACTCTCTGTTCTTGCTAAAGTAGACAAAGTACCCCTCCCATCTCCACAGGGCCAATTGGGTCTCTATCAAAACATTGCTCAGCTACTTACTAGGCGCTGTAGGCATTGGGTAAATTACTTAACCTCTCTGTGCATGAGTATCTTTGTTTCTCGTATTAGCATAATAGTAACCACATCTCCTTTGGGTGGCAGATGCTCTATGTGAGCCTCCATCAAATGAATAAGATACCCACATTATAGCTTGTCTACATGTGGTAGCCCTTACTTTCACATATATCCCCCCCTTCCCCTAAATTCTAATGAGAAAGTAGAAATGTTCTAGGCCTAATGAGAGTATTTCCAACTCTGTTTTTGTTTTGTTTTGTTTTTTTGAGACAGAGTCTCACTCTGTCACCCAGGCTGGAGTGCAGTGGCATGATCTCGGCGTAGCTGATTACAGGTGCCCACTACCACACCTGGCTAATTTTTGTATTTTTTGTAGAGGCAGTGTTTCACCATGTTGGCCAGGCTGGTCTTGAACTCCTGGCCTCAAGTGATCCTCCCACCTCAGCCTCCCAAAGTGCTGGGATTACAAGTGTGAGCCACCGCACCTGGCCTCCAACTCTGTTTAATTGTATCTATTCAGCATTGTTTTGGGAAGAACGTTGAGCTAATCAGTGCTTTCCAAGCTATGGTAGCCTGAGAATCACGGAGCTTGGGGACCAGAGGGACATTTGAAAAATGCTTACCCCTGAACCTCACCCAGACTTAGGAACACAGAATACCTAGAGATGGGATGTGGAATGTCATTTAAACATTTTTTTCATTTTTAATTTTTGTGGGTACATAGTAGGTATATATATGTATGGGGTACATGAGATATTTTGATTCAGACATGCAGTGCAATGCATAATAATCACATCAGGTTAAATGGGTATCCATCACCTCAAGCATTTATCATTTCTTTGTGTTATAAACATTTCAGTTCTACTCTTGTAGTTATTTTAAACTGTACAGTAAATTATTGTTGACTGTAGTCACCCTGTTGTGCTATCAACTCTAGATTTTATTCATTCTATTAATATTTTCCCCACCCCACTACCCATCCTAGCCTCTGGTAACCATCATTCCACTCTCCATCTCCATGAGTCAGTTTTTAAAATTTTTAGCCTCCACATGTGAGTGAGAATATGCAAAGTGTGTCTTTCTGTGACTGGTTTATTTCACTTAACATAATGACCTCCAGTTCCATCCATGTTGCTGCAAATGGCAGGATCTCATTCTTTTTTATGGTTGAATAGTACCATTGTGTGTAAGTACCACATTTTCTTTATCCATTCATCTGTTAATGGACACTTAGGTTGCTTCCAAATCTTGGCTATTGTGAAGAGTGCCGCAGTAAACATGAATGTTCAGATCTCTTCGATATACTTCTTTCCTTTTTTTCTGGATATATACCTAGGAGTGGGATTGCTGGATCGTATGGTAGCTCTATTTTTAGTTTTTTTGAGGAACCTCCGTACTGTTTTCCATAGGGGTTGTGCTAATTGACATTCCCACCAGCAGTGTACAAGGGTTCCCTTTTCTCCACATCCTTGCTAGCACTTTTTATTGCCTTTGTTTGGATAAAAGCCACTTCAGCTGGGGTGAGATAATTTGTAGTTTTGATTCGCATTTCTCTGGTGATAAATTATGCTAAGCACTTTTGCATATGCCTGTTTGCCATTTGTATGTCTTCTTTTGAGACATGTCTATTCAGATCTTGACCAAATTTTTAACCAGATTATTAGATTTTTTTTCCTATTGAATTGTTTGAACTCCTTATATATCCTGATTATTAATTCCTTGTCAGATGGATGGTCTGCAAGTATTTTTTCCCATTCTGTGAATTGTCTCTTTACTTTGCTAATTGTTTCCTTTGCCGTTCAGAAGCGTTTCAATCTGATGTGATTCCATTTGCTCATTTTTGCTTTGGTCGTCTGTGCTTTTCAGGTATTACCCAAGAAATCTTTGCCCAGACCAATGTCCTGGAGATTTTTCCCAATGTTTTCTTTTAGTAGTTTTATAGCTTGAGGTCTTAGATTTAAGTCTTTAATCCATTTTGATTTGATGTTTGTAAATGGAGAGAAATAGAGGTCTAGTTTTATTCAAGTGCAACCAGAGGCATAAAAGGGGGGAAAGGACAGTCTCTTCAATAAATGGTGCTAGGTTGCATTGGTTGTCTGTGCTTGTGGGGTATTATGCAAGAAATCTTTGCCCAGACCAATGTCCTGGAGATTTTTCCCAATGTTTTCTTGCAGTAGTTTCACAGTTTGAGGTCTTTAAGTCTTTAATTCATTTTGATTTATTGTTGTGTGTGGTGAGAGATAGGGGTCTAGTGTTAATCTTCTGCGTATGGATATCCAGTTTTCCCAGCACCATTTATTGAAGAGACTGTCCTTTCCCATGTGTATGTTCTTAGCACCTTTGTCAAAAGCAAGTTCACTGTAGATGTATGAATTACTGGCTTCCCTATTCTGTTCCATTGGTCTGTGTGTCTGTTTTTATGCCAGTACCATACTGTTTTGGTTACTAGAGCTCTGTAGTATAATTCGAAGTGAGGTAATGTGATTCCTCCAGTTTTGTACTTCTTGCTCAGGATGACTGTGGTCATTCTGGGTCTTTTGTGGTTCCATATAAATCTTAGGGCTTTTTTTTTTTTCTACTTCTGTGAAGAATGTCATTACTATTTTTATATGGATTGCACTGAATCTGTAGATTGCTTTGGGTAGTAAGGACATTTTAACAATATTGATTCTTCTAATTCCTGAATATGGAATATCTTTTTATTTTATTGCATCAATTTTTTCCATCAATGTTTTATAGTTTTCATTGTAGAGATCTTTCACATTTTTGGTTAATTCCTAGTTATTTTGTTTTGTTTGTAACTGTTATAAATGTGATCACTTTCTTGTTTTCTTTTTCACATTGTTTGCTGTTGGCCATATAGAAATGCTACTGATTTTTGTATGTTGATTTTTATATTCTGTAAGTTTATTGAACTTGTTTGTCAGCTCTCAATTTTTTGGTGCAGTCTTTAGGTTTTTCCAAATATAAGATCATATCATCTGCAAATAAGAACAATTATGACTTTTTCCTTTCCAAATTGGATGCTTTTATTTCTTCCTCTTATCTGATTAGCTAGCTGGGACTTCCAGTACCATCTTGAATAACAGTGGGGAATGTGGGCATCCTTGTCTTGTTCCAGATCTTAGAGGAAAGGCTTTCAGAATTTCCTCATTATGTATGATACTATCTGTGGGTCTATCATATATGGCTTTTATTGTGTTGAGGTATGTTCCTTCTATATCCAGTTTTTTTTTTTAGGGTTTTTGGTACAGCATTTTAACAGCTTCGTCAGGTGATCCCAAAATATCCTACTTTGAGAAACACTGAGTTAAATGCTCTGTGTGATGCAAATAAGCATAAGTTATAAAACTTGTATTTTAGAGAAGTTCAGGGATCGCCGAGAAGATGACTTCTCTACACACAGAAGTATTAAATTAATATCAATCAAATGCAATAAGTCATGTGAAGGAACTTAGGTGAAAAATCATTTAAAAAATCATTAAAATGTAAGGGAATGCCCACCACTTGAATTAAGTAAGGAGTGAATGGTTGAGAGGAGAGAGCCCAATGAAGACATGACATGCTGAGGAAAGGCTTCCTGGAGGAAGCAGCAGCATGAACCAGCAGCAAAGCTCAACTGTCTCTGTTGTTAATCTCAGCATACATTGAACTCATGCAATCATCAAGAAGCATCCACCAGACACTGAGGATGCAGCAGCTTGGAAGTGATGGGGTGAGATGGAGCTCTGGGCATTAGCTAGTAAGGAAGGGAAATGTATTATAAGACTGTCATGTTCTTACAGATGCTCAGACTCCAGACAGTAGAGTTCCTCTGAACATATGACCAGTATTGCCACCCGCATGGTGCTATTATTGGCATAAGGATTTGGTATGAGAAGAACCAATATTTGAGTTCCGGACCCTCTCTGGGCACCAATATCTCACACACTTTGCAATAATTCAATGATCCACCTAGAACTCACACCTTTATGTATATTTTACCTTCTACTTTCAGTTTTTTCCAGGGTCATTTAGGAAACAATGGAAGGAAAACATGAATCCCTTAATTGAAGAAGCTGTTAAAATGCACCAAAATCCCCAACCTTTTTGTTAAAATAGGAATTTCTTCAGGGCAGCAGCTCCATTTCTCATTCTGAAGAGGTTCGTTGTCTGATGTCCAGGTTAGTTAGTGGGCATCCAATTTTAATAACTTTAAATTGTTGGACTTGGGGAAATTTTCCATTATTGACAAGCTTTTAAGAAGATAGGGAAAATTTTCTATCAAATAGTACTTCAACATCCTGTCTCAAACTGTTGAACTTTGAAGCTAAGTGATACTTATGACTACATACAGGATTGGTTTTACTGTAAAAAAAAAAAAAAACAAAAACAAACAAACAAAAAAAAACCGTCATGCTATTTCGAGCTTGTCTAGGTTTATTGAATGCTAAGTTTGCCTTGGGGTTGCAATAGTTTATATGTTTATTCATCTTTTGCTTATAAAATCTCCATCAACCTAGTGACCTGGGGGTGACTTTTGTCCATGAGATTTAATAGTTTTTTTATGTTTTGCACAGGACAGATTTTTACCATAAATTAATTTTCTGTTAGATGTCATTGAAGAAAACAATAGTAAAATAGAAGTTAAAGGCTTTATTCAACAGCTACACATCAAGAAGCCCCTTAACATGAGCTAGTTCTCTAAGTTGAAGCAGGATTGGAGTAGGACAGGTAGAGAGAAGAGAGGAATATGTGGCTGTGATCTTGTCCAAGGTTGTAGTTGCCTTCATCTGTAACTGCTGCAAAATCTGTAGTTGAAATGATTGAAAGACGATGCCAATGGTTCATGCCCTTTTCTTGAGGTGGTTGATGCAATACCATCTGGCAGTTCTAGAGCAGTTCTTTCAAAAACTGTCTTTGTAAGCCTGGTGAGTTGTCTGTTGGCTGCCTAATACCACCTAAGCTTCAGGAGGGGAGATGATACAAAAGACATAAAGGCAGGGGGAGCAGAGAGAGAAAAAAAGGAGGCAAATGTTGGTCTAAGCAAGAAAATTGGGTTGATTTTGATTATTAAACATTAAACATGGGGAAAATGTATGATTTAAAAAGTGTTAGTTCTGTTCTTTGTTATAAAGGATTTTAATCAAAAGTCTTTGTAGTTACTATAGAAATGAAAACTGAGGAATATACAAGGGTGTGAACATAGAAAGAAAACAAAGGTGGCAGAAAATGGCATACTTTTAAAAAGAACCTTTAAAATTATAGTGGCGATGCACACTCATTGGAAAAAAATCTAAATATTTCAGAAAAAAATAAAGAGCATAAAATTGAAAGCCTTCTTCCTTTAACTTGTTCGTATCTGTAATTCAGTTTTTATTTTTCCACCAGAGATAACTGAGGCCAGTAATAGGTATCCCTTCAAACATTTTTCTATATATTTATGCATAAATATATATCTATTTTCTATATATCTATGCATAAGAACATAAACATAGGTCAGAGTGAGGCTGGGAGGGTGAATATTGAATGCATATTGCTAAGTGAAAAATCCAACCTTTGAAGGCTACATCTGAATAATTCTATTTGTATGACTTTTTGGAAAAGAATAAAGAGATGGCAAACAGATCAGTGGTTGCCAGAAGTTAAGGGAGAGAGGTGGCAGAAGGTTGAATAGGTGAAGCACAGAAAATATTTTAGGGTGGTGACATTATTCTGTATGGTACCGTAGTGGTGAATACGCAACACTATACATTCGTCAAAACCCATTGCACTTTATAGCATAAAGAGTATGCCTTAATGTCTGCAAATTAAAAACTAACCAATTAGAGGTTGGAAGATCTCAGAATGGAATGTAGACTGTGACAAAAAAAATGTAAGCATATAAACAATGTGTTATTTCACTGAAGGAAGATGGAAGAAATTTGCTGACTTAGGTAACTGGAAATGAGTGGAGATTGTATGACTGAAGACAAAAGGAACTGCATATAAGCACTGTGCTTTATTTGATTAGTTTCCAATAGAAGTACATGTTATCAGTTCTGAAATCACTATACATGTATAGAGTGATTAAACAAATAAGTAAATAGATGGCAGATGAGGCAGCAGGTGTCTTCCTGTTTGAGAGGGAGGTTACAGATAAGCAACAAGGGAAGGCTAGAACAATATGATAACAGATTGGAATTGGAGTCATCATTAGGAACTCATATTTACTTTAACATAAATACAGATGGTGATATGGATAAATATTTCTATATCTGCGTATATGCACACATATTTTCTTGTTCTTTCAGGTGAGAGGGCCTAGAAGCAATGAGGAGCTGTTGCAGTGAGCACAGCTAGTGCCCACATCTTGGTTTCTAAATACCACTCTCCAATAAAAGGAACCAGGGCTCCTTGGAGAAATGGCTGATACTAGAGTTAGGTCAGGGTAGTGGTCAAAGATGGAATAATTTGAGGAACAAAATAAATAAAGTTGTATTGGAGTAAAACCTTGGGTATAAAATGCATATTGTGAGTTTATATTGATATAAGTAAATGATTGAATGAATAAATGGGAGATAAGAGGCAATTCTGTCCAAAATGGAAGAATTCAGAATAATTCCTAACTTTCCACCCCATTGAGTGTGGGCTGTGCATTGTGACTTCTTTCCAAAATATAGAGTATGGAAAGTGGAGGCCAGGCATGGTGGCTCACACCCATAATACCAGCATTTTGGGAGGCTGAGGCAGGCAGATCACCTGAGGTCGGGAGTTCGAGACTAGCCTGGCCAACATGGTGAAACCCCATCTCTACTAAAAATACAAAAATTAGCCTGGCATGGTGGCACATGCCTGTAGTGCCAGCTACTTGGGAGGCTGAGGCAGGAGAATTGCTTGATCCCAGGAGGCAAAGGTTGCAGTGAGCCGAGATTGTGCCACTGCACTCCAGCCTGGGTGACAAAACAAGATTCTGTCTCAAAAAAAAAAAAAAAAAAGGAAGAAAGGAAAGAAAGTGGAAAAAAAAAGAGCAACTTCTTTGTGGAGAGACCTGACAAACACTCAGCCAAGTGATCAAACTTAACATCATCAGGTATAAGTCATGTTGATAGCATGTATCCTTGGAATGGTGTGATGAGAATGGCACTTTACCCCTGCAACCTTTCTCCCCCAAATCCTTAACCCCTGCATAACCATGAGAAAACAAACAAAGCAAAACAAAGGGGCATTCCACAGAATACCTGATGAGAACTCAGAACTGTGAAGCTCATCAAAAACAAGAAATATCTAAGAAGTCATTGCCTAGAGGTGCCCGTAGAGACATGATGATTAAATGTAATGCAGCATTCTGCATGGGATTCTAGTGTGGATAAAGGACATTAGGTGGCCGGGCATGATGGCTCACTCCTGTAATCCCAGCACTTTGGGAGGCCGAGGCGAGTGGATCACCTGAGGTCAGGAGTTCAAGACCAGCCTGGCCAACATGGTGAAACCCCATCTCTATGAAACATACAAAAATTAGCCAGGCATGGTGGCGGGTTCCTGTAGTCCCAGCTACTCGGGAGGCTGAGGCAGGAGAATCACTTGGACCCAGGAAGTGGAGGTTGCAGTGAGCCAAGATCACACCACTGCACTCCAGCCTGGGTGACAGAGAAAGACTCTGTTTCAAACAAAAATAAAGAAAATGACATTAGGTGAAAACTAAGAAGATTTCAATAAAATATGGACTTTAGTTTAAAATCATGTCTCAGTATTGTTTTGTTAATTGTGACAGATGTATCATACTAATGTAAGATTTAACAGTCGAGGAAAATGGGTATAGAGAATTCTCTGTAGTATGTTTTCAACTTGTCTGTAAATTTAAAATTGTTCTAAAATTTAAAAAAACACTTGAAATATATCTTGGAACTTGTTTCATATCAAATATAGATATGGATATATAGATAGATGGATTTTTTTATTATTTTAAATGGATGCATAGTATTCCATAATATACATATATATGTCATAAGTTATCTAGAAATCTAAATCTAAATTTCTCTGTCATGTTCATTTAAAATTTTATTAGCTTTGCACTATTACTGTTCATAGCCAACAAATATCCTTAAATAAACATGAAAGCATATATGCAATAACTTGTCTGTATCTAAATAAAACATAAAACCTAAAGAAGTTTTGAAAAACTCCAGCAGAGAAAGCTGCAGATGGGAAACCAAGGCTCTGCAAATATTAAGGTCTTGAAGGCCTTTATATCACCTTCTTGTTGCCTTTATTTTAAATACATTTTTTCCCACAGACTATGGAGACTTGTCTCTTGCTACTCTCGTAAATTATTCCCTAGCCCCAGATTTCTAGAGTAGTCTGTGGTTTATTTATGCAATGAAATACTACCCAGAAGTTAAAATGGACTATATTATATATGTGCATAAAATATATATATAGGGTTAAATTCATATAACAATTGTATGTATTATTTATGGGTGCATACATATGTAGAAAAAGTGAGTTAAATATTCATGGGAATGATATACACTGACCTTAGGATAAGGCTTGAGGAAGAAGGAAGAGGAGGAGTGAAAGAACTGTAGGCAAGGCTTTAGCTATGCCATGAAGTTTTAATTACTTTTTCTTAAGTGTGCTGGCAGAACGAAATGTGGCAGAATGCGAATATGTGCTTCCTCTGAGCAATGGGTGTCTGTGTATGTTTTATAAGTCCTATCATTACATTCAATTAAAAAATGGAAAGCCATTCACCATTCATGTCAGTCTCTTGTGTTGTTGGTAAATTATTGTGGGATTCTTTTTCCCTCTGATTCTTCAAAGACTAGCTTTGTATTGCTTGTATCTGCACCTGTTGATTGCAATTACATTTATCCCTCCCCTCCCTTTGTTTCTCCACACACTCTGTACTTTTTGAACTGGGTTGTTTCCATTTAAGGAAGGCCATATTTGAAGATGAAAACTAAGCATATTTGAGGATGCGTGAATGAAAAAAATTATTCCTTCAAGCATTCACCAAAATAATGTGCAGCTTTGATTCTTTTATTTTTCACACGTTCTAGATAACAGATGGCACTTTAGGGCTATTAACAGGATGTGTGAGAAAAAATTCAGGGCTATATGTAGTGATTCTTTTAAATACTCCCGTTGTTGAGTGGACAATTTAAGTCATCATAGTTGTGAAGGGAATAAAAGAGAAGCGGCAGGTTGTTTTTGTTAGAAGTAATCTCCAAAATACAAAATAAGAAAGTAAGAGAAAATTTCCTACTTTTGCAAAATTAAACAATCTGAAAGCTCAAATTAATTATTCTTAATAAAAAACAAAAATGTTAATACATAAATAAAAAGAATCTTTTCTGTCTAAAAAGAGAACCTAGACATTTCAGCAAGCCAGTGCAAATTCTTTCAAGCTCTCTACTTCTACCTATTCGGTACCTTATAATGGAGTTGATGTTACTGGCAATAGCTCTAAGGTCATAAAATGTCTTAAATACTTTCTGAATCATGAAAGAAAAAGTTATATCATTTTCAAATCATCTTAGTATTAAGAGATATTCTATTTGTTTTAAAATAGCAGCCTGTATAATGTCTAAGAAGTTCACAGACTTCAATCTAGCTGAGTTCCAAAAGTTTGTTGAGCCGCTGATTTTTCTGGGTTAGATATAAATGTTAATTTCCAAGTTTAATTTATGAAAGTTAGTTTAATCCACAGTAGCAGACTTCTGTTTGTTGGCTGTCTTTTGGTTCATACTCCCTTTTAGAAACTTGGCAAGTAGACATTCATTAGCCGCTTAGTGCACCCCAACGCGTTCACAAAATTGCAAAGAGAAGCATTGATAACATCTAACAGGAAATGTGGTGAGCCGGCTCCTGCTGTGCCGTTCTTTAGTCCACAGGTTCACTCCTTCCCGACCTATGAGAGCTGATTCCACTAGGCTGATTGGAGGCCAGCAGACACTGGCCTGGTTCCCTCCATGCTTTCCAGGGCTGGGACTTAGCAGAAAGGAGCCTGGTGCTCCAGCATTCCTAATCAGGGAGCTTCTCCAACTAAGTGTCAGGGCCTCTAAGACATAATAGGAAGTTTGTTTCAGTGTTTTCTCAAAGGTATTTTTAGCCATCACCACCCTGGAAAAGGGAATTTTAATTACTATCATTGATTATAATGGTAATTTTAAGAATACCAACTTTATTGGGAGGAAAAGTTTCAGCTATTTATTTCCAATATAAAGCTGTAGAAAATGTTAGTTAGGGATGGGTAAGCCATTAGCAAGAGATGATTGACAATATTCTGACTTAATACTCTAAGTCACTGCTATCCCAAATGGCAGATCAGTGCTGGTCCATGAATTGTTTGAAACAGATTTTCAACAAGTTAAATGCAGACGTTGAGAGAAAGCATTTAAAATTTATATAGCACAATGACATTGTGGTGACATGCAGGCATGTGATCATTTTCTACTAATTATTATTTTCTGTTACATTTACAAATGTATTAGTACAAATGAATAGCAATTTTTAAAGGGTCTCATAACTTGAGAAACACATTTTAGAAGGTAAGAAACTTGTTAGAAAATCTATTTTCATTACAAAATGTGTAACTTTGATTTTCTCTGACAAATTTATACTAGCACTATTGCATTTGTAATCAATGACTCTAATCACGTTTAAATTTACAAACAATATAAAAAGAAAGTAAAAAGAGAACAAGGAGTTTTCCTGAGATTCTCTGCTAAGAATTCAAGAAAGACAAAAGTGTGGAAGAAGTTGAAAGAGGATGTATGTTCACCTGAGGTCTATGTTGTAAATGGTGAGAGACAGGGAGGGCGCAGGATGGTGCTGTGGGTAGAATCTTTGATGAAAAAGGTGGTGGTGGGTGGGGGTGATACTTGACTCATATTTCCTGGTTCCAGCAACCTGGAAAACTTCTAGGTTGTATCTGAAATGAGGTAAGAAGAGAGAAAATAAGGCAAGATGTAATTATTCATTTTAATGTATAAGCTGGTTACAAATAAAATATTTATTATTCATATAGTGTTTATATATAGTAAGCCTTTGATAAAAATATTGTTTTAATCAGAACATTCTACTTCTAGGTGGGTAGGTAGATACCTTTATGCAAGTATATATTCATATTAGTCAGGCAGGTGTTAAAAAGATATGTGAAGTGTACTAGACCAGCTATCCTCCTATAATCAAAGAGAAAACTAGAGAAAATATATGAAACAACTGTTTTCAGATGCTGAGCTATTGGAAGTGTGGGTTTATGATGGCTGAGAGAAGGGAAACAACAGGATAGGCTAAAGGATTTTTCCAGCTTTCTACCTGGAGGAATTTACTGTACATTATGTGGGGAAGGGAATCCAAACTGAGCATGGTGGTCTTGCTGAGCTGAAGATGGGAATTTGGAGAGGATGAGAAGGCTGATATTTGTGGCACAGAGTAATGGAGAGGAGAAAGACAGAGAAAGAGCTCCAGAGATCTTCAAGGAGTCATCTAGACACTTTAGCTGAATTCTAAGCTGTGCATGCATAGGTAAGACTCCATGAAGTCAGACAAAGCAAAACTCCCGGGGAAAGAACAAAAATTGAGGAACTGTAAAGTTAGTAACTGCCAGAGCTCATATAGATTTCTGAAAATATTTTAGCTTTGGCCAGAGTGAAGAATTCTTCTACTCTACTGGGACTGAGCTAATCATACCGTGAAGGTTACTGCAGGCCCATCACAACAAAACCTATAAACAAGCCTACTAGGATAAAGCTGATGCAAGTAACTTAACTTCCTGCCAGTATAAAACTCAACACTTTTTAAATGACAACAAAATCGAGACACTCGATAATGTAGAAATAACAATGTTCAGCATCCGGATGAAAATTTTTAGACATGTGAAAAAGCAAGAGAAAACTCAAGCAATGAAAATCAAACTATAAGTGAAACCTCCTTAAAACAGCTTTTTAAAATATTTTCAAGATTACAGAAAATGGACATAATGAAAACAGGAATGGAATTTATAAAAGAGAATTGATGGACAAAAAGAACAAATGAAACTGAGGAGCTACAAAAATACCATAGCTATAATAATCTACTGAATGAGCTTAAGAGCAAATTAAATACCACAGAAGAAAAGATAGATGAACTTGAGGATAGAATGATAAATCCTACCCAAATTGAAGCACAAGAAGAAAAGAAATTGAGGAAGAAAAAAAAAAAACCACTGAACCACATAAGCTATAGGACAGCTTCAAAAGGTCTAACAGAAGTATAACTGGAGAAAGATGTGGGCATAGACAAATGTATATTAAGAAATAACAGCCAAATGTTTCCCAAATTTGTTGAAAAATATAAACACCCTGTCCAAGAAGTTTAACAAACTCCAATCTAAACAAACAAAAAGAAAGTCCCACAAAAACACAATATAATTAAAAAATTTGAATATCAGTGATAGAGAAAAATATTTAAAACAGTCAAATAAAAAGACACATTATGTGCAAGGGAACAGTGGTAAGAATTATCACACTCTTCTCACCAGAAATGAATGCCATTCAAAAAGCAATAGGATAACATTATTAAAGTTGCTTCTCAAAGGGAAAAAAACTATGAACCTATAATTCTGTATCTGAGAATGTAGGTAGAAGAAATGAAGGTCAAATAAAGATATTATCAGATACGAAAGACTGAGAGAATTTTGCACCAGCAGACCTGCACTACACAAATATTAGAGGATGCTCTTCAGACTTAAGGAAAATGATTTCAGGTAGAAGCTTAGCTCTACAAATTACAAGCTCTTGAAATGAGATTCACCTTTTTTCTATCTCTGTATGAAGTTTTGTGAAGATATTATGTCTTCATGTAAGAAGCTGCAGCAGTTTCTTGCGACCGTGAGAGAACAAGCATGAAGGTGAACACCGATGATGCATTGAGAACAACATTGAGAAAACACCTGTGTAATTGTGCATTGAATTAGCTAACCTGGAACTGCTCATCTTTGGATTTTTTGTTAAGTGACATGTTCGACATTGATAGAGCAGTCAGCATTAAAATCTGATCAAAGAAACAGGCAGTTTCACATCCTTCATAGCTGAGTCTTTGGAATACATTGGTATGCTTATATCTTCAGCATTATTCTTTCCATTGATTAATAACTGTAATCTAAAATCTTTAATTCTTTTTTATTTTTGAATAGATATTCATTAGAATAATGAAAGAGAAAATGTACACTTTAAGAATTTCTTCTACTTAACGTTTTTAAAGATTGCCTCTTTATCCAAAAAACAGTATACCATTTATAAATATTTAACTGTATATCATACAAATGCCTCCAGTTTTATCCAAATCCACTGTTAAATTACCCATGTAATTATTCCAGTAGAAATCATTATACCTTTTTATTGTTAATTTCATCAATGCTTTACTGTAAAGAGTCTAGGTGTACTTAAATGCAGTTCTCAGAGTTCTTCTTATGACAATTAAATGGAACATTTCCATATTATTTTGGTGGGGGACGATGTGTATATTTACTGTTTAAAGTGTAACAAAAAATTATTAGCCACTAACAATATAGATAAAAAATAAATGGCCAATAGACTTACTTTAGGGCGTGCTTTTCAATGATTTC
The DNA here is from genome assembly GCF_000001405.40 of Homo sapiens. Taxonomy (NCBI): domain Eukaryota; kingdom Metazoa; phylum Chordata; class Mammalia; order Primates; family Hominidae; genus Homo; species Homo sapiens. Next base: position 10,818,936 of record NC_000018.10, on the reverse strand, counting down.
AATGACATCTTTTTATTCCTGTTTCCATTAAAATGAAGCCAATAATTCGGTTATATATTCTAACTGAAAATGAGACTATGAAATGATAGCCCTTCTAGTCTTTGACAACAGGAGAATAGTTGAGGAAAGTGATGCATTGACGTGAAGCGAAATGGTAGGGAACACCCGTGAGGATGCTCTAAACAAATATTTTGAGACTAATATGAACATACAATACTGTATGTAAATGAAAATTCCAAACTCATATCTTATTTACTGTCCTCCATCAAACTTATTCAGTTAAATAAGAAGTACAGATGAGATAGAATTTTTAGTGATTTAGCAAATTCTCAGTATGCAATTCTTATTCTTTCCATTCCCTTTCTGTTACATTCCTATATTACTATTGATCCTGCAACCATTTTCAAATCAACACAAATAGCTATTTAAGGCTGTCTCTGTGCTCGAATTCATCTAGAGTAAATCATTTTGATACTTCCGTGATGAAGAATTCCCAGGAAAATATTGGGTATACACAAGTGTATATTCAGGACATATTCAAGGCTATACATAGAGTTTGTTCAACTTCATTCACCTGCCATGAAATGGGCTACATATTAACTTCTTATTAGTTTCTTATTGTAAATCACCTTCCCCTCAATTCCTTTTAAAGCCGTGCTGAATTCAACATCATTGAAGGTTAACATGGAGTAGTAATCTAAGTACTTCAAGAAATTTCTTATATCTAATCTAATAGCACTTTGGCAGAACAGAGATGACAAGGAACGTGAAGTATGACTACTTCTTTAAGGGTATAAATTGTGATTTCTATCTCCTTGTTGATGTTCCAGAATCTATTTAGTCTATTTATCTGTATTTTTTTCAAGGGACAGAGAAACAACTCAAAAAATAAGAAAAAAGTATATACTTTATTTAGCATATGTTGTAATCAGAATAGGCTATGAAGGAAAACGTTTAATTCAGGTAATAGTCTTCTTAGAAACATTGTAAAGTCCTACTTTTTTTTTTTTTTTTTTGACAGAGTCTTGCTCTGTCGCCCAGGCTGGAGTGCAGTGGCACAATCTTGGCTCACTGCAACCTCCGCCTCCTGGGTTCAAGTGATTCTCCTGCCTCAGCCTCCTGAGAAGCTGGGACTACAGGCGCCTGCCACCACACTCAGCTAATTTTTTGTATTTTTAGTAGAGACTGGGTTTCACTGTGTTAGCCAGGATGGTCTCTATCTCCTGACCTCGTGAACCACCCACCTCTGCCTCCCAAAGTGCTAGGATTACAGGCGTGAGCCACCGCGCCCAGCCATAAAGTCCTACTATTTTGAAGAATGTTTCTGTCTTGTTCAATCTTAAAACATGAAACAATAAAATGAGGCCACGGAAGAACTTTAGAAGGTCATAATCAAATTGTCTTATAGTGTGTAAAAATATGGTCTATAAGTTTTTTATGAACAAGATTGTGCCTTATAAATTTTTTACACTCTGCCTTTTCCTATACTAGTGCCATGTATCTAGCTTTAATAAATGGATACTTCGGGTATAATTTCATTGGCCTTATATTTAATGTTCACTTAGTTATATTTAAGAGATCAAATCTCACCTCAAACAACTTTTAATAGAGTGTTTTAATTCTATTGTCAAATTGGTGTTCATCGTATTTGATATTACCTAAAATATCTAGACAATTAAACAGGGTGGGATATGTTTTTTATAAGGGAACTCTCATTAAAATGGTATTTGCTGGGATGAGATTTAAATAGCAGGTAAAATATTAGTTTCTACTAATAAGAGAAAAGAACTTTCCAACTGACTTTAACTCAATGCTTCCCAAACTTTAATGTGTATATAAATCACTTGAGTGTCTTGTTGGAATGCAGATTTTCATTCAGTAGGTATTGGGTGGGGCCCAAGTTTCTGTATTTCTAATGGAAGAAGCTCTGAGGGACAAGGTCCTAGAAAACCTGCACCATTTATAATTGTACCATGCCTAATTTTATTCCTCTGCTTGATGAGCCCCAACGTATCTTCAATGTTTTAAAAATTAATACAATAAAACTGCAGTGAGAAAAGATAAATAAATCATTTGGTTCTATGTATTAGTTTCTATTTGTGCAAAAAAGCAAAAATACAAGTTATTCCAGCAGTTACCACATCTGGAAATATCAGACATGGATTTCATTGAAATCCTCCCTAAGACATAAATTACATATTCATTTGAAAACGTACTGACTCATTTTGCCTTAACTTGACTTCTTCAGTGATGCACCAATTTTTTTTCCTTTTGGGTATTGTCAATACTATATAATGATTAGTGGAGAAAATCTATAGATTTTTATTGGGTATTTAGGTGTTGCCCCTATTGTTTTGTAAGCATAATTAATTTTCTGATGAACTTTTGTTTATAAAAGTCTTTGAAAACATTTCTGATTATTTTTGATTGATAATTTCAATTAATCATTCAGTCAAACATTCCTGATTGATAGTTTCAGTTACATATTGCAAAATTATTAGTAAAGCTACTACTAGGGTTGCCATTATAATAATCTGAACATGGCCCATGTATAGAAAACATGTAAGTGCTTTGGAAGCATCTAAGAAACAATATTTAGGCTCTGAAAGAGTTTACAACCCATTTCAAGCCACGAGACACAGAAATATAAAAGAACACTAATGGCATAAGACTTCGTGATCTTTGGTTAAATGAGAATTACAGATATTAGGTTCACCAAAATGTCAGTCACACACAGCATGGGAGGTGGGTCTGGGGATGGAGAGGCTTCAGACTGGCAGAGGTTGAGAAAGACAATTGACAAGGAAGCTCCTCCCAGTGAAGAGCCGAGGGCTTCCAGCATGAGACTTAGGTGTCTGCTAGGCAGGGAGTCTTCCCAGCTCCTGCCTAGTGGGATTTGATCATAACCGTAATCCGGTACCTGTGTTGTGTTTCCCGCACCTCCTTTCTCCAAATGGGAGTTTTTATTGCACTGATGATGTTTCCACTCCACTGACGTGTGCTGGGTGCAATTTTGTGGACCTGTAAGGAGCGAATAACTGAACTGTAAGAGAGGACCAAGCATCACCTAGGCCTCCACCTCATGAGCTGTATAACTGGGTAGAAATTTGGAACTGTTTTTCTTGGAGAGGTAGAAAGTATATTCTATGTGTGAGAAGAAAGTGTCCATAAATATTTAGATTATAGCTATAATGTACCATCAGAAGACTGTTCTCCTTCTTCTCTTGTTCCTGAGTGAGAGCACTCCCAAATATTATCTAGGTACGTTGCTGTGGAAACAAAAGATGTATCATTCTAGCTTGAACTATATACATCTATACTTTTATACAAGGAAGAAATTGATATCTATCACATAAGAAATCTGGTGACCCTGTAGCTTACAATCCAAAACAATTGTATATAGGATATTTTCAAGGCCCGTTTCAGCAATTCTAAGTTGAAGTGTCATGAAAAGCAGTTCAAAAGTCGTATGCCTATCATTTCTGGTCTTCACATTACCTCTTTGAGATACGTTATTTACTAGCCTCATTTTCCAAATGAGGAAATTGAGGCTTAAAGTGGTTAAATGTCCTACTCAGGGTCACGTAGGTAATCATTCAGGCAGGGCTCGAATCCATGTCTGGATCACCATTCTTTTCTTTTAGCCCTATAGCCTCTGATTTTAAGTTTATCCTGAGTTCATGCTAAGGCAATTTCATTTAAAAGGTGTGCTTTAAAATACTAAGTAGAATATGTGCCACTTGAATTTTCATTGTTTTTAACCTTTAAAAATAAGACCCATGTTTTGTTGCCATTAGATTTATGCCATTAGAGTGGGGAAAGGGTCGGTAGGGGATGGAAGAAAAAGAAAAGTTAATTATTTTTAGTGCCTGGCCATTTTCCCCACAATTAGTTTTATAAGCTGCTGCAGGGCACCTATGTCTACTTAAAGAATTAAATCCCCAGGGACCATCGATGGGTGGCTGCAGTTATTGCTAGCTTTATATCTTCAAACATAATTAATCCGTAAGGTTGAACTCTTTCCTCTGAACCAGGACTCGCTTACAGAAACGCAGCTTCCTCCCCCTTTCAAGGCTGCTTGTCATGTGTTCCCCTGCTCTCAGTTGAGCCCATGAGTGTGTCTCATTGGCCAGTCATCATGGCCACTGATCCACTTAGCTCCTGGTGTTTCATGAACTTTCTGAATACTCTGCCTGGGAATTCCCATAGGGAGCCCAGGATGCTTGGAGTCTGTCACCAAACCCTTTCCAGGGAAAACGGTATGAGAAGAGGAATGGCTGAACATCCTGGGGGCTGACAAGGCTTCCACCTTGACAGAGCTCAGCCGAGCTTCAACAATCCTCCTCTCTGTTGAGTGTGGTTTCTGTGTTTTGAGTCTAGTGTCTGTAGTTTGGACTCAAATTCTCAAACTTCCTGAAATGCATCTGCCTCTTTGTGGCTACTTCCCGTTACCATTTCTTCCTCCATTCATTTCAATTAAAGGATGTGGGGTTAAAAATGAGAAGATTATTAAAATACATTTCCTCTAGAAAATTATTTGTCCCCAAATATTCGTTTTATGCTAGTTGGAAACAATATATTTCCTGGCTTCCTAAAAGGATTGGAAGCTGTCTTGGAATTAGAACTCTGAGCTCTTCAGGAAAAAAGAAGTTTAAATTAAAAGTATGGGACGGGGCACGGTGGCTCATGCCTGTAATCCTAGCACTTTGGGAGGCCAAGGCGGGCAGATCATGAGGTCAGGAGATCAAGACCATCCTGGCTAACACAGTGAAACCCTGTCTCTACTAAAAAAATACAAAAAATTAGCTGGGCGTGGTGGTGGGCGCCTGTAGTCCCAGCTACTTGGGAGGCTGAGGCAGGAGGATGGCATGAACCAGGGAGGTGGAGCTTGCCGAGAGCCGAGATTGAGCCACTGCACTCCAGCCTGGGCCACAGAGCAAAACTCCATCTCAAAAAAAAAAAAAATATATGGTGTCCCATCTCACACCTATTAGGATGACTACTCTGAAAAGCATAAAATAACAAGACTTGGCAAGGCTATAGGGAAACTGGAAGACTGTGCACTGCTGGTGGGAATGTAAAATCGGGCAGCACTGATGGAAAACAGTATACCAGTTCCTCAAACAACCGGAGCAGTTTCTCTATTAAAAATAGAATGGTCATACGATCCAACAATTTCACTTATGGCTATATATAGAAAAGAATTGAAAACAGGGTCTTGAAGAGATATTTGTTCACCCATGTTCATAACAGCGTTATGAACAATAGTCAGAAGGTGGAAGTGCCATCAACAGATGAATTAACAAATGGGACATACATATGTATATATTTATGTATTCAGCCTTAAAGTGGAAGGAAATTCTGACACATGCTACAACATGAATGAACCTTGAGGCCATCATGCTACGTAAAATAAGACAGTCACAAAAGACAAATATTGGATGGTTCCACTAAATAAGGTACCAGGTAGTCAAATTCACAGATTTAGAAAGTACAATGGTGGTTTCCAGGGCCTGGGAGGAGAAGGGAATAGGGAGTTTTTATTTAATGTGTACAGAATTTTAGTTTTGCAAGATGAAAAAGTTCTGGCGATTGGTTTCGCAACAATATGAGTGTAATTAATACCACTGAACTGTGTTCTTAAAAATGTTTAAAATGGCCCGGGCGCGGTGGCTCACTCCTGTAATGCCAGCACTTTGGGAGGCCCAGGCGGGCAAATCACGAGGTCAGGAGTTGGAGACCAGCCTGGCCAACATGGTGAAATCCCTTCTCTACTAAAAATACAAAAACTTAGCTGAGCGTGGTGGCGCGTGCCTGTAATCCTAGATACTCCGGAGGCTGAGGCAGGAGAATCACTTGAGCCGGGGAGGCAGAGGTTGCAGTGAGCAGAGGCCCAATGCACTCCAGCCCGGGTGACAGAGTGAGACTCCGTCTCAAGAAAAAAAAAAAAAAGTTTAAAATAATCAGCTTTATGTTATGTGTATTTTGCCTCAAATAAACATTTTTTAAGTGTGCTGCTATTTTCAGTATTACGTATTTCTTGCCAATGGCTGGGATCCTGTATTACCAGAGACGGAGCAGATGTGGTCTGGAGCACACCTGAAAACAGGTGGAGGTTTTATAAATCTGCCAACATGTGCGAGCAGAAACAAGTGCCCTGCCAATTCATAACCACCGCATGTTGTCAGATGTTATGAGTGCTTCAGAGAGAGAGAAAAGCGTGCAAGTAAGTGCTCCGTGAGGAGTGGAGGGACAGCTATAATGAGTCCATGGAGGCCCCCAGAGCCGAAAGAATGAACCGTGCGCTGGACCTCAGGGGGAAGACTCATCACAGTGCTGCGATGAGCAACCCTTCCTGATGTCGCGATGTCCTCTTTCATCACAAAGCATGGAATGAATTTTTTAATAACTTTTATTATAGTTTCAGAGGTACATGTTCAGGTTTGTTATATCTATAAATAGCGTGTTGCAGGTATACAGATGATTTCATCACCCAGGTAATAAGTATAGTACCCGATGAGTGTTTTTTACATCCTCGCCCTCCTCCCACCCTCACCCTCAAGTAGGCCCCGGTGTCCCGTTATTCCCTTCTTAGTGTCCGTGTGTACTCAGTGTTTAACTCCCACTTACAAGTGAGAACAACAAAGCATGGAATGAATTTTTATTCGTAGTAGTCTGAGTAAAGTGCAGTTGAAGGATCTTGGAATCATTCAGGCTTGCTTCATATTTTGTTACCATTGGATATTTGAGTCTCATTGTTTCTTCATTATAAACCTGGATTCTCAGTTTAAAAACACTAGTGTTGGCCGGGCGCAGTGGCTCACGCCTGTAATCCCAGCACTTTGGGAAGCCAAGGCGGGCAGATCACGAGGTCAGGAGATCGAGACCATCCTGGCTAACACGGTGAAACCCCGTCTCTACTAAAAATACAAAAAGTTAGCCGGGCGTGGTGGCGGGCGCCTGTAATCTCAGCTACTCGGGAGGCTGAGGCAGGAGAATGGTGTGAACCCGGGAGGCGGAGCTCGCAGTGAGCGGAGATCGCACCACTGCACTCCAGCCTGGGCGACAGAGCGAGACTCCGTCTCAAAAAAACAAAAAAGAAAAAAACAACAACAACTAGTGTTATTTCTGAACCATATACATTCATTTATTGCTTCATTCAGAAGGTAAAGTTCAAAATGTTTGTTAATAGCCAGTAGAGAACAAAAATAACTCTCTGCTATGTATGACCTAAGATACACTTTAGGTAAATAAAAGTGCACTTTTGTTGCCTTTGTTACCCTCTTATTCTGTGTTCTTATTTCCTAAAGTGGGGCACTAAAATCATGGATGTTGAGATTCAAGCAGCAGTGATTTTTCTCTGAAAATTCCAGAATTTGTTTGTATATCTACAGTTTCTTACCTTTCTCTCTTTTTTAAAAGCAGTAACTTTTCCATCTGTTAATCTCTGCTCCTACCATAACCGTGATCACCTACTTACTCTTAGTGTATTTAATTCAGTTAAAAAAACTTACCTTTAAAACCTTCCGTACCCTAAGCACTGCCATAAACGCAAGGTGACAAGACATACACCCTTTTTGGAAGGCGTTAGAATAAAAATGGGCAGCAAAACAAGCACGTAAACTAAAAATAGCAGAAATTCAAATTATGACTACAAATATCATTGTTGTGGAGGCATAGGGAAAACTGAATCTAAGAAGGAGAAATCATAGACATTTCCCGGCGATGGTGACTTTGGAACTAGACCTAGATGATGCCAAGGATATTAACAACCAGCGACAACAAAGAGATAGGAAGAAACGTGAATGAAGTGTGCTGGGAAATGGCTTCAGGGTATTGGTGAATATTAACTATAAGGAATATCAGGCCTGAAGGAAAGAATGATGAAGAACCAATGCTTACGACAAAACTTAATTATCATAAATTAGCATGAAGGTTCAGATGATAGGCCATGGATGTAATGTAATTATGCATCCTGAACAGCTGGTATCCTGTGTGACCCCTGTAATATTTTGGAATGATTGAGGTATCTGGAAGGAATACAGTGACATGCACATATTATGGGATTGCAGTTGGAGTTGGGGGCTGGTGTTATCCTAAGAGGTATCAGAGAGTCTATGAAGCTCTGCCTGTCCTATTTCTTGGATCTTCATTGCCAAGGAGTGGGTAAAGCTCACCTGGTACATATACCCCCAATTCTTGATTTGGGGACTCCAGAAAAGTCATAGCTACTGAAAAGCCTCCTGGTAAAACGAGGAATAGCAACACCAAAGGGATTGAGATTTTATGGTAAACCCCAAATAATCTAGCAGAGCCAAGGTTTTTGTCTGGGAGAAAGAAAAGGGGACCAGGTTGCTGAAGACCTCAGGGGTGCTTTTCTGGGACTCAGGGCTTTTCTCCAGGAAATGGGGGAGTAGGGAGTAGGATGAGGAGGGTGGCGTAGAGAACATGAGCTTCCCCAAGGAAACTCTGGCAGCTGTCACAATGTGCAGAGAAGAGAAATTAGAGGTAGGGAGACTGCCCTTGGCATAATAATTGAAGTAAGGATGTGTTCTGTGGACAGAAATGCTGGCCATGAAACAGCAATGCAGACAGACCAGGTTCCAAAGTGGGAGTGTGGGCCCCAAGGGTCTGATGTGTCTCTACTGGGGACTGATCATCTCTTGGGGACCTATCTTCAGCTATCTTTTGGGAAATAGAATCTGTGAGTTCTTAAGTATTTAACATAAAATCTTCTAAAAACTGTCCTTTCTTTTTCATATACTTGCGTCCTCACCCCACCCATCAACATTATTAGATTTTATTAGGAAGTGAAAGCTCAGACATCGAGTCATTTACCAAATACATTTGTATACATTATCAGTAGAATCGGGCCTAGGATCAAAGATAAACAGAAGATGTTCCAAATGCATGAAAGAGAAAAGCTTCATCTTTACCTTTTTATTTCCAAATAAGCAGTACATTGGGATGTGCTGCTCTGTAATTGTGTCATTGTATACTTCTCAAGCGAAGAGATATTTCTATGGAGAGATTTAAGACAGTCAGGAGGAGTACCCATCCCCACCACCCACTGAAAGAGAGGGTTTCTGTGACACCTTGCTCTGTCCAAGCTAGCACATGGCCTTAGTGTAGACAGAGTAGTTCCTGGAGAGCAGGTGCAATAGTATCAGTTTCTTTGTACTGTGAGTATCAAGATGCAATCCTGGGAAACAAACATTGAGTAAATTAAATAATTGTTGGATGCTGTGTAGTATCCTAGAATTGCAGTGCCAGAAAGGATGTGAACTTCAAGTACAAATTTCTCATCTCACATATGAATCCTTTCAACAGTATCTAGTTTCTTTAGAAAAAAAAAAAGAGAGAGAGAGATGCCAGGTGCGGTGGCTCACATCTGTAATCCCAGCACTTTGGGAGGCCAAGGTGGGCGGATCACGAGGTCAAGAGATCAAGACCATCCTGGCCAACATGGTTAAATCCCGTCCCTACTACAAATACAAAAATTAGCTGGCATGGTGGTGCGCACCTGTGGTTCCAGCTACTTGAGAGGCTGAGGCAGAAGAATTGCTTGAACCCGGGAGGCGGAGGTTGCAGTGAGCCGAGATTGCGCCACTGTACTCCAGCCTGGCGACGGAGTGAGACTCTGTCTCAAAAAAAAAAAAAAAAAAAAAAAAAAAAAGAGAGAGAGAGAGAGAAATCTTAGGTTTTATAGTATTTGCATAGCTTGATTAAAAAACGTTCCTGTAGGAGACAACAATCTGCTACTGGTTAGCTTCTGCTCATTTTTTTAGGTCTATACATTGCTAATACAAAATCTAAGTCTTATTATTCAGTGTTAGTGTAGGAATGTGCAAAATCAGTTTGGAATCAGTTATGTTATCAGTGGCAAGGTATGTAATGTCTATATGATATGAAGCATTTAGTTCGCTTTACCAACAGCTACAGAAAATTACAATTAAAATTCTGTATGGGACAAAACAAGTATTTTTAAACTGAGAGTTGATGAGGTTAGTTCTAGCATATGTGCCAGGCGTGGAGCAAGGAGAAGGACTCAGCGGCTGGAAGAGCTGTCACTTAGATTAACCCAAGAGACTATCTAGCTTGTCTGATTTTACATCGAAAAGCTTTCAGTTCTGTGTACTTTATACAAGAAATTTACATTTTAATCTAGGGCTGCAAAAACATTTTCAGAAAGTTCTACCATTCTAAGTGGGGCATAACTTTTTTCACTCAGGAAATTGTTATTTAAAATGCTAACTCCAAAAATAAATCTGTCTGGAACTTAAGATAAAAAGATTTTATAATAAGAACAAGTTATGACATAACTTATTTATTTCTGATAAAAATGAAGAAAGTTAGTTTAATATCTATTTAGCTTACTTTAAAATCTGTGTTCATCAATACACTAATATTACACTTGCATTGTGATAGAAAACAGCATTCACCCTGAGAGATTTTACAAGTGGAAGGCATGCAGCCTTTGAAGATTCTATAACTGAAGAATGTAAGATAAAAATGAAAGGAAATTCACATATAAAAGTGCAAACAGGCTGGGTGCAATTGTTCACACCTGTAATCCCAGCACTTTTGGAGACTAACTTGGGAGGATCACTTGAGCTCAGGAGTTCGAGACCAGCCTGGGCAACATAATGAGACTTTGTCTCTACAAGTAATTAAAAAAATAATAGTTGGGTATGGTGGCATACCCTTGTGTTCCTAGCGACTTGGGAGGCCAAGGCAGGAGGATCATGTGAGCCCAGGCACTCAAGGCTGCAGTGGGCTGTGATCATGCTGCTGCACTCCAGCCTGGGTGACAGAGCGAGACCCCATTTCAAAAACAAAAAATAAATAAAAGATGCAAACAGTAGAAAGGTATGAAACTCACTTAACCTATAAAGTTTTATGCATTTAGTAGAGTCTTTTCTTAGAAAAATTGCCCATCAAAATGAATTTCTAAATGAGTCATATTTTACACAGTTTTCCATTATATAATCAGACACATTCTGATTAGTAGAAATCAGCATAAAAATTAAACATTTCAAAATGTAACAGACTCAAAGTCATATTTCAAAGAAAATGATTAGTTACTATGCTTTGAAAAAATCAAATTGCTCATAAATGGTATTTGATAGAAATATATCTTACAGAAATTTTACTGTATATTTGACTTTCATGGCTAAACTGTAGAACTAGCCCAATAATGTCAACACTAGCTGAGTACAACTAATGCTGAACCTAGCCAAAAACAAAATATTTGCTCATTTAGCTGGACTAGTAACATGTTACCACATACTTGGCATTTCTATAATACAGGGTTTTAATAGGGCTGATTAATAATTAAAACATTTCTAATAGATGTGCAAGAATTTAGTATTAACTGGATTTTTGAACTGATGTAAAGATCTTCTGGTTAATGTTGATGTCAATTTTATACATACACATATGATTACTGAATGTATATATTATATGCATATTATACATACATGTCCACATATATTCTTTAAATATGTAATTACGTATACAGAAGGGTAATTGAAATATCTACAATAGAACGGATCAACCTAGGAATAGCTCACGAATGTATCAAAAACAAAGTACTTTTATTCAATGTTGGAGACATATAGCTTATTGCATCTTTTAAGCATTTTTCTTTGTTTTTTAACAGGTTGTTTGGTATCAAGTCAGTAATTCAAACGGACTGTTCAAGTACTTGGAAGATCATAGTGAACCCGGACCTGTCGTGGTACCACCACGCCAACCCTATCCTCCTGCTGGTGATGTACTACACTCTGGCCACTCTGATCCGCATCTGGCTGCAAGAGCCCCTTGTAAGGACAAAAACATTTTCATGATCTTGTCTGCAAAGTAACCTAGAATCTCCACGTGAAATGATTCACTCCTGTTCTCTACTGACTAATCGATACTCTATTCCAACACAACTCTAGTGTTCTGGGTATGATGTTTTAATTCTGCAAAGAGTATTAAGTGAATATAAATACTATCAGATCAAAGACTAGCTTCCCTTTACTACCACAAACTGCTGGTAAGAATGGCAGGCAGTGAGAAGAACAGAAGACTCATTTTTGCTGATCACTTACTGTAATATGCCATGTCATACATTATCTCATTTAATAAACTAAACAACTCTGATCAATAGAATAGGTATTATACCCATTTACAGATGAGGAAAATGAGGTTAGAGATGTCAGTTTTTCTAAAATCACACATTTACTGGATGGTACAAATCAGATTCTAATCCACATTTGACAACAAAGCTCAGTTCTCAGAGACACACACCCCTGTTATCAAGAGGACTGGTGTTTCCCAAATCTCCTCCAGCGCTCTTAGCCTGTGAAGATGGAGTGATAGCCCAGCTCTTGGTGGTGCCTGTTGCCTCCTGAGTATCCCCTTGTGAGGGATGGGGATTCGAATATTCTTCCAGCACAACTGAGGGTGTTTATTCCCTATGAAAATATGAACAAGGACACAGCATTTCTGAGGGGAGGACTGAAGCCTGGGTGGCTTCTCTTCTCTCTTTTCTCCTTCAGTGACAGAAAATATCAGCCTGCTTTTCTTTCCCCTAAATGACTGTCAGGAGCCCGGTTGCAAGGTTGCTTATTGACACATGAAGGAGACAAGCTGTGTAGACAGGGTGGCCGCACCTTTTCAGGCCCCACCTGCGGGGAACCCTACAGCTGGGGACAGTTCTCATGAGCATGGCCCAGCCTGAGTCTCTGCATTCCAGTCCCCCTCCTCCGAATCACTTCTAGCCTGAGGCCCTGCAGAAGTTCCCTACTTTCTCTGTCTGTCTTTGTACCCACAGACCATTCCCACATGTTCATCAGTCAGCCAGTCAATGAGTATTTATGGAAGGCCAACTGGATCTGAAACTAACCTAGGGGCCAGCATAGAGCAATGACTTCAGTAGGCAGGGCCCCACTTAGAGAGCTGTACATTCTAAAAGAGAAAAATGGTCCAAGAGAAGCAAACAGGTTGTAAATCAGATAGTGACTGTAAAACTGCAGGAGGCGCATGGCTCCGGTCATCCCTGACAGAAGCGCCACCTGCAGAAATGAGGATGGTGCTGTCTTCCTCCTATGTGCTACCTCCCCCCCATCTCAGTGGCTAACAGCCATCTGTGGGATTAGGGTCTCAGAGGCCATCCTTGTTAGCAGGGTTCTCATGGATCATCTTTCTTTTAGGCCACTGATGACAGTTGTATAGTAACAAAATGATTTATGGGTGGTAAGGAATCCCAGTCATGTTGTGTTATATTTTTCTTCAGTTCTCTTCTAAAATTTGACTGTGCCAGTAGAATCATTAAAATTGTGTCCAATTCCTCCACAAACATGCATATGTATATGTATATATTCACAAATAAAAACATGTACATAAAAAATTAAATATACATATATATTTTTTTGAGATGGAGTTTCACTCTTGTTGCCCAGGCTGGAGTGCAATGGCATGATCTCGGGTCACCACAACCTCTGCCTCCTGGGTTCAAGCAATTCTCCTGCCTCAGCCTCCTGAGTAGCTGGGATTACAGGTGCCCGACACCACGCCTGGCTAATTTTTTTGTATTTTTAGTAGAGACGGGGTTTCGCCATGTTGGCCAGGCTGGTCTGGAACTCCTGAGCTCAGGTAATTCACTCGCCTTGGCCTCCCAGAGTGCTGGGATTACAGGCATGAGCCACCACGATGGGAACTATTTCTGAACAAACTCTTATACATTATGGAAATTACTTTAAGGCTTTCTAGTTATTAAGATTTCCCAGCCCATTTGCTTTCTCTGGGATATCCCATGTCATCTCTTGGATAATGCAGTAGCTTGATGAGGGCTCCGTTATAACTTTGGGTCCATGCGATATTCTGCTTCCACTGCCATGTGCTGTCTGGCAAGCAAAGGTAGCAGAGAGAGAGCCGGGAAGACCTTCTAGGCTATAGGCCACACAGCAACAGCAATGTTATAAATCACGAGGTCTGCAGGGGTATGTAGAGAAGTGGGCTTCAAACTATCATCAACATTTCATGTGGGCTCTATTTCAAATGGGCTGGGACGGAAGGCCTGTTGCATTGAGTCAATGAGAAAAAGAAGCTGATTATATCATAGTTCCAGGTGACCTGGTGCATTTAATGAAAAATACCGGCCACCAAATGTGAGTGCTGAAGTAGACATCTATGAAACATGTTTGAAAAAGAGAGAGAGAAAAGTCAGTGTCGAGACTTCAGTGTAATATGTGGCCCCCACCTGGCAAATGTAACGCCCCTCCCAGGGAGTTAGGGTGCCCTGCTTAGGAGTTCTACTCTGGTGCACTGGGACCCAGACAATGAGACTAAGTCCACTCCACTCCAGTATCAGTGATGCCTGACTGCCCTTTTCACTAGGACACTTTTGTTGGGAAAACATGCTAAGGCACCGAAGCGCTTCTGTTCCTCGTATTCCTCTCTATCACCTTTCCTAGACCAGTTGTCTAATTTAGGCAAATGTCTCATGTGCATAGATACGCTCTTGCTTAGTGCTGTGTGAGCTCTAGATGATTCTGCCTTCAATACATCCAGTCTTAATTGAAGATTGCCGGCAGCTGGCTTACACGGTTAACCGCGCACCTTTGTGAAGGCTCTTGGCTAAGAGCCATGTGCATCTCTGCTTTTGAGTGCAGTTGAGAATGCACGTGGAAAAGCTGTGGATATTTAACAATGGAGCATATTCTGTAATGCATGGGGCTTAGTAGAATCAGGGGACATTTAATACTGGTGTACTTACAATTACAGGGTGGTATTTTTGTCATTTTTTAAAGTGTCTTGATAAAATCCTGTATATTGTAAACATTCACTTTGAAAAGTCATCATACTGAGCCAAAATGAAAAGCTCTGTCTTGGCCACCCAGGCTGTCTAGGGAACTGCCTCAGGAAGCAAGACTGATCCTGTTTCTGTGTTTCAGGTGCAGGATGAGGGGACCAAAGAAGAGGACAAAGCCCTGGCTTGTAGCCCCATCCAAATAACAGCGGGGAGGAGGCGGAGCCTGTGGTACGCAACCCATTACCCCACTGATGAGAGAAAAGTAAGCCATGATGAAAGGGATTTCCGTTCCCTAATTTTTCTGTTTTTGTATTTTACTGTTGAATATGAGCCTTATAATATCATATATATCATATCATATTCAGGTTGCTTGTAGTTTATAGAAACAGTGATTTAGGAGAGTTAGTACCAGAGAGGGAAAACTATTTCCAAAGAAAATACCCAGATCCCGTCAAGAACATCATTTTATATTTCCGTGCTTTCTACTGAAATCTCCTAATCTTAAAAAGAATGTTCCTATTAAAAAATAATTTTGTAATTAAAACAAACAAAAGTAGCAAAGCAATCTGTTAGCACTGGAGGGTGAAAATTTCAGTGCTGAACTATATTGCAGAAAATAATTTTACTCTGTCGGGTATTTGGTTGATTTGGGTATTTGGCAGACAATTACTTGAAAATAAATGAAGTGAGCTCATCACTTTGAGGCAAACAACGGACAATAATTGTTACCAGTGATAAAATTTAAGCATTTGAGTAAAAATTAGAATTTTTGAAAATTCATATCTACTGAGGGCTTAAAAACTTTCCAATATTTGTGGACTTTTCTGATGAGATGAGGTGATATTGACAAATGTGCTTTTTACTCATGGCATACTGAAACTTGTCAGTATTTGGTAGAGTTCGATACCTGTAACTCACTGAAACAGCAGTTTCCGACTCACCAACACCTGACATGACAGCACGTGGATAAATGATCCAGTCGGGGTGCATGATATGCCAATGGGTTTTAATGTAGCAGAGTATGTATGAAAAGTTCACTGATATGGTTGCAGATTCTGCACTACAACTGACATTCAAGACTACACTGGTTGAGTCTGATCGAGTAGCAAAGACTGTCCACAGTTATTTAGACAGATTATTAAAATACCTTTTTTTTTTTTTTTTGGCAACAGAGTCTCGCTCTGTCACCCAGGCTGGAGTGCAGTGGTGTGATCTTGGCTCACTGCAACCTCTGCCTCCTGGGTTCAAGCGATTCTCCTGAATCAGCCTCCCAAGTAGCTGGGACTACAGGCATGTGCCACCACGCCTGGCTAATTTTTTTGAATTTTTAGTAGAGATGTGGTTTTGCCATGTTGCCCTGGCTGGTCTTGAACTCCTGAGCTTAGGCAATCCGCCTGCCTCGGTCTTCCAAAGTGCTAGGGTTACAGGCATAAGTCACTGCGCCCGGCACTAAAATACTTCTTTTTGACCAAATTGCATACCTATGTGAAGCCAGATTTTCTTTATCTACTTCAACCGGAACACCACATCACAACAGATTGAATACGGAAGCAGATGTGAAAATCCGGTTGTCTTTTATTAAGCTAGACATTAAATAGATATGCAAAATTATAAAACAATGACACTCTCTTCACTATTTGTTTTAAAAAATAACTATTTAAATTATTTATACTAACACACAATGGGTTTTTTTAAATTTTTAATGAATAAATACATAAGTAAATAAGTATTTTAAGACTACCTGGTCTAATTTCTCGTATGGTAGATAATTGATAGATAGAACCCACATAAATTAAGTCTCTTTGGGACCCTCAGTGATTTTTAAGAATGCAAATGAGTACTGACCTAAAATTGTGGTAGAACCACTTGCTGTGCTAATTATTATTTGGGGGAAGCCCAAATCACCTGGTAGTAATGTATTACTAGTTAAAAAGTAGAGTCATATAATAATCATTTTGTTGTAGACAGTATGCAAATCTTAAAATAATCTCTAACCACATTACAAATCAATTTTTCTTTTCTTTTCTTTCTTTTTTTTTTTTTTTTTTTTTGAGACGGAGTCTCGCTCTGTCGCCCAGGCTGGAGTGCAGTGGCGGGATCTCGGCTCACTGCAAGCTCCGCCTCCCGGGTTCACGCCATTCTCCTGCCTCAGCCTCCCAAGTATCTGGGACTACAAGCACCCACCACGACGCCCGGCTAATTTTTTGTATTTTTAGTAGAGATGGGGTTTCACTGTGTTAGCCA
This sequence comes from Homo sapiens, assembly GCF_000001405.40. Lineage (NCBI taxonomy): Eukaryota > Metazoa > Chordata > Mammalia > Primates > Hominidae > Homo > Homo sapiens. Next base: position 10,801,892 of record NC_000018.10, on the reverse strand, counting down.
GGATGGTCTCGATCCCCTGGCCTCGTGATCTGCCTGCCTTGGACTCTCAAAGTGCTGGGATTACAGGCGTGAGCTACCGCGCCGAGCCCAATTTTTCTTTATTATGAAAATTCTATTTCTTGAAACATAAATACATTCAGAATTCTGCAGATGTCTCAAACGGGTACAAAACTAAGCGCTTATTCTTGTAGAACATAACCCTTGAAAAACATGGTAACATTTATAGACTTGCTTATCTGCTGTATAACTAAACATTAACATCAAGAGCTGTGAAATAGTTGTCATAAACAGCAGCATCCAGCTCATTTATTTGTCCTTTTATATTTTGCATGGCAATATTAATATACTAGCAATCAGCAAGTTAAAGAGAATGGGCTTGTGCACAGTAAAACTTTATAGATACATAAACAGTAAAATGCTTTCAGCTTCCTTACTAACATGCTTTCCCGCATTGCTTTTTGCAGCTTTTATCCATGACCCAGGATGACTACAAACCATCTGATGTTAGTATACCCTTAGAATTATCATTTATGCATGTGTAAGTGATGTAAAGGCAACAAATGGAAGTAGCTCCTTTGAGTCTATTTTAATGATCTATTAAAATTTCCATAAGCTTTTCCATTTTTGGGCATAAATTATATCTGGTAGATTGCTGTTAAATGAAATTGAGTATAATCATACAAAATATATTTAAATTTTAAGAAGCTTTGTGGGCTTTTTAAAAAGTGTTTTGTTCTGTAGCTATGCCTAATTCGTAAGTAGGAAGTTTTGCATGCCCATGGGCGCACATACACCTGTGTATTGGTGGGTGTTATGTTTATCTCAAAAATTGTAAAGCCAAAGAGACAGAAGGATGAAACAAGCAATTGTACTTAGTGGTGTAGTAAGGACATAGCAACCTGCAGTCAGGCAGAGATCCCCAGAGGGTGATGCCTTAGCTGAGATCCAAGGGATGTTTGCATTAGTCCTGTGCAGAGCCACATAGGGCATAGGCAGGACAATGTTGGACCACAGCCCAAGAAAGGTCTAGAGTCCCATATAGATGGAGGGATGGCTGAGAGGTGGACAGTAGCAAAGGCTGAGGCTGGAAAGATCAGACCAAATCTTGAAGGCCTCCTTCAGCCATTTACAAGAGTTTGCTCTTCATACTGAGGACAGCAGGTGCGAAGCATGGTTTCAGGCAAAGTGCAACAAGATCAGATGCACATTTTCCTGCGATCACTCTGTGGAGACTAGAGTTGGAGAGGGAATGTACAAGATTCCCCTTACTAAAATATTTGGGCAATTGGCTAAGTTATTCAGCTTGTAATCAACTCCTCACTGTTCAGTTAGGGTGGAGGAAGGGAAGTGGGGGTATGTCTGCATTGAAAACCCAGAGCTGCTGTAACAGTTGTCCCTTTCTCTGCACTCCCGGCAGGGCCTGCTGGTGACTGTGAACGGCAACCCCGTGGATTACCACACCATCCACCCAAGCCTGCCCATGGAGAACGGCCCTGGCAAAGCCGACCTCTACTCCACCCCTCAGTACCGGTGGGAGCCCTCTGATGAATCCTCAGGTAGGAGCCAGCCCTGCACTCAGGGTCGCATTTCTTCCTCATTTAGAAGCTTGGCCTCTCTCTTTTTGTTGTTGTTGCTTATTTTATTTTTTTAAAAACTGTATCCATGTCAGTGTCATTAACCTCACTTCTTTAAGTTCTGCCTGCATTTTGCCCCAGCATATTGCTAGTTGTGTTCTATCCTTGTATACAAAGTAAGTGACATAATTGAGGCAAACTTTTAAAATAAAAGGTGAAAATAGTATTTTAAACATGTCAACTTAGGTATAGCATCTATACATATGTTGGTCTTTCTTTTAGTTGATATTGTAATTATGGTCAGTGGTTTTCCTGGTTAATATATGAATTTTTTTTTTTTTTTTTTGAGACAGAGTCTCGCTCTGTCTCCCAGGCTGGAGTGCAATGGCACGATCTCAGCTCACTGCAACCTTTGCCTCCCGGGTTCACGCCATTCTCCTGCCTCAGCCTCCCTAGTAGTTGGGACTACAGGTGCCCACCACCACGCCTGGCTAATTTTTTGTATTTTAGTAGAGACTGGGTTTCACTGTTTTGCCCAGACTGGTCTCAAACTCCTGAGCTCAGGCAATCCACCTGCCTTGGCCTACCAAACTGCTAGGACTACAGGGGTGGGCCACCGCACCCGGCTGAGTGTTTTTTAAGAGTCCTTTTTTTTGTCCATTTTTTAAAAAACGAGGTTGTCTTAACTTTTGCAAGGCTTTTTGTCTCCCTTTTCTTTCAGTTGTTTATGTTGAAGGAGACCACTATTACTAAAGATGACAAATTGGTGACTTGGGGCTGAGTTTCACTCTCAGATTTGATTTTTGGTCTGCGCAGCATTTAAAACAAATTCAAATAGCCATCATTTAAAAAGCTGCACCTCTGACCTAGAAATGGACACTTCTGGAATCCCTTGAAGACTGTGAAGGTCTGGCAACACTAGTCCCTCACCTCTACAAAACAGCAGTTAGATGGACCTCTATTGTCATTGCCCCTGCAAGGGACCAATTGCCTGTCACCAATCCATAAAGACAGAATTACAAAGCGACTATAAAACTAGAGTGGATTTGCATCTCTATTTGTATGTAATTACAGCCAGAGTTCTTAGACCTTGTCGTGCCTTTAGTGAGTGGCCACAGCTCTCCAATTTGCATCTGTGGTACATCACACATACTCCAAGGGCCTTTTCGCATAACTCTTTATCAGGTTTATTCTCATGTCTGTTCTTCATAATTCTGTATCAGTACTTCCTGGAGTTGCCCCACAGGGCTTCTTAATACTTAACTGTACAACTGGTTAGTCATATTATCTGACATTCCGCAGTAAGGTTAAATCAAGGTCAGCCACCACCCCCACCCCACCCTCACACCCAACCCATGATGACACCTGAGAGCTGCATAGCTTCAAACTCTACTGTTTCGTTCCCTGTTTCTGCTTCCTGCATGTATGTGTTTTAGTTTGCAGCTCAGGCTTAAACTGGAAAGTTCAAGGAAACACAGTGCTTTCCAGTGTGCTCTTCAGAGCATGAGCACCAGAAGCAAACACACAGGGCCCAAGAGTCAGCATCTGTGGCTTCTGACGTTTGAGCTGTTGGGGTCACAGCCTAGACAACCTTCTACTTACCCATTACTTTCATGTGGACAAGTAAATTGAATTTTGCGTGCTGACACGGACAACCCAGACATACTGAAATCATAAACTGGGCTTTCAAAAGTGAAACAAAAGCTGGAAAGATTTTAAAAATTAAATCTATATACACAAAAAGTGTTAACCAGAGAAGCAGCATGGCAGTAACTCTAAAATCCATCAGATTTGGTGTTTTCACCCCTGTCTATGATCCCAGGGACTTTTTGTATAAACTGCAGGCTCATCCAGTCCTACTGCAGGAAGAATGAGAGCCAGTGGGCTTCTGCCAAGGACACACCATCGTCTCATTGCAGAGCCCATGTGGAGTAGTATGCACAGTCACTGATTTTTCAGTCATTTATACCTCTTTATGCTGCTAAGAAACTTTCTCCTGTAACCCACCTATACATAGCCCATTTGATTTGAACAAGAAAGGCAGAAAGGGCAGTCTACTTAGTGGCTTAGAACAGCACTTAGTATGACACACTTTCTCTGGACCAGGAACCTGGCCATCACTAGGCTGGTTCCTCTGGCTCAAGGTTGCTCATGAGATTGCAGTCAAGCTGCTATCTCAGCTGAAGGCTTGTCGGAGAGGGGGAGAATCTGCTCCCAGGCTCACTGTGTAGCTATTGGCTGGCCTCAGGCTCTTGCTGACATCTGGCTGGCAGAGCCATCAGTTCTCACACCTGGGGCTCCCCATAGGGCTGTTTACAGCATGGTAGCTGGCTTGTCTGAGGACAAGCAGGTGAGAGAATAAGAGAGAGCACTCAAGATGAAAACCACAGTCTTTTTAAACAGAATCTTGAAAGTGACCCTTCATCCCCTCTAGAGTGCCCTATTTGTGTTAGAAGAAGCTTGTCACAGGTCCCACCCACACTCGAGGAGAGGGCCCACACAACAGCATGAACACCAGGAGGTGGGGGCTCTGATGACAGGTTTAGAGGCTTCATTCCGTATCTTCTTACATGGAAATTTTCCTTTCTCAATTATCACATGCTAGATCCCATTACACTGACCATGCAGAACTTACTGATTCTGTTTGAATTTTAAGGGCTTTATGAATGGGAAACAATTTCTGAAATCTTAAATAAAAGGCTATACCAAAACCATACATGTGCTGCATTGCTTGGAACATTTATACAAATGTCACATGTTTGCATAAATAGTTAAATAAAGTATTCGTCCATCTAGAAAAGCGAGAGGAGGAAGAGGAAGAGAAAGAAGAATTTGAAGAAGAAAGGAGCCGTGAGGAAAAAAGAAGTATCAAAGTTCATGCCATGGTCTCCGTATTCCAATTTATTATGAAACAAAGTTACATCTGTGCCCTCATAGCTATGATGGTATGTATGATATGATGATAGGTATAATATGATATGTATAATATGATATGATGGTATGTGTGCCATGACGGTATGTATAATATGATGGTACATATATAATGGTATATAAGATATGATGGTATGTATGATATGACATGATAGTACATATATGATGGTATGTAAGATATGATATGATGGTATGTATGATATGATGGTAGGTATAATATGATGATATGTATAATATGATATGATGGTATGTGTGCTATGATGGTATGTATAATATGATGGTACATATATAATGGTATATAAGATATGATGGTATGTATGATATGACATGATAGTACATATATGATGGTATGTAAGATATGATATGATGGTATGTATGCTATGACGGTATGTATAATATGATGGTACATATATAATGGTATATAAGATATGATGGTATGTATGATATGACATGATAGTACATATATGATGGTATGTAAGATATGATATGATGGTATGTATGATATGATGGTGTGTACAATATCTGATGGTATGTATGATATGATATGACGGTATGTATGATATGACAGTATGTATGATATGATGGTATGTATGAGTGGCGGCTGCCAGGGTGCTGGAGAAAGGAGACCACAGTCCCACTGGCTCTAAGTGCTGCTATCTTCTCAGGGCTAGCAGAAGTATAGGGATCCCCCTAATGCCTTGGCAGAGAACGGTCAGCTGCGTTAATTTTTCATGGGATATTTATACTACAGATTGTAAAATTGTGTCCTTTTCAATTCTATTTATCCTCCTTTTAAGTATTAATACATTTCTTCCAAATTAGCTTGTCAAGTCAGACTATCTCTTATTTTGCCAATTTGAGAGGACATATTAGTTTTTTTAAATGACATTGAAGGTCTTCAAGGTTAACATAGGCTACTTTTATTCGTTTCAGATAGTGAGAGTTATATTCACATCTTATCTTAGATTTGGGTGAGACGTAATTCCTTCTTAGCTGCAATAACTTTTTTTTTTTTTTTGAGATGGAGTCTTGCTCTGTTGCCCAGGCTGGAGTGAAGTGGCACAATCTCAGCTCACTGCAAGCTCCACCTCTCGGGTTCACGCCATTCTCCTGCCTCAGCCTCCCGAGTAGCTGGGACTACAGGCGCCTGCCACCACGCCCGGCTAATTTTTTTTTTTTTTATTTTTAGTAGAGACGGGGTTTCACCGTGTTAGCCAGGATGGTCTCGATCTCCTGGCCTCATGATCCGCCCGCCTCGGCCTCCCAAAGTCCTGGGATTACAGGCATGAGTCACCAAGCCCGGCCAGCAGCAATAATGTTTTACCAATATGAGCATCAAGCAACCGTGGTTCCCTAGAGCACCTTCCAATTGTGAGCTCTCAGTTTATGTGTGTTTCTACTCACCATCTGCAACATCACACCTTCAAAACAGACCCTTGGCCCATAGATAGAAGATAAAAGAAGCTATAATCTCTCCTTTTCCCAAAAACAAATTTTCTTAGGAAATTTGATTTATTTTTGAGAAACCTAATATTCTTGTTTAAAATACAACTCTTCCAAATTCTGTGGTCAACAGTGAGATCCTATGGACACCTTTGATGATAAAAATAAAAATATTCTTTAACTCAAGGGACACAGAACCTAGGCACGGTTTCCCCAGGCACTCAGTCCAGGTGCTTCTCAGATGAACCTGTGTATGCTCAACTTCAGTTTCCAGTAAGGAACACAGCCACATGTGAGAGGAGACTGGGAAAAAGAAAGCACCACAAAATTGAAGAGGCTAATTTGGGGATTGCCAGCTCTATTCTTCAAATAAAATTAGTTCTGTGTTCTTTGGTTACTTTTTGACATTTTCTGTACATCAACTGCTACTTTAAACTGCAGCAAATCTCTCATTCTGAGCTCACAGGAGTATACCATTTTTTTTTCTCTCTAAGCCAGATAAGTTTGGTCTTTTCTTTAAAGCAATAGAGCTGAATAAAATAAAATAAAATAAAATAAAATAAAATAAAATAAAATAAAATAAAATAAAATAATAAAATAAAATAAAATAAAATAAAATAAAATAAAATATTTGAATACACATTTTGCTACTTAACTGAAAAAAGTCTATTGTAAAAACAACACAATCCTTCATTAAAAATGTGCCCTTGTCCGGTACCATTCTGCTGTGTTAATGGAGCTACAATGTTAAAGCTTTAAAACCTCCTGCCTTCCAAGCCACCACTCCACGGCTTGGGGTCTCCATCACTCCACCACAACTCTCTACTCTCCCTGGTTTGAATATTATGACCTTTTCTTTTTAGATAGTTTTTACCTTACCAGGGCGGGGGGGACTGAGCATTGTATTGACCATGGTCGTGTTTCCTTTTCTGTCCTCCGGAGGCCTGGAGCATCACCTATCACAGCTGGCTGACCTTCGTGCTGCTGATCTGGTCGTGCACTCTTTGGATGATTCGCAACAGAAGAAAATATGCCATGATCAGCTCTCCCTTCATGGTGGTTTATGGAAACCTATTGTTGATATTACAGTATATATGGAGTTTTGAACTTCCTGAAATTAAAAAAGTTCCAGGATTTTTAGAAAAGAAAGAGCCAGGAGAACTTGCTTCCAAAGTAAGTGAATAGAATACAATAAAACAAAACAATGACACAAAACCACAATCATCATCATAATCGTATCCAAGAGAAACCTTATAAAAACAGGTTCCAAATATTCACTGCTTTGTAAAAATGAACAAACATGAGACTGTAAGAAACAGTTTGCGGTGCTTAGAGGCCTCTATAATTTAAACATGAACATATATTACACCATGATTTAGCTTTTACTTAGGAATGACAATGTTTTCCACTCAAAGAAAACTTGTATAAATGTTTTTAAGTATAAATCCTACTAGAGTAAAAATTAGGTGTGAAAATAGGAAAATACAGTGCAAAATGTGTTAAGGGATTATAGGACTGTCTTTGATTATCATTTTATAAAACATGCTTAGTGCATTAGTGTCACAGATAAGTATTGATTATTCATGACGTTTTTCTCCAATTCTTTCCTAAAGAACATTTTTAGCAGCAAAAATGAAGTATGACACTTGCTGTTTTTCTTCTACTGATTATATGATATGTTCTTATCTGAGTTAGAATGTTCATACTCTTCTCATTACTTATTTGCTTTCATGGGCCATTTTAACAGTTTTATTTCAAAAGATTAGGTTTCCCAACTTACTGTTTGTTTTGTTAACAGAATGGCAGACTAAACACACATTCCCTTTGTGTTAATAATTTAGTTTTAAGACAGTAAAAATAAACGTGTTTATATTGAATGGGTCTTGGAAATTAGTGTCTTTGGAGGAGATGGTCATTTCATGAATTACATGAAATTCACCTTTCCTGGGAGCAAGTGCCCGCTTTAAGGGTTGCCACACACCCCATATCCAAGGCAAGCAGGTGTAAATGGGGTAGAGTAGACTAGGGCAAAGTTTGGTCTTCGTAACAGATTTTTGGGTGAAGAGCTACTGGGGTAAATGAAACACAATCCAACAGGTGAATTCTAGTGACAGAGGTGAGAATATAACCCCTGTGTTCATGGACCAAGGGAATGTCATTCATTGATTCATTCATCCCAAACTCCTATGCCTGCTTCTCCATGCTGAAAATCCCACGTTATACTCTCACTTACAAGGCACCTTCATCTAACACTCTTTTCTTTTACTCTCTCTCCCTCTTTCCTCTTAAACACAGACCCACACACACATATTCACACACAATTGGTAACTTAGTCTTATTCTATTTTAAAAAATCAAAATTATTTTCTTTTGACTGTGTAAATTCATCACAGTCTCACTCCGAATAGCAATGAAACTGCTAAAATTGCATGCCAAGTCACTAGTTGAATTGTCTCCTGTCGAATCTAAAATTAACAGTTCTTTAGGAGGAAAACATTATTTGGGAAATAAATTTGTTACTCGTGGAAAAAAAGAGTTACTCCGGGAACCTAGGTTCTGCACTTATATTTTAATGCACCCAGGAACTCAGAAAAAGTGCAAGGTTTTGTCATAGAAGATAGTAATACATCTCCAGGCTTATAACATTTCTATTACAATAACATTTGTAAAGCACATTTTTTTTTTTTGAGACGGAGTTTTGCTCTGTATCCCAGGCTGGAGGGCAGTGGCGCAATCTCGGCTCACTGCAAGCTCCGCCTCCCGGGTTCACGCCATTCTCCTGCCTCAGCCTCCCGAGTAGCTGGGACTACAGGCGCCCACTACCACGCCCAGCTAATTTTTTTGTATTTTTTTTAGCAGAGACGGGATTTCACCATGTTAGCCAGGATGGTCTCGATCTCCTGATCTCATGATCCACCTGCCTCGGCCTCCCAAAGTGCTGGGATTACAGGCGTGAGCCATAGTGCCCAGCCAGAATGGCTATAATTTTTAAAAAGGCAGATAATAACCAGTGCTACTGAGGACATGGAGAAGTTGAAATGGTCACACACTGCTGGTGGGAATGTAAAATGGTGCAGCAACTTTGGAAAACAAAGTGCCAATTCCTCAAAATTTTAAACATAAAATTTCCATAAGACCAGCAATTCCAGTCCTAGGTTCATTTACCCAGGAGGATTGAAACCATCTGTCCACACAAAAACTTGTATGTGAATGTTCATAGCAGCATTATCCATCATAGCTAAAATATAGAAATGATCCAAATGCCTATTAACTAATGAAAGGATAAAATGTTGCATGGCCATACAATGGAGTATTATTGGGTGTTTAAAAGGGATAAAGAACTGTGCATGCTACCAGTGGATCAACCTAGAAAACATTATGCTAAGTAAAAACAATCCATTTATGAAAGGCTACATATTATATAATTTCATTCATATAAAATTTCCAGATTAGGCAAATCTATAGAGACAAAAAGTAAATTCGTGGTTGGCTAGGGCTGAGATAGGGAGAAAAGGAAGCAACTGTCGTGGGGCTTCTTACACAGGGTTGATGAAAATGTTGCAAAATGGATTGCAGTGATGGTTGCACAACTCCGTGAATATACTAAAAACCACTGAATTAGACAATTTAAATGGGTGAATTGCATGGTATGTGAATTATATATCAATAAAGCTATTTTTAAAAACCTACTCTGTGTGACCAGGCATGGTGGCTTATGCCTGTAATCCCAGCATTTTGGGAGGCCAAGGCAGGCGGATCACCTGATGTCAGGAGTTCGAGACCAGCCTGGCTAACATGGTGAAACCCCGTCTCTACTAAAAGAATACAAAAACTAGCCGGGTGTGGTGGTGTATGCCTGTAATCCCAGCTACTTGGGAGGCTGAGGCAGGAGAACCACTTGAATCCAGGAGGCAGAGGTTGCAGTGAGCTGAAATCATTCCATTACACTCCAGCCTGGACAACCAGAGCAAAACTCCCTCTCAAACAAAAACAACAGCAATAAACCTACTGTGTGTTAGGTACTGTATTTCCTAAACAATAGAGTTCCCCTAAATCAAAAGGTTTTTGATTTCTTAGTCCTTAAGAAAATGTTACTATGAAAGCATGGGCACTTAGAACTAGTGTCCCTTCAGCTTTAAAAGATTAATAATAAGGGGTTCTATTTTCTGGGATGAAATTTTCCTTTTCCCATCTACGGAATTCTTCAAAATAAGGAACATTGCAGTCAAGGGAGTATTATGCAAGAAGTACATCTTCCTTTTACAATTGTAATGACGTCACAGTCAGGAGGGAATCAACCACGGACCAGCACCTCAAGGAAGACCACCTGTTGCAGCTGATTTCCTGCCCAGGTGGAAGTTGTTAGAAAGGTTGGGTTCATCTTCCTCAGGACTTGCGTGGTGCTTCTGGCACCCAACACAAACATGGGAGCATCCTCGGAAAAGGGACTTAAAAGCAGTGAATCTCAGCTGAAGTCAAGCAGGTGACCTGACTCTGTCTCCAATAAAAAGGTTTATTTATTGTGCTCCCACTGGAATGCGGAGAAAATGTTACATTTGTTGAATGTTTTTACATTCCAAATGGTTGCTTAATTCTTGTTTTGCTGCTTCTCTACTTTCAGATCCTTTTCACCATTACTTTTTGGCTACTGCTGAGGCAGCACCTCACAGAGCAAAAAGCTCTGCAAGAAAAGGAAGCTCTTTTATCGGAAGTCAAAATTGGCAGTCAGGAAAATGAAGAAAAAGGTAAATTAGTGTATATGTGTGGCTGGAGAGTTTGGTGCTCAGCAAAATTACAGAGAAAGAGCCCCAAAATACATCAGACAGCTTCAGAATAAATGAAACTGGAATGTAAACTTGGAGCAATAAGTAACGTTATTACAGCGTGTGACTTTTGAGGTACACGTGAGAGTTGCACAGGAGTGCTAAAAATGTGCCAGTTGGGCCGGGCGCCGTGGCTCGCGCCTGTAATCCCAGCACTTTGGGAGGCCGAGGTGGGCGGATCCCGAGGTCAGGACATTGAGACCATCCTGGCTAACACGGTGAAAACCCGCCTTTACTAAAAATACAAAAAACTAGCCGGGCGTAGTGGTGGGCGCCTGTAGTCCCAGCTACTCAGGAGGCTGAGGAAGAGAACGGTGTGAACCTGGGAGGCGGAGCTCGCAGTGAACCGAGACCTCACCGCTGCACTCCAGCCTGGGCGACAGAGCGAGTCTCCCTCTCAAAAAAAAAAAAAAAAAAGTGCCATTTGATCCTCACGAAGGTGATTCCCAATGAAAGAAAAACTGAGGCTCTGAGAAATTAAATGCTTCCTCCCAGGTCATACTTCTAGTGAGTACTGGAAACAAGAAGCTAAGTCACATCTTTCACATTTAAAACTTCTCTCTTCTTTCTTAACAATAGTATACCACAATGTAAAAACAGAGGATGATGATGTTATCACCTTGATAATTTTAGACCTGCTATATAGGTAAAATAAGAACAGCTTGCTCCCTAATTCCCTAGGTATGCCAATAAATGTAAATTTAATATTTGTAGAATGGATTGAAGACTATTGTGAGGTTAAGAAGCACTGTCTGTGAAAAGGAGCCTAGAAATGTCCACAGAAGCTGGGCTGGTCACCTTCAGATTAAACCAGTAACCATAAGAATGAATACAGGCATATATATATCTCCATACACACACACATATATTTATGTTTAGTTTCTTATTTGGACCTAAACAATGAGTTGTTTTTCAGTAACAAAAGTCTGTCTATAAGATTCAAATCTTGCCTGTATGAGTTTGGATGTCTCTGTTCAACATAGTGATTAAATTAACCAGTTAATTTTGGTAAAAAATGGTTAATTTGAGATCAACTGTTGCTCTGAGCCCTCACTTGATTTTCACTCTTCTCACTGTGAATCTACTAGTTGTTTGAATAAATTATTCAAATTAACCCCAATAATTATTTTGAAATAATTATTCAAGTTCTTCAAATATAAGGCTGTGTAACACAGAGATGACTCTTATGTATTTTAAAGCAACACAAAATAAGTTTTTTATTTTGATCCATTAAATTGTTTTAAACTTAAATTACAATTACTCTTTCAATCTAATTTAAATTAAATTATGTTTTGCTGTAACTCTTAAATTTTTAGTTATTTAAAAGTATACTTTTTGTTTAAGATTGTTAGCATTAACCACATTTAGTAAAGTACTATTTGGATTGTCTAGAGCCATGAAGCAATTAGAATTTGAAATTGATATAGTCATTTAGATTTGTGCTATTGTTGCCTATTTATTTTTTACATCTCACAGTACTTAAAGCTATCACTGGATATCAGAAAGAAAAAAGATCTTGTATATAAATTAGTGTTACCAAATTTATTTTCTTGTAAACTATATTTTGAGAAGGTTATGAAAATTGACTTTTAATCTAGTTATAAATGTTGCTGAGTTTATGAGAATAGTCTAAAATCATCCAAATTATACAATAACTTAGAAAATGCATGCCTCTACATCCTATACCTATCACATGGTCAAAGTGTGGTCTGCACAGATAACCAGCTAAGTATAACAGCACAGTTTTCTATTTGAAGATGAGGAACTTCAAGATATACAAGTGGAAGGAGAGCCCAAAGAGGAGGAAGAAGAGGAAGCGAAGGAAGAGAAGCAAGAGAGAAAGAAGGTAGAGCAAGAGGAAGCTGAAGAAGAAGATGAGCAGGACATCATGAAAGTCCTGGGCAATCTGGTGGTGGCCATGTTCATCAAGTACTGGATCTACGTCTGCGGAGGCATGTTCTTCTTCGTCAGCTTCGAGGGTAAAATCGTAATGTACAAAATCATCTACATGGTGCTGTTCCTGTTCTGTGTGGCCCTATACCAGGTAGGTACACAGTTGACCATTTTAATTCTCACATCTCTCCCAGGAGTATACATGAGCTACCTCTGCAGAGATTTTAAATCACTAGAATCTCATGAACATGGATAAAGTGATTGGCAAGATTCAAACATCGTATCCCAAGAATCCTAAAATGGGAAATGACTGTCTTCAACTTGTTTACTATTTCAGAATTTCAGGGCTGGGTGCAGTGGCTCATGCCTGTAATTTCAGCACTTTGGGAGGCAAGGGAGGAGGACTGCTTGAGGCCAGGAGTTCCAAACCAACCTGGGCAAAATACTGAAACCTTGTCTCTACAAAACATTTTCTTAAATTAAAAAATTAGCCAGTTGTGGTGGCACACCTGTAGTCCTAGCTTCTTGGTAGACCAAGGCAGGAGGATCACTTGATCCCAGGAGGTCAAGGCTGCAGTGAGCTATGCTTGTACCACTGCACTCCAGCTGGGCAACAGATTAAGATGCCATCTCTAAAAAAAGTAAAAATAAAAATTTTAGGTTGTTGAAAAATCAGGAAAAAGTTCATACATAGGTTTTCCAAAAATTATTGATCAAAAAAAATCTGTAAAATTGAATTACATTTCTATTTCTTCCTTCCTTCCTTCCTTCCTTCCTTCCTTCCTTCCTTCCTTCCTTCCTTTCTTTCTTTTTTTTTTTTTGAGACAGGGTCTTGCTCTGTCCCTTAGGCTGGAGTGTAGTGGCGTGATCTCTGCTCATTGCTCACTGCAATCTCTGCCTCCCAGTTTCAAGGAATTCTCATGCCTCAGCCTCCCAAGTAGCTGGGATTCCAAGTGTGTGCCAACACCTCCAGCTAATGTTTGTATTTTTAGTAGAGACGGGGTTTCACCATGTTGGCCAGGCTGGTTTCAAACTCCTGGCTTCAAGCGATCTGCCCTCCTCGGCCTTCCAGAGTTCTGGGATTACAGGCATGAGCCACCGCACCTGGCCTGTAAAAATTGAATTATATTTTAAAATAGTAATTTAAAAGCTGGATAATCTGAAGTCGTAGAGTATTCCTAGGTATACTTTTGCATTTCAGGCTTTAGGGTCAGAAAAAGATATATGTGTGGCATGTGCCTGCTCTTTGTGTACATATATATATATGTATAGTGCATTGACTGCTTTCATATTTCATTAATTAAAAGAATTTCATTCATTAAAATAAGTTAATATATGAGATACATTAAAATGAGTTACTTCTCCACAGACTCACTTTTAACTGATGATAAAAGAGAACCCAATAATAGAAACACATGAAAGAGTAAAATATCTTGCAGGTAGCCAACAAAACAAATAAAGGAACTACAATAAACAAGAGTACATAATATGTTAAGATAAAAAAATCTCAAAAGAAATCAGTGAACTTTTGAATACTCTTAAAAATTCAGGATGGATGTTCTCTAATGAATATCCACAGCTTACGGTAAAACGAGATGTCTTTTTTCTGTGGTTGGTTCACATTTTCATTCATACAATATTGCTTTCAATTTCAAAATGGATGTGGTTTTCTCTGAGCAATGATAACCACAATGACAGCAGCACCTACCCTACTGTTCCTTGAGCGCCCCCTATGGGCCAGATAGCTTGCAGGAACCCATAAGCAATATCTATTTCATCCTCGTAGCAACCCTGCAAAATAGGCACTTATGGAAGGTTCAGCCTCTTCCCCACACAGTTAGCAATCATTTATAAAACTGGGGTTCTAACCCAGGACCACTCCACTGTGATAGACACGGAACATTAAAAACTAGAAATGAAATAGACTTTATTTTCAGACACTTGTAAATGTATCACTTGTCTTACTTGAATTAAACCAAATATTTTTGTGAGTTTTCCTAAAAGTGATTTTTTCTCATTTTTTTTTTTCAATGTCTGATTTGCAGGTGCACTATGAATGGTGGAGGAAAATTCTAAAATATTTTTGGATGTCAGTGGTTATTTACACTATGCTGGTGCTTATCTTTATATACACATATCAGTTTGAGAACTTCCCAGGCCTGTGGCAAAATATGACTGGACTGAAAAAAGAAAAGTAAGTGATTTTGAGTTGAAAATGATGAACAAGATGAAGACTTGAATGCATATTGTTCAAAGCATCTTTAAGGAAGATTTTAGTAAAGCATGATGTCATCAATGTCTATAAGTTCCTCAATAATAGAAATTAAAACTGAGTCGTTTTTGTGTTCTCTTTACTTAGCCCTTAGCTTAGAACATAATAGGCACTCCATGAATTTTCAGAATTTTAATGAAATGACATTTTCTAATGTTAGTTTCATGTGAAACACACCTAACACTTAGTCGTGCTTTCTGCCCTCCACATTGGAGCTCAGTTCTTCAGTTCTTAAGTAAGTTCATGCACTTATAACATAAAGTAGCAGACTTTGCTCATTTATGTTGCTGGGTGCTTAGATTCTAAGGAGTATTTAGCGCCAAAAAGAAATAAATTTCTCCAAGTGCTCATAGACTTGTGATGATGAGATGGTGTTCCTGTGCATGTGGGAGATAGTGCTCTATCCTTCTCTAATTTTCTTCTGTAAACTTCTGAAATTAGTTTGGAAATCCAGCCAGCATTGGGTTTTGAGCTGAATATATTGATGTGGCTGAGAAGGGAAGTCCCTTAAAAGTCTCTGTCCCTTAGAAGGGAAAGATAACTGTGTAACTACACCAACACAGCTGAAGTGTCTATACAATAAGCATTTATTAAATGCTGTCCATGTGCTGACACTGTTTTGTGCCTGGAATATGACAGGGAACAAGACAGACAAAATCTAAGCCCTGTAGATCTTATATTCTAGCAGAGGAGACAAACAAAACTATTTAGTGTAAAATAAGTCTATTATACTTTGTGACAGGTCTGTGAAGGAAACAGACAACAGGCTGAGGCAGTGAGTAAGGGGGAACTATAAATGAGTGACTGGCACGGGCTTTGCTGAGGAGCTGGTTTAAACTACAGTTGAAGCATTAGAAGAAGCTTGTCTTAGGAAAAGTGTGTGAGTTGGAGTCTGGGGTGTGGAAGGACATTTCAGGCAGAGGGAACAGCACATGCAAAGGTCCTGAGGCAAGTCAGAGTTTGGCACAGTTCATAAGAGGAACTGAAGACAGGGGGTGAGTGGACAGCGAAGAGTGGGGAGAATTCAGGCAGGCAGCTGGGATGTGCATGGCTTGTAGGTAGCATTATTTGTATTTTATTCTTGGTGGAATTTTCCAATCTTTAAAGATCCCTTGACTAGCTGAGAAAAAGCGATGTGTGGGAGTAGAAACAAGGAGACTAGTTAGTAGGCAGCAGCAGCGGTCCTGTGAGAAATGATGGGAGCTTCCCCTAGATTTGGTGGAGGCAGAGACGGATAACAGGAGTGGGCAATTCAAGAGGTGCTTTAGGATGCTGAAGGAAATGTGGATGAATGAGATATGAAAGAAAAGAACACAGGAGGCGTCTGACTTCTCAGTTTGCGCAGGGTAGACAGTTGTACCATTTATTGGTTCAGGGATACTAGAGTGGGGAGAGGGATGTGGAGGACAGCTTTGCCAAGAAAAATAGGAAAATCAAGAATACTGTTTTGGAAGCACTAATATAAAATAACTGTGAAACAACCAATTTCCAGTAGCAATTTGGGCACGAGAATCTTACAGGAGGAGCCTGCGCTGTAGATGCACTTTGAGTCCTTGGTGTAAGGATGATGTGTAAATCCACAGAAGAGGATTTCCCTAGGGGGAAAGCACAGCTGGAAGAGAGATCAAAACAGAGTCCTGGGGAAATTTCAGCCTCTAGAGGTCCAATAGAAAAGGGGGAGATCATGGAGGAACAAGAAACCAAGAGAGTGTGATGGTGTCAAGACCACACTTGCTTCAAGGAGGACCAGAGGTTTAATTAAATAAAGCTGAAGAAATAGTCCTGGAATTTGGGAATGTCAAGGTTTATTATTGACCATTGTTAAAGTAGGTTAGCTGGCTTGGTGGAAACGAAAGCCATATTGGACCATATGGGAGAGAGGGATTCAATAAACGATAGACCTGACAGGAGTGTAAGACTGTGATGTAGTTTATCACAAAGAGTTTGTGACTTCATTGCGTAAGAGAGGTTCCTGCTTTTTATTTTGTTTTGTTTTGCAGGCTTGAGGATCTTGGCTTAAAGCAGTTTACTGTGGCTGAACTATTCACTCGCATATTCATCCCAACCTCCTTTCTGCTGGTGTGCATTTTACACCTGCACTACTTCCATGACCGGTTCCTTGAACTCACAGACCTCAAGTCCATTCCCAGCAAAGAAGACAACACCATCTACAGGTGAGCCACTGGAAGAAACACAGACCTCTTATTAGCAGGAAGGCAGCTCTTCAACCCTACCTTAGGTTGGCCACCTTGCGAGAAGCCAGTAATCTAAAAGTTTCAGCCTTGAATTTTCCATGAGTATCAGCTTGTGAGAAAAAGAGGAAAACATGTGGAAGATTCTGTGACACGTTCTGAAACAATGGGTAGTGACTTATGACTGGTTAATGTAAAGTGATCTTGATCGTCTTGTGAGATATTCAGAGTAGCTGTGGAGACTTAAATATTTTAGAGTTGATATGTGTATTTGTGTCTAGGCTGGTTATATGTTTTTAGAACATTTAGGGAATCTGGCTAATTCAGAGGATTTTTCCATTATGCCAACCACAAGTACAGAAGTCTTGTGAGAGCATAGCAAAAGATGATGGGCAGTTTTCCCTTCCACTTTGGAAATAAAGAACTTTGGCTGAAAAAACAGAATCTGCAATTGACTAGTAACTACAATCATATTTAAGAGGACAACATGATGACAATATCTTCTTTTAGCAGCTTACGGCTGTTTTATCCTCATCAATAAATATACATTGTTTGCAAATAACAGATGGGATATTACTTTTCCTGCCCGTATTTATTCAAACCACAATGGGTTATCACAAATCCTTCACTGTGTTCCATCACGGGGAGATCACAAGCATTCTTTTAGTGAACGCTGACAATGGTTTTCCTTTCTGCCTCATGTTTAGCCTATGATTCAGATATTGGAAAAATACTTGTTAAGCAGCTAAGGGAGCAAAGGGCTGTATTGAGAGGAGCACAGAGGCCACGGATGAAAATTCTCCTTAATTATTTGACTTTAAGGGAAAAAATGCAGGTATCAATAGAAGATGAAGTAGGAGTTCATGATATGCATTTCGTAAAATGCCAAACTTCCAGCGTTCTGCTGTGTAGGAACTAGAGTTATGGATAGACCCAAAACATTTATTTAATGATGAGAAACATTTTATAATCCTTGTTTATGACCAGCAGATTCACTTTTCTTATTGTGTTGTGTTTCGCCTATCATTCTGATACTTCAGATGACTCGTAACCCATGGAACCAAGAGGTATCAATCAGTCATGACTTGTTTTGCTATCTAGCCACCAGGAAAATCAGGCTCTGCTAAAACCTCTCTGCTCCCAAGGCCCCAGCAGGGAGGAGGGCATGGATGGGGTCAGTGGTTTACCATCTCCATATCTGTACTCCTGCTACCTTCAGTGATGATCAAGCATTAGGAAAAATAAAGTAGTTATTAGAAGTTTGGGGAACCCTAGAAGATATCAGTCATAGACAAACTTGATGGGAGGGAAAATCACCCCAAGTTTAAAAGTTTACAAAGAGAATGCCTGCACATAAAAGTGAGAATTGTCAATAATCAGAAAAAGGATTTTTTTAATCATTATTTTGACATTGTTTGTGATCTGTGTGGATAAAACTAGTATTTGATATTTAATTCTGACCATGTAACATGTTTAAATTTACTATAAGCCCTCACCATTCTTTTCAAGGGCCCTATTCAATAATTACAAAGTATTTTAGTTAGCAGAGCCAATTTATATGTTTGTGAAGGAGTTGTAATTATTAAGCATTGCTAGTGAAATCTTTTTTAAAAAAAAATCTTTTTTTTCTTCCAAATGCCATTTCTTCTCTTGCATATTCATTTTTTTTTCTCACTAAAAGTGCCTCCAGCATGCAGGAACCTTTTTCTTGCCATTTTTCTTAATGTGGATGTGTCTGAGTCTTCTGTCACGCAATCAAACAGAGATATAATTCACCATTTATCCAGAAAAGTAGAAACATGCAGGACCACAGTTTTGCAGAAGACAATTTGGTTCACCAGCCTAGAGACTCCCAAGGTTTGGACCTAGCGTATGTGAAAACTGAATTAAGGTCCCACAGAATTCCCTTTAAGCGTGTATAGCAGTGTTTAGCCTATGCAGGTTCTGGGGAAAGACTGCAGCCCACGTCAAGATGTAGGTTCTATGTTTCCTCAGCTGCCGCTTCACAGCCCTTACCCTGCACCCCATGGCAGAGAAGAAAGATCTAAATGATCTGTACCGATATGAGTCCTGACTTGCCTTCCTTGCAGCTGTGGCTTAGCCCTAAGCACTCCCTTAACGGTGAATTTTCCAAGTAAATGTAAAGGGTGAGGAAAGAGTGTGTAATGCCAGTTCTCTGAAGAGTTTAAGGACATAGGATTTCATTTTTCGTTCTATGAAAATTTTATAATATATATTATATAATATAATAATATATATAATATAAGAATATAATATTTAATATAATATATATTATTTAATATAATATATATACTATATAATATATTATATAATTATTTATATATAATTATAATATATTATATAATTATTTATATATAATTATAATATATTATAATTATTTATATATAATTATAATATATTATAATTATTTATATATAATTATAATATATTATATAATTATTTATATATAATTATAATTATATTATATAATTGTTTACATATAATAATATAATATATCATATAATATATAATCATATATATTATGATATATATAATTATATGATATATAATATGATGTACATTGATATATATTAATATATAATATATAATTATAACATTTTACATATAATATATAAAATGTTCAAAGCTTAATATATAATATATATAATGTTCAAAGTTTAAATATATATATATATTTTTAGCAACTCTTCCTCATGGGAGTATTTTCCTTGCTCATAATTTTCACCTCACAGTATTTTTTGTCCTTGGAGTCCTAATACAATGGCTACATTAAAATCAAAATGATGAAGAAAAAGGAATATTTTGAGAGTTAGGATTGACTGTCAGGCTTTGCTTTCTCTGCTCCTGCCTCCTAAACAGTTGCTTTACAAGAAATGGCCCACAGATCAGGAATAACCGATTCGCTCGTTAAGCTGATTTCCACACTGTTGTCTCTGGAGATATGCAACTCTTATTTTCCTGTTGTGTCACTTGTTGGTGTATATGTGCTTATGCACACAGATGTAATGTAGGCACATGTCACTTGTGTATGAAGCAGAATTTATTATGTTTAGACTTACAGAATTTACAAAGTTAGCCTTATGAAAATGTAATAATATAGGAAGAAATTATTATTCCTAAGGAGGCAATCTCAGGAATATTATTTCACCTATATATTGATAGAATTTCATATTATAAGAATTATAACGTATAACATTGTTTATTATATAATATATAATTAGCAATGATTTACAAAGGACTATTTAAATATTCATTACTGGTTTTTTTTTTTATTTGAAACGGAGTCTCGCTCTGTTGCCCAAGCTGGAGTGCAGTGGTGCCATCTCGGCTCACTGCAACCTCCACCTCCTGGGTTCAAGTGATTCTTCTGCCTCAGGCTCCCAAGTAGCTGGGACTACAGGCATGTGCCACCATGCCTGGCTAATTTTTCTATTTTTAATAGAGACGGGGGTTTCACCATATTGGCCAGGCTGGTATCGAACTCTTGACCTCATGATCCACCTGCCTCGACTTCCCAAAGTGCTGGGATTACAGGCGTGAGCCACCACACCCGGCCATATTCATTACTTTTATAGCTCTTTAATTTATGCAGGTTTGTTTTAGAAAGTATTATTATGCATAGAGAAATGAAATGACTTTTTTTAAACTATAGTTTTAGCAAAACCTTAGAAAACAACATGTTGAATATGGCCGCTGAGTAGGATCCTTTTTTTTTTTAATTCTGGGGTAGCAGCAAAAATTAATTTTTTAAATTATATTTTATTTCATAAAATGTACCTTGAGGCCAGGCACTGTGTCTCACACCTGTAATCGCAGCACTTTGGGAGGCTGAGGAGGGTGGATCACCTGCAGTCAGGAGTTTGAGACCAACTAAGCCAACATAGTAAAACCCCATCTCTACTAAAAATACAAAAATTAGCCAGGTATGATGGCATACACCTGTAATCCCAGCCACTTGGGAGGCTAAGGCAGGAGAATCACTTGAACCCAGGAGGCGGAGGCTGCCATGAGCTAAGATACGTCACTGCACTCCAGCCTGGGTGACAGAGCAAGACTCTGAAAAAAAAAAAAAAAAGGTACCTTAAAAAATTTAAACATTACAAATTTGTAATAAAGTGTGTGAGATGGAGAGGGATGAGAAGAAGGGAGAGGCTTGTTATCTTTTAGCATTTTTCCTGAACATTGTCTGATTTAATGTTGCTACTGAATCTTGCTGTCTAGACTCTTCTTCAAGGCATGAAGCCTGTGAGGGTGGCTACACTTGATGCTAGGAAGCTTAAGGGAGTCCACTTTGTTCGTCTCTGTCTAACAGTCTCCTCTCTTTCTCTCCAACCTGTCTCCTCATTGCATCCCTGTGCTTCCGTCTGCCACCTCGTAGCCATGCCAAAGTCAATGGTCGCGTATATCTAATAATAAATAGGTGGGTACTTCAATGTTTTCTCTCTTATTTTTGTTCGAAGCTATTTCTTGCTGTGTTAAACTCTTAACTGCTTTATACATGAAAATCGTGTTGTCAGATAGTGGACACTGGTCTTCAGGTATGCTCATGGATGTATTTTGCAAACCAAACCATTTGGTATCTGTACCGACTGGTGCCGTCAAGTGGATGTGGAGGCTGTTGAGGGTCTTCAGCTGGTGCTCAGCCTTTGGCCTTGGTTCAAACTTACGTCCCATTCATTCTGTTCTTTGGTAGAATTAGTGCAAGGCTTGCCTGAGAACTCCCCTCCCTCTTGAACACATAACTGAGAGCTCAGCTCAAGAACCACCTCCTCCACAAACCCTCCCATAAATGCCAACATTCCTGCTAAGAGTAATCCGCCTTCCCTCTGAACCTCCGTAGCACTCCATCACTGATGCTGTCCCGACACTTGCCTTCCGGTCCTCTGTCTGATCTCCTGCCTGCTTGTCTTATCTGCCTTGCTAGAGTAGGGGCATAACCTTCTCAGATCTGGACTCCCTCTATGATTCACCAAGATGTCCCCATGTCACCTAACCCCAGCGCCTTACCCATGAAGTGATATTTGATAGCTATTTCCTAAATGAAAAGAAAGTAGTCACAATATATGGTTTTAAAAACATCACTTTCTTCAAATATATCTCTACTTGAAAGATCAACATATTATTGAAGAGGGATATTTTACATCACCAGATTTCATATGTTTGCACAGCACAAAAGGCACTGAGATGGCACTGAGATATGGACTTTCCTTCAGATGCATATCACCTAGCTAGGGAGATAAAACATATAATGTCCACACAAAATAAAAAGCAAGTTTTGATAAATGTCGTGCAATAGGTTATCCTCCAGAGTTATCCTTTGGGATCTAACTTACTAAAACTATTTTACTTTACTAAGTAGGTGAATTAAAATATTCACTCTTGTAATTGCATGTCATTAGTAATAAAGCTAGTAATTTAGTAAGAGAAATATATCTTGCAATAAATCCAATTAACAAAATAATTCTTCAAAAGATTTGTTGGTTTTCTACCCCGTTCGCTTTTCTTATAGGTAAAATCCTAAGGCAGACAACCAAATTACAAACCCTAAGAGGCAGAACTTCTAACCAAGTATGAAAAGCAGAGTCACTTGTGGATTGCTGAGGGAGGAGGAATGAACGAGGCCTGTCAGGTTTTTTGGGGGCTGGTTTTTGACAACCTGAAAAAGAAACATCAACAACAGGTTTTTCAGCTGATAGGAAGAGAAGTAAGAAACAGACTCTAGCTAGAAATCCTGAGCAATAATCTAAATCCCATCCCTCCAAACATAAGGAACTCCTCACTCTCTTTTTCTCTGTGTTTCTTATGAAGCATTTAGCATTTGCTTTGTAAAGAGAAAGCTGAGACCCATAAGAGGGCAAGAGTTGGTTTGATGGGCTCCCTTGGCAGCAACTCGTATGACTTTTGATCCCGAAGGACGAGACTTATATCATGAATGGGAGCTTATGCCCCTTATCCCAAGCCACAAGGCCAGCTAATTCTCTCAGGACTTCTTAGAAGTATCAAAGTTCAAAGTCACCCCAAATGACCAAAAACTTGCAATATCCCATCTTTACCTTCTTTCCAGTGAAATCTCCTATTTTTGTGTGAATATAAACATGTTAAGAGCAGCCAGAGGCCGGGTGTGGTGGCTCACGCCTGTAATCCCAGCACCTTGGGAAGCCGAGGCAGGTGGATCATGAGGTCAGGAGATCGAGACCATCCTGGCTAACACGGTGAAACCCTGTCTCTACTAAATATACAAAAAATTAGCTGGGTGTGGTGGCGGGCGCCTGTAGTCCCAGCTACTCGGGAGGCTAAGGGAGGAGAATGGCGTGAACCTGGGAGGCAGAGCTTGCAGTGAGCCGGGATGGTGCCACTGCACTCCAGCCTGGGCGACAGAGCGACTCCCTCTCAAAAAAAAAAAAAAAAAGAGCAGCCAGAGCTGTGCCTCAAAGGAAACGTTATCAAACAAGCCTGTCCCTCATTTTATAATGTGTGCTTCTGAAATGCTGTATGCAGTGTTGAGTAGGGCTGATTATCCATTAGAATGACAGGGTGAATCCTTTAATAAAGTATATAAGCTTGCTTTCTCTCATTATTTCTTTATGTTCAGTGTTTTATAAGGAGAATAAAATGTTTATAAATGTTAGTTCTGGGCTGAAAGAGGGGCATACCTACAATTCAACTTAAGAGTTGATTAAAATTTAGACATGACTTTACAAGTTGTAAGGTAGGGTAGTGTATTGAGGACAGTAGGCCACTTTGATAACATTTTAAAAATATAGATAATTGTGGTTAAGTTGCAACTGACCTAGTAAACAGTATACATTTTACCAACACACATAATTAAGATGTAATATTCAATTCACAAACCAAGTGCCTATATGTGAATACAATCTTCTGAGAGTGCTTTTGAGTTCTAGATAATAATTTATCTTAAACAGTAAAATTATTTTACTTTAAATGTTACTTATATTAAACACTACACAGGTGCAAGTCACCTTTCTGCTAATAGTCTAATGATAACAGTGTCAGTGCAGTTTATATTACCACATATTCCAAATTAGAATCATAAAAACAAATGACATTCAGACTAAGGAGATTTTACAATGCTAGAATTTCCATTTTCTTTAATGGAAAGTAGTTTACTATGCAGCTTTTCAAAGTCAGGTTCTTGTACAGAATTAACCCTCTTTGAGCGTCCCTGTCAAGTAATTTGTTTCTTCTGTTTCAAATAAGGATGTATCTCCAGTGCATAAAATTTCTTCACCCAAGATTCAGTGAATTATAGTGCACCCCAGGCACAGTACTACATTTTGTAAGGGTGATGAGTAGAGCAGGACTGGATTCTGTCTTCAAGGGGAAAGTCCCCAGAACCCATACTTAGAATAAAATGACAGAGTCACAAATGGAGAAACACACACATTGGGAGTTGCACAAAGCTGTGGAAGTGTAGAGTGAGTGAAGACACAAACAAATACTTGTCATCTGCTCCGTTAGAACATGAAAGGAGAGAGCCATTTTGCTTAATGGTCAGTGAGAAGGTTAGAGCTCAGAGCCTGAATAAGAGCAAGGAAACAAAGTTATCAGTAATGTTAAAGAAAACCCTAAGAGAAGAAATGCACTTCCTGTGGAGAAAGACATCCAAAGCAGCCTGATTGAAGGCAGTGGAGGAGGGGGCTTCTCCGGGAATCCTGTTCATCATCATGCGTATTATTTGGAGTCCCAAAGTCAAAATCCTGCATATGACCACTAGGTAATTTGCACCTGATATTCAGTAAAGAATTATAAGTCTTATAAGTTCCTTAGCCTGAAGCCTGATGTTCAGTAAAGAATTACAAGTCTTATAAGTTCTTTAGCCTGAAGTTTCCAGGAGTATTTTTACTAGAGTGGGTTTTTAAATTTTGTTTTTGGAAAATCAAGATCCATTTTCTTTTTATTTGCTAGGAAGGAAAAAAAAAGCTGAATTAAAATACACAGGCTTTCCCGGAGAGTCCATACAGCTGTTTCTTCTAGCAACCGCAGCTGGGTCTGCCTCGAAAGCTTGCATTTGTGCAGAACCACCTCTGCCGCTCCCACTCCTCAGGGAATGCAGTAGTTGAGATTACACACAGAAAGCCCAGTAAACAGAACCCTGAGACCATTGGGAAACAGATTCCCGATGAAGAAATGTTTGCTCCTTTTTTTTCTTCTGAATGGCCTTCTATAAAATAGCCAAGTTCTGTTAAAGAAGGCGCTGATGACAGAATCATAGTCTAAGTTTAATACCTTCCGTATCATCCATCATTGTGCAGGCTCTTACAAAAGCATGTTTCTAATTCTGCTTTTTCTTTACAATGAATTTATGATGCAGATTATCAAACCATAATATATGAAAATCTACCATTAGAAGATGGCTCCTTATTTTAAAATGTTTCCTGTGTAATTAACCACTGTGTTAACTGCTTAACAGAAACCACCTTAATTTTTACAACCTCCTATAAATAGGCACTACTGTTTCAGCTAACCGAGACTTAAAAGATAGGTTACATAGCTTTCCCATCTCACCTAGCTAGCAAGTTTTCTGGTGAAGACTTGAACCCAAGTCTTTTAACGTTCTTCTCTATGGCCTCTAAAAACAATGTTACCATAAAAATGAGAAAAAGAGAGAGAGAAAAGTAAAAGGATTCACACAAGTGTCTTTTTG
This sequence comes from Homo sapiens, assembly GCF_000001405.40. Taxonomy (NCBI): domain Eukaryota; kingdom Metazoa; phylum Chordata; class Mammalia; order Primates; family Hominidae; genus Homo; species Homo sapiens. The sequence goes on along the minus strand of NC_000018.10, from coordinate 10,776,079 downwards.
AAACAGTATACTTTATTCATGCATTTAAAATATTTTTATCTATGTTTTATGCACACAGTTTTTTACAATACAAGGTACAATTCTCTGAAATTTCTCAAGATAGTTAATAAACCCCTAGACTAGTAAATGACAGCCTGATACATAATTTCTTTTTTTTTTTCTTTTTTTGTCATCCATTACAAGCTCATGAGGTTAGACTGCTCCAGAGAGGGTCTGGAGTTTGTGGCTCTAAGGTCAGAGGGAATGAGCAGTGTTGGATGCAGAGATGCCCTTCTCATTTGTCCGCAGCTGCATCTTGTCCCATTACAAGTTTCTAGAAATCAGCCTTGTGGACCTACTTCCAAAAGGCTTACTCCAGTGTCTTCCTCTGATTCTTTCATTGAACGATCTCTCCTCAATGCACCCTGCCTGTGGCATGGCAGTTTGGGGGCATCGTTGCTTAAGGACATCTGCTGTGTAGCTGTAGTAGCAGCTGTGGAAACAGCCTCCCCTCTTTGAGTTTCACTCTGTTAATAGCAGTAATTGTTAGAAAGTAGTTTTCTTGTCGTATGAGATTGCAGCAGTGTCAATGTAGACCTTTAAGATTCACTCTGAGGTGGTCCCACCTCACACTGCAACCACCGAATTCCTTGTCTTAATAAAGGTATCTTTTCATTTATAAAATGCATCCCTGAAGAGAACAAATACATACTGACGACTGTGCAGCAGCCGATCACTTCCACATTTAATAACATTTCACATGGAGAGTCCTGACAAAGCAGGAACAGCAAATGTGTTCCCTGAGATTTGGTGTGTGGCACTGGTATAGAAGATATGGGTTGCAATTTTAAGAGTAGCTAACTTCTCCAAAGTCGAGAGGATGAATTGACTAGCTTAGGAAAATAAGGAAGTAGTATGTCAGCCTAACTCCTTCCACCAATGTAAAACTCGCTTCAGATTCTCTCTCTTCATTAAATTAACAATCTGTTTCTGGCATACTATCATTTACCTGCTGGACATCCTGTGCAAGGGAATTGTTTGAATGATAATCTAAAAGCGTAGGGACAATGTGGATTCCTTACGACAGTTACCCAAAATGATAGGCATGTTTACAAATATCAAATCAACAAGTTGAAAGTAAACCTGCATTTTATCTAATCAAACTTCCTCATTTGGTAGAAAATTAATTAACTTTCACAAAGTTAAATAGTTTACTCAGAACCTACAATTATCCAGATAGAATAATATTATTTATTGTCCATCTTGTTTGAACCCTGCTAAAAATTTCTGGATTAACTATGATAAATAGAGAAGACTATCAGTATGTCTACTAGGCTTTTTCTTAATGTAGACTTTATTGCCCAGAAGTTCTTTAAAACATTAATTTGAGTATGAATAAAAAGATATGCTTTTAAAAAAAACTGTAGGAGAAGGATGGGACTTGTTATGGTCCACTAAGAAATAAACTGTAACATCCCAGGCTGCTGAGTGGGCTCACCGGAAGCTCTCTCTCCCTGTATTCTTTCTCTGGTTCAGGATCTCACACAGTCTTCCCACGGTTGCCAATCGACAGTTCGCATCAGTAACTCTCAGGTGGGGACATGATGCAGACGTCTCACTCCTGAAAACACTTAGCTTCCATGGCACATGCTTTAGATGGCAGAGTGGGATTCGTCTACACAAAGGTTGACTGAAAGCACACATTCTTTCAAGAAATTTTTAAAAACTTACCAAAAATGTGAATGACTTGATTCTTGCAAGATGGTTTGTTGCGTTACTAAAAAAGCATGATATAATTTGCCTCAGCAGTCTCAGTATGCTCTCTCCTTTACAAACCTGCAATCCTGTCCACTCTCAGATCAGTTGCCATGCCTAGGGTTCAGAGCAAAGCACGCTATTGATGCCACCCTGGAATGCATTTGGCATTAGGGCGTTACTGCAACAGGCATACAGGAATGCAATAGTGGATGATATGTAGCATGATATGTGATCTCTGACATTCCTTATAATTCTTCTGTTCTCATCTCCTTTTTTTCCTTTCTATTTCAATTACTATGAGCAGCATCAAGAAAAAATTACCAATCCACCAAAATGAGTAAGTCCCCCTGTGAAGCCATGAAATGCTTGCTCTACATGATGCCATTTCATGCTTCTACACCCTAAACTCTGACCATTTTCTCCTCTGGGAAAAATGTCAAGTTTAGGTGTTGATAGCTCTCATTACCAACTAATCACTAGAACCCGAATTAAAAAAGCTAACAAAACCTAACCAAGTTTACAGTTTGTTTTTAGAAAGAACTTAAAACAAACAAACCAACCAAAAAGAAAGTGACAAAACGCTAACACCCCACCTTGTGAGGTCTTTGTACATGCACTGATTTCATTTGTGTTTATCCTCCTTTTACTTGCCCCTCAGTCAAATCTCTCCCAACACCCTTTCCTCTTCTGACTCAGCTGCTCTCTGCCAACAGACTGGCCCACCCGGAAGGAAGCCTCCCGGACCTCACCATGATGCATCTGACTGCCAGCCTGGAGAAGCCGGAGGTGAGGAAGTTGGCTGAGCCTGGGGAGGAGAAGCTTGAGGGCTACTCTGAAAAAGCCCAGAAGGGTGATCTTGGGAAAGACAGCGAGGAGTCAGAGGAGGACGGAGAGGAAGAGGAGGAATCCGAGGAGGAGGAAGAAACATCAGGTAATCAGCCCACTACCAGCAGCTGGTCAGAGAACGCTGGCTGTCAGACTGAGTGAAGGAAACATTGACTTGCTCCAAAAGAATATATATTTGACCCAGTCCATGACATAAAAATTGGAGTGGTTTTTGTTTGATTGCTATAGTTATAATATTACTGTTCCAATTGCTCCAACAATTTCTTTTTAATTCTGACTGAGTAGAGACCAGACGACTGGTTATCAGTGACTGACCCTCAAGTAGTGCTCCTGTCTAGACACTGGTGGGGCATGGTGTTGACCACGTCCTCAGTCAGAGCCTCTCTGTTTCTACCAGATGCAGGTACAACCTGGCTGTGCAGAATCTCAAAGGCTCTAGACATCGCCCTTACAAATGCATTCTCAAGAAACCATTCTGAGACTTTTCCAGGAAGCCAATAATTAAGAATATATTTCTAGCTCTGATCTGATGCCTAAGGACATGGGAACTGGAGGAGAAAGTCAGCAATTGGATAATTATAATTTCAAGCAAACTCCTAGAGATGTTTTTGTCAATATTGTTGTTACAGGAGTTTCAATCTTTATTATTTGGGCTCTTCTTTTCTACTTCCCTTCCTAGACTTGAAATAATGTTTTAATAGAGCATGATGAACATTGAGCAGCCTCAGTGATCAGGACATGTTATCTGACAGAGAATATAAAGTCTATGTAGCAGTTTCCAGAAAGACTGGGACAAACCAGAGAGCATCATCTCTGGGGTGAGGTTCTGGGGCTATGATCTTAAGATGCTGCACTTGTCTTTGCTGGTCAACTGTCCTTAACAAAAGTAGAAAACAAAAAAAGTAGCAAGAAGACCCCTTCCAAAGGTTTGTGCCCCTTAAACCTGGTGTTCTTTCCCCACTCATCTCAGAACACAGAGGAGAGGACTGGAAACGTTCTCTCCATATCTGAGCATTGTGAATTCCTCAGTGTGAAGGGGAGACCCCAGCTCTGTGAGGCCAAGGACTTAAGTCTAGGATTTTATGACACTACTTCAAGATGGATTTTGAGCTTTGCTAATAGGTCCTGCCCAAAATTGCTCAGCCACTTTTCTCTCAATCCCTCATGTCTGTGGCAGCTACACGTCTAAATCATGCTCATTTATTACCTACACCTTTTTATTGACTACCATCTGAGTCACTCTCTAAATACAGTAGTCCTGCCTTAGCCTTGGGGGACATGTTCTAAGACTCCCAGTAGATGCTAAAACCTCAGATAACACAGAACCCTGTATACACTATGCATGAATTTCTTTTTCCTTCTTCACAATTACACAGATAGAAGAGTTGTTCTTACCTTAGATCTTAGCAACCTCAGCATACATTTTTTTCTTTCGTTATTAATAAAATTGAGAATTGTTAACCATTCACTTAAAGGAAGCATTTTATGGCTTCTCTCTGGCATATTCAAATTGCCAGCATCACTACTCTTTCACTTGGAGCCATTAGAAAGTAAAATAAGAGTGACTTGAACACAGCACTGCAATACTGCAGCGGTCACTCTGAGAACTGAGACAGCTATTAATTGACTGACCACTGGGCAGGGAGTGTAGACAGCATGGCCCTGCTGGACAAAGGGATTCACATTCCAAGGGGAAGGACAGAGCGGGACAGCATGAGATTTCATCCTTCTACTCAGAACAGTGTGTAACTTAAGACTTCTGAATCATTTCTGGAATTTTCCATTTAATATTTTTGGACTGTGGTTGACTGCAGGTAACTGAAATCTTGGGAAGCATAGCCATGGATAAAAGAGAACTACTGTAAGCATACTTCACAATAACTAGAACCTTACTTAGCTTTCAGAACCAGGCACAGTAACTGTTGCATATACCCAAGCCAGTTAAAGAAGCTACTTAAAGAGATACTTAGGACTTGTAATCTGCCAAGACAGACTTGTAAGCTTTTGTTTACAAACAAGACAGGCTGATATTACAAAACAGTCCTGCTGTGACTTTCAGTCAATAAAGTGAGCCAGCATAGTCCTTCTAGATAGAAGCATGACTCCTGTTTTAGCACAAGGTAGAAATAATAAAATAAGTAATTTGATTAAAAATTATCATTTGAATGAATCTGACCATGTTTCAGAAAACCACGGGCTGAGTCATTCTGATGCTTAGAGTTCACTTCTTGTTCTGACAAGGAGCAAGCTCTTCCTGCCCATGCAGGGCTCTGACTGGTTCACTTTTTCATGGAAACCAGAGAGCTTTACCACTCACCAGTTAAGCCTTGTCGAAGGAGACAGGCCATTTATAAAAGTGCCGTTGTGGCAAGAAAGATGTCTTTTAGAAGGAGTTAAGATTATTTAACATTCCTAGAATATTAGAAAATTATAGTTTGGTCTTAAGAGTAAATAAGATTAAGGGGGCTGGGGGCATGGGCGCTCATGCCTGTACTCCCAGCACTTTGGGAGGCTGAGGCTGGTGGATCATTTGAGGCCAAGAGTTCAAGACCAGCCTGGCCAACATGACGAGATCCTATTTCTACTGAAAATACAAAAATTAGCTGGGCATGGTGGTATGTGCCTGTAGTCCCAGCTACTCAAGGAGAATCGCTTGAACTCAAGAGGCAGAGGTTGCAGTGAGCCGAGATTGTGCCACTGCACTCTAGCCTGGGCTACAGAGCAAGACTCTGTCAGAAAAAGGAAGGAAGGAAGGAAGGAAGGGAGGGAGGGTGGGAGGGAAAAAGAAAAGGAAGAAAGAAAGAAAAGTAAATAATGTTGATCATGCCACTGCACTTCAGCCTGAGCTACAGAGCAAGACTCTGTCAGAAAGAGAGAGAGAGAAAGCAAGCAAGCAAGCGAGTGGAAGGAAGGAAGGAAGGAAGATAATGTCAAAATCCTTCTTTACACTAATTTAATCAAAAGGTGGACAAAAGCCACATTGTCCCTCCAAGTCTGAGAGTATGATATCTGTGTCATCATGACTTGGGATTCTTACATCATCCTTATTCCAGATTTTGGTTTTCTTAGAATTCATCCACTGTAATTATTTTGCAGCCTCTCATTCCAACCTGAAAGTTACAAGATATGCTTTAAATGATAATATTTTTAAAAATGTTATGCTCTTGTCTGTACTTCCTATTTTGCAGACTTAAGGAACAAATGGCACCTGGTGATTGACCGCCTCACTGTGCTCTTCTTAAAATTCCTGGAGTATTTTCACAAGCTGCAGGTGTTCATGTGGTGGATTTTGGAGTTGCACATCATCAAAATCGTTTCCTCTTACATTATCTGGGTTTCTGTGAAAGAGGCAAGTGAACATTTGTCCTATCATCAGGCTGAACAGAACCACAGTAGGTCATCATTTTCCTTTTCCAGCTGTCCATGATTTTTTTAATGTGATCCGCATTACATCGGAGTATCAAGACTCCAAGACTAAGTACTTACACTTACAGAAATCCGAGGGTCAGCAGCACTGAGAAAAAGGAAAGAGGCTCGTGGCTGAGTTTCTCGTTGGCTTGGTCATATTACAAAGGCTACTTATTTTCATCGAATCCTTAGGGAAGAGTGTGAGAGCAGGCTGCCCTTCTGCCCCTGCCTATGGGAATCTATCTCCCTAAATTCTCCAAGGAAAACAGTAGCATTCCAGTTTACATTACCAAGGAGAAAGCTCAGGTTCCAAAATCTAATAAAATCTTTAGTAGAGTTCACCTTGTTTACTACTGGATTTCTTGAGATACAATACAAAGTCTTCAGCCATGCACCTGTACTGCACTTCTGTTTCCTTGATTGTAAAGAAGAGAGTCGTCATCCAGCCAACAGATTATTTAATGTTCACTGCAGAGAAATTAGCTTTCTTTCCTTTTATTCAACAAATAGTGTTTGCATACTTCTATATGCCTGGATTATTTCTGAGTTGGTTACAATTCAAGAATTCTTTGCCCTCTAAAAATTAATCAAGGGAGTACTGCCTATAATCTTTAAAAAGTTACATATATAACAGTAAAATATCACAACTACAACACTACAAACCTAAAACTTTTCACAAATAGGTAGCTAAGAGATGAACCTTAATTTGAGCTCCATAGTCTAAACTAGAACTTCTCCCCCATTTCATACAAACCATATGAAATGGGCAGGGAATCATTGCCAAGTGGGAATGAAAACAGAAGCCATTCTATCTGCGAGATTCGTGGGGAAATGGCAGCGGCTCCAATGTTAAGTCACTGGGCGTATACGTTAAATGGAGCCCAAATCTAGCCTAGTATTTATATTCATTGAGAGCCAACATTTAAGCATTTTAACTGTAGAGGTGAATTGAACAGTTCAGATAAAAATTTCAGGGTTAGGGTATTAAAGAGAAATGGAAAAGAACAAGAGAAGGCATTTGACAAAAAATGCACAGAGACCATTTCTGAACAAATCCAGTCTGAGGTACAGGTGACTTCTGATTCATGAGAAGCTGCGTGGCAGGGTGTGAAGGTGTGTTCAGACAGTGTGGTGATGGGAGTGGGCATTGGGGGAGCGGAAATTCATGGGAGTCGGACGCAGAGAATCTGCTGTCATAAATCCATCCTGTTGTACAATCCATCCATCAGAAAAGGGTTAAAGGATGCAATTTCTTATAGATCCTAAACAAAAGGCAGACATAACTTTTTCATTATCCTTAATGAGTCCCCAGACATAAACTTGTTAACAGACCATCAAGTAAACAGAATATCTAGTTACCTTGTTACACTCTTGGGAAAACAGCCTTCCATAGAGTATCACCACTCCCTTCTCTGTGATTCACACATTGTGCAGACTTTCAGAATTTTCATTCCTAATTTCATCTCTCTCACCTTTAACTTTAAAACAAGTGAGAGACTCCTGAAGCATAGAAATCCTGCTCTTTCTGCTGCTAGCATCTGCCAAATCCCATTGCTGTAAAATTGTTTCAGCCACTCGTGTTGTGCGTGATGTCACCCCACCTGCATGGGGGGTTTCCGGCCCTGAAGCTTTGGTCTCTGGGTTCTTGACAGTGTGTGCATTGCTGGCTCTTTCTAATGTAATTGGCACACTAAGCAATCAATTTGGTGATGACATCCAATCAAAAGACTTCTCTTCAGACCCTCATGGTCCCTTTAGAATGCATCCTACAGGGAAACTTTCCTCCGTGTCCCTGAACACAGCGCACTTTCTGATCATTCCTAAGAAATACAAAATCCTACAGTGACTTAAGTGAGCAAAATCTCACTTCAGTAGTTAAAATTGTGCACCCACAGAGAATCATCGAGACTCGGGTCCCTCCCCAGGTAGAAGCTCCTCCTTTCTTATCTGATCCTTTCTTTCTCACCCACATCTCCTTAAAATCCACCTCGCAGAGGCTCTTTAGTCCTTTTTTAAAAAAATCCACTGTACAGAGGCTCTTTATTCCTTCTTTTGTTTTATTCTTTCCTGGGCTGGAGCTCAGACTCACAGGCTCAGGGCAAGGCCCCCTGGGATGGGGATGTTGTGACTTGGCCTGTGCCATCCCATGATGGCCTCACGCTCTGGGCTGGCAACTGGCGGGTAAACCTGCCCTTGCCCTCCTGGAGGCTCCACGGTGGGGCATCCCACAGCCACTCTTGGCCGGCACTGACACCCAGCCCCTGGTTGCCAGCACCTTCTCCTCCTGGACTCCTCTGTGGAGTCCTGCTGCCCTTCCAGACAGCCTTCCCCGCAGCCTTGGAGCAGCTCTGGGTGCTCTGTGCCTCCCCATCAGGACCAGGGGCCACCCTCACACAGGCCCTGCTCTGCTTGTACACATGGAGCCCAGCAAAGAGACTCTGCACCCTGTAACCAGAGCTCTTCATCTCTTCTGGCCCCATGGGTACCAGTGCCCAAGCTCCAGGGTTCACGCATCGGGCTCCGAGTCATTAGCTCCTCACTCGGGCTGCGCGCAGAGGACGTTCTCCTCCCTGCATCCCCACCTGCCCCATCATCTTGGCACTGGGGGCTTGGGGGACAGGCAGGATGCAGCCCCTCTCCACAAAGAAAGCTCTTCAGGAGCTGTGGCAGCTCTGGGTTCCAGACATCCTTACCCAAGGCCTCAGTAAGGGTGCTTGTTTTCACAACTTTTGGGTTCATCTCTCCTGCAAATATTAAACCTTTTCAAAGTTAGCATCATGAAGCATCTGAAAAAGAAGAAGTTGCTGGAAAAGAAACAGAGAAACCTTTATTTTCCATCAGCATCTTATTCAGGAGTGACACTGCTTTGGAATAATCTAGATTTAAATATATATATAGTATACATAAACATTTTCTCCTCCTTTTGAAATACACAGCTACTTTCTAATTCCGAAGGCTATTGGACAGCTCTGTGAGGTCAGTGAGTCTTGAGCAAGAGCCACACTTTCTGTTAGCACCTCAGCTCCTCCCTGGGGGGCCTGGCCAATTGGAGAAGGAAGGGAAGGGGAGGGGAGGGAAGGGGAGGGGAGGGGAGGGGAGGGAATGGAAGGTGGGAGGAAGGAAGGAAGGAAACTTTTGCAGACCTGAGGTTTCTCCTTCTTGTCTGTCTCATCATTGTTATTATTTTCACTCTCACTAAGCATTCATTGAGCCTTTATTAAGGACTCACAATAAAGTGAATGCGTACATGGTGCTAGGTGCTAGTGTAGTAGCTTGAAAGACACACTTCTTGTCTGAGCTCACAGCCTGATGGGAATGGCTGCCAAATAAAACTAAAAGTGATAATAACTGCTGTGCTAGAGGTGTCCACAGTGAGCACTTGCTGCACAGGGAGGAGTATCTCTTGCAGGCGGTTGCAGCCTGGAGGTGATAGTTGCAACTGGGGTTCTCTGGGAGAGGGAAGCCAGGGATGGGTAAGTGCAGGGCCCAGGAGGCTTTGGTTCTCAGAGGCCCCTTCCCTTGAGGCAGGGCCCTCAGGCCCCACAAGGTTATATTCAGATAGGATGACAACCTGTGTACAGGGCTTTTTTGGGAAAGCACTATTGCATAAAACTGTTTCTCAAAATCCTTGATAGTAAGAATCACCTGGACAGTTGTTATGTACGTGGACCAGCATCTATTTCCCTAAAATTCTAATTCATCAGGTGTTGGTTGTGGCCCAGGTATTTGTCATAGTCATTGTCCTCCTCCTCCTCCTTCTCCTCCTACTTCTCCTTCCCCTTCCCCTCCTTTCTGCTTCCCCTTCTCTCTCCCCTTTTCTCCTTCCTCTTCTTCTTCCTTATCCCTCCTCCTCCTCCTGTTCCTCCTTCTTTCTTCTTCTTTCCTTCCACGAGATTCTTACCATCAGGAAAATGATGAGATCATGATCTCTTTAGATAACAGAACTGTGAGAGGGCAAGGCGCACTGAGGTTTGCACTGGGCTTGATATTTGTATGGAATGAAGTATCATACTTCATTCACTGAGCCCCAGTTTTTCTATTTGTAAAATGATAAAAATAAAAATATTCACCGCACAGAGGCTCTTTAGTCCTCCTCTGATTTGACTTCTCTAGGATGCTGAGGACAGGGGATCCTTTCCTTGTCATTGAAGCTCTCCTTTCTCTTGTTTTGGACATCAGCTCACCTTCCCGGCCCCTCCCCACAGTTTCATCAGGCCCTTCCTGTCTCATTGCTGGACTCATCCCGCCCTTCCCACCAGCTTCCTCAGCATGTTCCTCAGTCTCTGTCCACAGCGTGTTTCTGTTCTGGACTCTCATGGGTGAGCTCACGAGCTCACAAGCACAGGACTCCTGCACTTGCTGCGAGTCCCAAAATCTGTGTCAACTCACTACTCTCTTTGAACTCCAGGCCCCTGTTTCCACCTGACAGCTGGGCCTGACCCCACTTCTTGAGTGGCCCCAAAGCTCTTTCAGGTGTCCTACTCACTCCCTCTGCCTCCATTGCCCTTTAGATTACTCTTACAGATTCCCAGCTTTGCCCAATCCTTTCTCCTTGCAATACGTATTCCACAATGCGGCCAGAATAGTCTTCCCACAGGGCAGATATGATCATGAGAGACTTCTACCTGAAACCTTGCAGCAGCTGCCTGGCATCCTCACCGTAACGTGGTATAAGACCCCCGGGATCCAGCCCACACCACTTCACCTTTGCCATTCCTGGACACTCTAAGACGCTGGATGGGTTTTAAAGTCCCCTGACAGGTTTCAGATCACACTTCTCTCACAATGAATCACTTGCTTCTCCAAGGATGGGCAGCCCATGCTCTCCCAAGTCTGGAAGGACCTTGGACCTGCTATTTCTTCTGCCTGTCTAACTCCTGTTTATTCGTCAGGTCTCAGTCCCCTTACGCTGTCACCAAGTGCCTGTGTGCCTCCATCTGTCCCTCCCACATGCCTCCTGCGGGCAGGGAATCCTCAGGGGATGTGTCACCTTGAACCTAGTTAAGACTTAATGAAAGTTACCACCTTTACTTCCCTTTCTCCATCACTCAGAAAATTAAAAGTTCTGAATAAATTAATTGTGCTGTCTTTACTAAAGGCCTTAGATACATAATAACAGACATAACTGAGTTAATTTCACAGCATCTTTAATAGGGTTTGCTTTTTAATATCCAAATTGACGAGACACTTGTTGATGACTATGGAGGAAGAGTCAATTCGCTAATCTATCTGTTTTGTTAAAAGGTAACATGTTTATGAGTGAGTTATGGTTTGCAGGGCCTTTCCATGTACAGTATTTCTTTCATCTTCAATTAATTCTATAAGGCATCTCTTCCTACTTTAATATTTCAGCACTTAATTCTCAGAGAGCTTCCTTGCATTGGACAGTGACAAATAGTTGAGCAGAAGAGTAACAGGTAACAAATAGCAGAATTAAATACAGTCATGTAGTCTCCACATTTTCTTCTTTTATAATTTTTTAAACTTTTTTTTTTTTTTGAGACGTAGTGTCACTCTGTCACCCAGGCTGGAGTGCAGTGGCACGATCTCGGCCACTGTAGCTGGGATTACAGGAGCCTGCCACCACGCCCGGCTAATTTTTTGTATTTTTAGTAGAGACGGGGTTTCACCATCTTGGCCGGGCCGGTCTTGAACTCCTGACCTCGTGATCCACCCACCTTGGCCTCCCAAAGTGCTAGGATTACAGGCGTGAGCCACCTCACCCGGCCTCTTCTTTTATAGTTTTATAAGCCAAGTAGGTAACTATGTCTTTTAGAGCCCACAATGCTTAGCCCACAATGCTTGGTACATGTTTAGTTGTATCAAATGAGAGCATGCTATTATTTCTACCTGAGAATATTAAACATTTCTAGGATATTACTTTAACATAAAAATATGCAGAATAAATGAGCGTTTCCCATGCCTGAAGAAGATGGTGGTCCTTCTATACTGTCCAATGGACTATTAACTATAAAGAATTGCTAGAAATGTGGGAACATCTGGCCTGATCAACGAACTCGCATGCAGCCCAAAGTCAACAGGTTCAAGCTGAGTTCATAACCTTGCTGCTCTGACCAGCTTCCCTATCAGCGTTGCTGTCTCAGTAATGGCACTGTTATCCACTCAGGCTCCCAAGTGGAAACCTGGGAATCACTCCTTGAACTTTCTGTCTTACCCACCGGCCCACCAAGCCAATCAGTCATCAAGTCCAGCTAATTTTGCCTCCCATGTTGAATCCGCGCCTCCTCCCCATCTTCCCTGGGCTATTGCCGCGGCACGTGAGTGGGTCACCCAAAAGTCGTGTCCAGTCCCCACAATGGGCCCTCCATTCATCAGTTACATTTATCTCAATAGGAAGCAAATCTTACCTCCAAATTCCCAGTGTAATGCCCTTCCACAGCTCTCAGTTTTCTGAAGAATGGGCTCCCGTGCCATAGCATGGTGTAAAAAGGATCCATCAAAACTTGGCTGTAGCTGCATCTCCAGCCTCACCTCCTGTTGCACTTCACACTTTCAACTCTGAACTTTCCAGTCGTTTGTTGTTGCCTGTCCCCACCATGCTAGCTCATGCTTTCCTGCCTTCATTCATGCCTCCTTTACCTAAAGAATCCACCTCTCATCTTTCTTGGCTTGGCTTAGTTCAGGCACTGTCTCTTCTTGAAAGTGCTTCCTGACCTCCACATTGGACCAAGGACCCTTCTGGGCGCTCTCACAGGAGCCTGCCCACATTGATAGCTTAGCCAGTGCTACATGATATTGATGTCACCTGATGATATGTCTGTCTGCCATACAAGACATAATGCCCTTGAGGGGTGAGACCATAACTCACCTACTTTAGTACCCCAGCACCTAGGGCAATTCCTTGCGCATGCTAGGAATCCAGTCTGCTTTTGCCGAACTGAGTAAATCAAGTCATCCTGTTTTGTGGCTGTCCTGTTTGTTATGCCGTGTTACGTATTTTTGTCCCCATTTCTGGTTTTACGTTTTCAGGTGTCTCTGTTCAACTATGTATTTTTGATTTCTTGGGCTTTTGCTCTGCCGTACGCCAAGCTGCGCCGTCTGGCTTCAAGTGTCTGCACAGTCTGGACGTGTGTGATCATCGTCTGCAAAATGTTGTACCAGCTCCAAACCATTAAGCCTGAGAACTTCTCTGTTAACTGTTCCTTGGTGAGCCTCGGTGATGGGGGAATATTCCTGACTGCCCTTTAGCAAAGCAAGGCAGATACTTGGGGAACCCCCATCCCCAAGCACATTTGGCCTGACCTGGCTTGTAAGTCACCTCTCCCTGGCTGGTCGTGCTCTGGGCCTGTGTTAAGCCTCGTCTCATACTGAGGTCTCCCCTGAAATGGGCCTGTCCCTCCCATCCTACCACTATCATTTTGCTCAAGGCTGAAGAAGAAATAACCTGAGCTCTCCTAATCTGTGGAGCTATTTTTTTTTACTCCATTTTCTCTTCTTTTTAGCCAAATGAAAATCAAACAAACATCCCCTTTAATGAGTTGAACAAGTCTCTGCTCTACAGCGCTCCTATCGATCCTACAGAGTGGGTCGGCCTGCGGAAGTCTTCGCCTCTGCTAGTCTACCTGAGGGTAATGGCTTTGTCGTGCTTAGTTTGGGCCTCCACTCCGTTATATAATAGTTCAGGATTCTTTTCCATGAGACGCTTAACATCACATTTGATAGTAACCATATCTTCTCATGTGGGATTTGGCATCACCTTTGCAACAAACTCTAAGTGTTAAAATCAGTATTGTGGCATGTTAAAGAGAAAATGATCAAACGGTCTGAGATTGCTTGAATAAAGTATGACAAATACATTCATTGGAACATTATACAATCATGTTAAGACCATTACAAGATTAAGGTCGATGGGTGCATTAGAATTGAAGCATGTCTAAAATATAGTAAGATTTTTAAAAAGCAAATTTCAAAACACTGTGCATAGTATGATCTCTTCTAGACACAAAGAAAAATATTAAGTAAAGTATACCAAATGCTCAATAGTGGTTATTTCTGAGAAGCGGATATAGCCTTACAAGACATTTTCGCTGTGTAAATTCTGTTTATCTATAGTTTTTAATAAAGAGAATCTACTACATCTAGAAGTAATAAAATAAAACATATATTTAGAAAAGGAAACGAGTACAAATAGTCATACAAACATAATGAAAACAACATGCTTCAGATTTTTCACATTTTATTTTTGTGGATTATCTGAGCAGTCCTAATCATGTTACACTGGCAATGCATTTAAGGGTACAGCCTCTACACTCAGCACCTGGGATTTTTAAATGTATTAAGCAGCCCATTTTCTTTGTGGACCTTCTAGATTTTTCATCACATGGTAGATATCTTTTGTACCAGTACCCACCATAAATAGCTGTTATGAGGATAAAGCAAATTGGTATTTGAAAAGGGTGATCGAATTGTGTCTGGAACCTATGGTTCCATAAATGTTAACTATTTTCATTATCTTGAATAATAGTTATATCATCACTATTATTATTTTACTGTTGTCAGCATGCTTTTCAATCTATTGCTGTCTGTAGCCAGATTTCAGGAGTGTTCAAAAGCTTCCCCCTAAGCAGCTTCCCGTTCATTTAGCTCAGTGCGTCCCAGGATGTCTCTGTACTGTTTTTGCACTTCTGGCTGCAAACAAGGCTGAACTGCCCTCCTTGGATAACTGGAAATTGCTTCCTTGGTGTGAGATGTGTAGTTGTGAGAAGTAGGAATGAGCAGCAGCATCTTATGTTTGGAGATTCTAGATCCTATGACTTTGGAAGTTAGCCTGATTTTCTAATATAGATAATGCCACAATAAATAAGACAGAGAAAACGAATATTGAGCTCAAAACTGCTTAAGAGAGGTGAGCTTTTATAAAACATTGTCCTTGTAGCTGTGCAGAATGTGGGGATTGCTTGAAATTACCAAATCATAAAGCCTCTGGCTGACACATTTGTGTTTCCTTGCTTTGTAGAATAACCTCCTGATGCTGGCTATCCTGGCCTTTGAAGTCACCATTTACCGCCATCAGGAATACTATCGAGGTCGAAATAACCTGACGGCCCCTGTGTCTAGAACTATCTTTCATGACATTACAAGACTACATCTAGATGATGGACTTATTAATTGTGCCAAATATTTCATTAATTACTTCTTTTACAAGTTTGGTCTGGAGGTGAGTTTCCTTGCTGATATGTTTTATTTCTCTTTTCCATGAAAATTCAAAGAACTGCTTCTGGCCAATTGGCCACTGGAACTTTGTGATACATCTGCAGGCATGATAGCTGTCCCCTTGAGAAGAACAGAAAGTATTTGTACTGATGGTTAACTGGCTTGACTGAAAGTTTTCCAAGTTTGGGTGCTGAACACCCCCCTCCACAGCAGTGCCTTGGCCTCTCTGGATCTCCAGAGCCATCTAAATGCATGGCCATCAGTTGCCGTGTTAACAGGTTTCTTATTAAGAATAAAGTATTAATCTTCTGCCTGGGCACGGTGGCTCACGCCTGTAATCCCAGCACTTTGGGAGGCCAAGGCAGGCAGATCTTCTGAGGTCAGGACTTTGAGACCAGCCTGGGCAACATGGTGGAACCCCATCTCTTCTAAAAATACAAAAATTATCCAGGCGTGGTGGTGCACGCCTGTAATCACAGCTACTTGAGAGGCTGAGGCAGGAGAATTGCCTGAACCCAGGAGGCAGAGGTTGCAGTGAGCCAAGTTTGCACCACTGCACTCTAGCCTGGGTGACAGGGCAAGATTCCATCTCAAAATAAATAAATAATAAAGTATTAATCTTCTTTCTTTTTGTGCATTCTGAAACCATAAGCTGCAGCCAAAATGAACTGTTTTAACCTAAAACGATTGTGATAGTGCCTGTGCCTTCATAGAATGAAGTAGGAATGGTGATGTTTCATGAGGAGATCAAAATGGCTGTTCTCTTTATTGTCTGAAGTGGTTATGATAACAGCTACTTAGTCAGTTTTTC
This sequence comes from Homo sapiens, assembly GCF_000001405.40. Lineage (NCBI taxonomy): Eukaryota > Metazoa > Chordata > Mammalia > Primates > Hominidae > Homo > Homo sapiens. Next base: position 10,760,103 of record NC_000018.10, on the reverse strand, counting down.
CCTGGGAGTAATCTGTACAGTATTTCTGTCTTCACGCTGAGACACTCAAAAGAGCAAGCATTTGTGAATCTGTGCAGACAGACTTGCCCTGAGGGACATGGGTCTCCGCCATCTACACAGACCTGACACCTATCACCAGTCCCCTTTCCCATATGCCTGATTTTTTTTTTTTGCCTCTTTTCATCTTTACACAGACCTGTTTCCTAATGTCAGTTAACGTCATTGGCCAGCGAATGGATTTCTATGCCATGATCCACGCCTGCTGGCTGATCGCTGTCTTATATAGACGCAGAAGGAAAGCCATCGCAGAGATCTGGCCCAAGTACTGCTGCTTCCTGGCATGCATCATCACCTTCCAGTATTTCATCTGCATTGGCATCCCACCTGCTCCTTGCCGAGGTGAGCCTGCCCTTCCCTTGAGCCGTCTACTTTTAGAAGAAGCCATTACTGAGCGGACGGCTGGGAGAAGAGTGGTGAAGAAGAGTATTGATTGTGCTGTTCGCCACTTCCCTCCCTGCAGATTACCCGTGGAGATTCAAGGGTGCCAGCTTCAATGACAACATCATAAAGTGGCTGTACTTCCCAGATTTCATTGTGCGGCCCAACCCTGTGTTTCTCGTCTGTAAGTGTTTCCACTGCAGGGCCACAGAGTGCTGGTATCCGGGTTTACTGTTAATCATTGTTCACGTGCTATGCATTAGTGCCTTTTGTCTTCCACTAGACTTCGTAATCATGTAAAGGCTTGTCTTATGCATTAATATCACAAGTCATTAATGGCTTCTACTCACCCTATTACATTTGCAAAATTAATAAATCAGTGTTGGAAATGCCATATTCACTTGCATAATTTCACTTCCCCCAACACACACACACAAACACACACACACACACACACACACATTTACACAGCCACCTTTCAAAAGACAGACCAGAGAGGAAGGCTTTTGTGTTTTCTGACTTGGTGGTTTCTGGCTCCCAGTGCAGATAAATAAACCCTGAACATGGGACAGTGGATGCTGGGAGATGCTTCCCAGATTTTAGTTGCTCTAGAATTGGGCTGCAGCCCCAAGGCCTTCCCATGGCAGCTGGTGATCCAAAGGTCAGAGCAGCTCCTCCAAGACCAGAGTGCTGGGTTTTACAGAAAATGCAAATGACTGCCCTGCCTAAACAAGTTTAGGTTTAATTTTAAAAGCAAGGAAGCAGCTTGTGTTCAGGCTTCCAGGCAGGCTTGGCCTCAGCCCTTTGTGGGCAGTTGCTGGGAGGACAGCTCTCTCAGGCTGCGCTGTGCTGTCCAGCACAGTCCACCACCTCCACCTGCTCTCACCACACTTGCAGTGTGGCTTCTGCTTTGGGGACAGTCTTTGGTTACAAATGCAAAGGAGGATGGAAAGGATAAAGAAAAATGAATGTCTGCATCCACCACACATAAAAAGATAAAGATGGGGAAATTGCTCAAGTGGCCTCCTTAAAACTGGTGGGAGGTAAAAAAAATTAGCCAGGCATGGTGGCGGGCACTTGTATTCCCAGCTACTTGGGAGGCTGAGGCAGGAGAATGGTGTGAACCCAGGAGGTGGGGCTTGCAGTGAGCCAAGATCGCACCACTGCACTCCAGCCTGGGCGACAGAGCGAGACTCTGTCTCACACACACACACACAAAAATGTTACCCTCTAAGAGACTCATGAAGACTAGTAAGTAGCACCTAATATTTCTCTCACCGATGTGCAAACAAAATTCAGAGACTCCCCACGTAAGCTCCTGGAGTGTCTGTGGTCACTCTATGCCCTGCAAGGTGGAGAAGGTGTGACTTGGCCCCGACATTGGACTCCAGGATGAATTTTACTATGAACTTTGGGAACACAACTCACTTAGGAGCTGGGGAATGGCTGTTGCTGTGTGATGACTGTGTGTTGCATTATGTAAATCAGAAGAGGATGAGGCGGCTTAATGATCTCACCTCTGTCTTGTTAGATGACTTCATGCTGCTTCTGTGTGCCTCCTTACAACGGCAGATTTTTGAGGATGAGAACAAGGCTGCAGTGCGAATCATGGCAGGTGACAATGTCGAGATCTGCATGAACCTTGATGCGGCCTCCTTCAGCCAACATAACCCTGTGCCAGATTTTATTCACTGCAGGTAACAAGAGCTTCACATTTGCTAAAAGCCACTTTGATGTGTGCATTTCCATTACATTGCTCCTCTATACTTTCTCTGCTATACTTGGGAAACAGATCTGCTGAATTGTATACACTGAAGTTAATAAATGCTGGACAATGTGGTTCAGCAGCCTGGAGGCTGAGCCTCTGAATTATAGCACTGCACCTGCTTTTGTCAATGTAAACCGCCTCTTTATGGCCTCAGTTCTCCTCCTCTTCTTCATACCAAAACTGACTTGTGCCAGTAATACCAGCTCTCCAGTGGAGGGTCCTCCTGCTCATCTCTTATCCCTCCTCTGCATCCCCATAGCTCATCCTCATCTTTCCTCCCTCTTCCTCATCCCCCATCTTTCTTCCTTATCTTTCATCCCTCATCCTCATCCCCATAGCTCATCCTCATCCCCATAGCTCATCCTCATCCCCATCCCTCCTCCTCATCTTCTGTCTCTCCTACTCATCCTCCATTTTTCATCTTCATCCCCATAGCTCATTCTTATCCCCACCCTTCCTCCTCACCCTCCAGCCTTCTTCCTCATCTTCATCACTTATTCTCATCCCCCATCTCTCATTCTTATCCCCATCCCTCCTCATCACCCTCCATTCCTCTTCTCATCCTCCATCCCTCCCACTCATCCTTAATCCCTCATCCCCATTCTTACTCCTCATCCATCCTCCATCCCTCATATTCATCCCCATAGCACATCCTCATCCCCCTTTCCTCCCTCTCATCCTCATCCTCCACCCCTCCTCCTCATCCTCTATCCCTCATTCGTATCCACATAGCTTATCCATATTCTCCATCCCTCAACTTTATCCCCAACCCTCATCCTTATCCCCATTTCTCCTCCCCATCCTCCATTCCTCCTCCTCATCTTTCATCCTTCAACCACATCCCCATAGCTCATTTTATCCCCATTCCTCCTTATCCTCCATTTCTTCTTCTCATCCTGCATTCCTCCTTCTCATCTCCATAGCTCATCTTCATTCCCATTCCTCCTCTTCATCCCTGCTTCTCCTCCTCCATCCCTCATCCGTATCCCCATTCCTCCTTTTTATCCTGCATCCTTCCTCCTCATCTCCATCCCTCATTCTCATCCTTCATCCTTAATCCCCATTCCTCATCCTTATCCCCATTCCTCCTCCTCATTCTCCATCCCCCCTCCTAATCTTTCATCTCTCCTCCTAATGTTTCATCCTTCATCCACATCCCCATAGCTCATCTTTATCCCCATCCCTCCTCATCCTCCATTTCTCCTTCTCATCCTGCATCCCTCCTCCTCATCCTCATAGCTCATCCTCATCCCCACCCCTCCTCCTCATCCTCCATCTATCCTTCTCCTCCATCCCTCCTCCTCATCTTTCATCCTTTATCTGCATCCCTATAGCTCATTCTTATCCCTCATTTCTCCTACTCATCCTCATCCTTCCTTCCTCCTCATCCTCCATTTCTCCTTCTCATCCTGCATCCCTCCTCCTCATCCTCATAGCTTTTCTTCATCACCACCCCTCCTCCTCATCTTCCATCCATCCTTCTCCTCTTCCATCCGTCCTCCTCATCTTTCATCCTTTATCTACATCCCCATAGCTCATTCTTATTCCCCATTTCTACTACTCATCCCCATCCTTCCTCTTCATCCTCCATTTCTCCTTCTCATCCTGCATCCCTCCTCTTCATCTCCATCCCTCATTCTCATCCTTTATCCCTCATCTTCATAGCTTATCCTTGTCTCCCATCCCTCCTCCTTATCCCCTTTGCCTCTGCCTCATCCTCATCCCTCCTTCTCTTCCATTTCTTTCTCATCCTCCATCCCTCCTCCTCATCCTCCATCTTTCCTCCTCATCCCCTATCTCTCCTCTTCATCCTCCATCCTTTATCCTTATCCCCATCCCTCCTCTTCATCCTGCATCCCTCCTCCTTATCCCCATCCCTCCTCCTCATTCTCCATCCCTCCTCCTCATCCTCCATCTTTCCTCCTCATCCCCTAGCTCTCCTCTTCATCCTCCATCCCTCATCCTTATCCCCCATCCCTCCTCCTCACCCTCTATCCCTCATCCTTATTCCCCATCCTGCCTCCTCATCCTCCATTCGTCTTCCTCATCTCCCATCTCTCCTCCTCATCCCTTGGTCCTCATCCTCACTTCTTGTATTCACTGGGCACTGAGGAGGGGTGGCTCCCTAGATTCCACCCTGTGCCTGTGCTCTTCCTGAGCAGTGTCTCCCCTGTGGCCATGCAAGGGCTCCCTAGCAGCTTTTCTGTCCTCCACCATTCTGCCCAGCCTCATGACAGCTGATCTGGGCCATGTTTCCCTCACAGTATTTGTGCTTAAACCGTGCTCGACCTCTCACCATGCATTCACCATTTCTGCATTCCCTGGGTTTCCGTATTGAGATTTTTGTCACCCAAGGCCCACTTCATGGAGGGCAGGCCCACTGTGCCTCTGCAGTCAGATCTTCAGTCTTTCAATGCCTGTAACATTCCACTCAGCTGCCCACTATAGTCAGCTGTCTGAGGAAGCTGCTGTGACTTTTCATACCCCCTTATTAGCTGTATATCATGGGACTAATTTCCTAACCTCTGATCCTCACTGATTAGTGTCTGCCCTATTGAGCCATATGAGGTTGCAGTGAGAAGCTCATGCAGTCACAGCACACATGCCATCCATGTGGAGATAGGTCACTGATAGTACCCAAGCCAGCCGACCCCACACATGGAGTCTCTCTCCAGCTTCCGATCTTCCAGAGATTCCTGTTTACATGGTGTGGATCATCTTCTGCCTGGTGTTGGTATCTGAAGAACCCATCTTATCCCCACTTCTAAAGTGTTGCCTTAGGGTGAAGATCATGTCTAACTTGCTTTTGTATTTGTCCCCATCCTCCTACTTACAGTTCTTGGCATATACCAATGCATATACCAATACAGATAGCTGTCAGCCACCTGCTACTCCCTTTGCGCCAGGCTCTGTTCCAAGCTTTGCACACATGGAGCCCTTTTACCCCAGCCCAAGGAGGTCATGCGGTTATCCCTGTTGTAGAGATGAGGAAACTGCAGCAACGAGATGAGACATAGGCAACAGCAGAACTGGGATTGGAACTCAAGCAATCCAGCTCCCAAATCTGAATGTTTATGCGCTTAAGTGCCTCTTGGTAGCATAAGAGGCTCAATATGAACTGAGTAAATCAGGAAGTGAATTTGCTTTAAAACAATATGCTATACAGACTTGACCATTCTATTTGTGAATTAAGTACCAGACTAGGCACTGATCTAAGGTAAGACTTCCATTTTTACCTCTTCTCTGGGATGCTAAGAAAACAATCAGTCCAGCCCAATATTTACTATTGCAAAGGGAACATAAGTATTTTCAATGTATTCATGAAAAACCTAAATCATAACTCAAATGGAAAGCTTTTGTGTGCCATTGATTTTTAAAGCTGATTTTTGTTTTAGTTATTTCAAATTTTTGTTCTGTTTCTCAATGAGGACTGCCAGAAAAGTGACCCCACTCAGGAATTGACCTGTCAAATGCCACAGCAGTAAGTAGGAAGCCAGCGCACATGCTTGCTGGTCAGAAGCACAGCCATGCTCCCCTCTTCCTCTCCAACAGGGGTCAGCTCCGCAGCACCCTGGGATCTCTGGAAAGTGGCCAGAGCCCTGATAGTTAGGTGGCCCCTTAGCCACAGTACCTGTCACCAGGGTTCAGTCTCTCTATTCAGAAATCCTTAAGGCTCCGCTTTGAAGCGTATTTATCAATGTTTTCCATGTTATCTTCACAAGCTTAGTTTTATGAATTCTGGACCCAAAGTGGGTTCAGTGCCAAGGTGTGAAGGCCAGAGCTGGTAAAGCAGGAATTGACTGCTGTAGGCAAGGAAGGAAAGGTATGGAAAGAATAAGCTGCACTCACAGGCACACACACTCAAAATGCTAGCAGCCCAATTCCACTGAATTCAAACCACACACACTTCAGAAGGCCCCTAGGCTCATGCAAATCACTACCTTTATTTGTGATGATCTAGGGTTACAGGGAGATACTGACATTTCATTCACTCTCCATTATGAAGTCAAGGAAGGGTTTTATGTATTTTAGAAAAAAAGTTATAAAAATGTTTAAGTGTTTTACTTTAAAAAGAATAAAGGGTAAAAGTTTACTTATCTGAAAAATGTACCAAGGCACAACTTAAACTCATCCCCCTAATAATGCTAGATAGCTCAAGTGTAGTGCATATTTTATTAAGCAATTACTTATTAACATCCTACAGAACAAGAACCCATTAATCAAAGAATTAATCCAGAATTGGTTCTCCTATGTTTCTTCCCAAATGCGCCAAAAGAAACCACCAAAGCAAAACTCCCAAAACCAAAAGTTCTAATCAAGAAATGCAGTTGGGACTTGGCCTGTAGGTGTGACTCCTGTCAGATGACATTGACCCGCAGGCTAGAGCTGCTGCTTGTTGCAAGACTGACACCGGAACGCTGGCCTCACCTTCCATGAGGAAAGCAGCAGGGATGGGTGGCCCCCAAAAGGGAATCCTGACTCATCCTGAGGACCTCCAGAAACAGAGTATTGGAAAGAACAAAAAAGCCCCACCATGGCTTTGGATAGTTGGTCAGAATCACCTCCCATCTGTAGGGAAAGATTTCCACCTCTAATAAAAGCTTTGTGTTCAACATAAATTTGTTTAACTTCTAGTTCATCCATTCTTAACTTTTCTTTCACTAGCCAGAAGGCATCCGTATCTTAGAATTTCTTTTGCCATACAATTATTCATGCCTCCCATAGAAACAGAAAGGAGAATTTTGAATACTCAAGTGGTAGGCAGAAAATGTTGTTGTTTGTGAGAAATTTGGCCTGAATAAGGTGACGAGAAGCATACACGGTTTCCAAAACTCATCTATTGGTCTATTACTAACTATTTGAGGGTTTCCTAGATAGCAGGATTAAATGAAAGCTCACAGTCTGATTTGCAAGGTGCAGCAGAGAGCATGAATTTCTTCCCTTGTTAAAGACTTTCCTGATTTTGCTTTTGTTTGTTTTGTTGTTGTTGTCTTTTTGTCACTGGCTTTGTTTTCCAGATCTTACTTAGACATGTCCAAAGTGATCATCTTCAGCTACCTCTTCTGGTTTGTGCTCACCATCATCTTCATCACTGGGACCACCAGGATCAGCATCTTTTGCATGGGGTACCTGGTGGCCTGTTTCTACTTCCTGCTCTTTGGGGGCGATTTGCTGTTGAAACCCATCAAGAGCATCCTGCGCTACTGGGACTGGCTGATCGCATACAACGTTTTTGTGATTACGATGAAAAATATCCTGTCAGTAAGTGGTTGCCACTGCATAACACATTTGCGGTTTTCGTGTAAGAGTAAACAGTCCACTCAGTGGTTATTAAAAGCCCAGTGCTTGTCATGTTGCTCTCTTAAAAGCCCCAATAAGATGCTGCAAATTCAGAATTCAAAAACCATTTATTTCTCTCTGTCTTGCCACGTTAAACAGAGTCCTTTTTCCTCATTTTCACCATTTCAAGGCCACATGGCTAAAGGATATGTGTTCATAGGAATAAATTCTAAAATGTCTTTTACTAATTAAAATTCTGTCTCTTCTGAGGAACAATTTGTCATCACTCCTGGTATGAGTTATGAAGTGGCCCTGTTAAGAGCTGAATTTGAGCCACTGAATCTTTTCAAAAGCTGTATTATGTTGGCAAAAAGCAACGCTCTTATCTAGAAAGAACTGTAGAAGTGTGAGATAAAATGAGCATGTTTCTCTATGATACTGGGTGGAGTAGGGAATGAGGTGGAATGGGCTATTATAGGCAAGAATGTTTTATGTACTCAGAAGATGTGGGTAGATAGAAGAGAAAATGCAGCCTTCTGTCTGGCTGTCTCTGAGTATAGACATTCAGATCAGGACACAGCTAGAGCAATGTACGGTTGAGGGACCCTCCCCCCCCACAACCCGCACCAGGCCCCGACGAAGCTTGGCTGCTCTGCTCTTAAGTAGCTATGTTTCAGAACACAACTCTTCCCCTAACATGACATGCAACTCACACTGCCCACTAGTAATTCCAGAGTCACATCAACCTATCAGGACACAACGACACCATTTCAGTGATTTAGTGCTGCGGGAAATTAAGCAACAACCTCTCCTGAGCTGAAGGAGTTAATAGCTCTCTGGCTGGCGCTCACTTAAGGTTTATCCCTGTGCCTGCGTCTCAGTCTCCCAGGCTGTAACTGCTGTTGCACTGAGAGAGCAGTGAGGAAATCTCTTCTGCTTCTTCCTTCCTAGCTACTTAGGGATGAGCTCTCCAGGCAATTCAGTTGTGATATCTCCTTGATTTTCGGGGGGGCACGTGTATCACTGTGTCTAGAAGTCTTGGAAAGCCAAGTTTATGTAGCCATGAATAGGTATTTGGATAATTTATTTTGTCTGAAGTCCATTGAAAGGTTAATTTTCTAGGTGATGGTGAAAGTGACTTATTGGTCACTTTTACCCCTCTGACATCAATTTACATTTGGAGTAGCATTGAGAGTTGTTGAAGAGAGCATGAGACAGGACAACAGAACTCTGGTTCATTCTAAAGCCAGTCTGATGGTGAGGAATCTGTTGCCAGAGGCTGATTTCACAGCCATGCTTGGGAAATGTATGGATTCAAAGTTCATTCATTCATTCATTCATTCCGTAAACCTGTACTGTAGACCTGTTTTTTACTGAGCACTATTTGATGTATTGAAGAACTAGAGATAAACAGTTGTCAGGTTTTGCCCTCAAGGAATTCACATTCTAAAAAGGAAGTTAGACCTACTTATAAATAATTATGATGCAATGGGTTAATGATAATTATTACAACATTTTTGAGAAACAAAAGGATGCCTAATATCTTGCTTAGATAAGCTGGGAACAGGCTTCCTGGAGGTGATGCCATTTGAACGCATCAGAGACTCATAAATAGATTGAAGGGTCTGCAGGGAGACAAAGGGGGAAGGCATTCTTAGCCTGGAAAACAGGAACAAAAGCAGGACATGATGGTGTAGGACTGGAATATTCCCAGGGCTGGGGAATCCATAACGAGTAACTGCTGCTGTTGGAGCAAATCCTGATGATATTCTCCTTCCTCACATGTTCCCAGGAAATGCACACAATGTATCTGTCACATTTATGTATTTGCTTGCAATGATTCATACTTGTTTAAACATTTTCCAACTCAGGATTTAAACTTAACTATAACAAAAAATTCATTGTTATGAGACAACCACCTGCCAATCTACAAAAAATACTCCTTTACCGAGAGAATTGGTCAAACAAGACTCAAAACACATACTCTGTTTTGTTCTAAGAACTACACCCTGCAGCTTAGGTCTGGGATGACCTCCAGGGAAGAGCATAGGTTATATGTGTCTGGCTTGTAAGAAAATAACTCTACCAAAGTCCAAGTTCTAGGGTTCAGTGCACACCCATTCATTATCACAGAGTTGGGATTTATTTCTATGATCGTCCAAGATTTCTTCTTGATAAACTGGTGCTTCCAAGTACAGAAAACATTACATGAAAGACCTTTCCTTTCCTCGTTAGGTTTAATTTTTCCCAGGAATTTACATTGCTCCTGAAGCACTACCACAAGGTGACTGAATTTTTAGGTACAATTGGCATCTCCTGGAATCCTTATCACTGAGACCTTGTGAATTCTTGCACATGTTGGGATCATAAAACACCACTTTTTTTTCTGGCTGCAGAGCTTCAGGATTATCCCCCTCTTTTGTTTTTCAGATAGGAGCATGTGGATACATTGGAACATTGGTGCACAATAGTTGTTGGTTGATCCAGGCTTTCAGCCTGGCCTGCACAGTCAAAGGCTATCAAATGCGTAAGTATGAAAAGCAAGTGTGAAGGCAGAAAGGCAGAAGAGGGAGGATAGTTGTATTGTTCTAGTTTTAAAAGTGGGCCAAAGCACATAAAGATATAAAAGTGGGGTCAGTTTTCTCCAGATGGAGGCTGTAGAACTGTAGTACATTGTGAATCTATTGTCTATAACATGAGATGCCTTATGCTAAGCCTCTTTGATCATCTTCTTGAAACTTCTGAAATGCTGAGGACTTGGAGTCAGGGTCTGGAGATTGGATGTAGTGCTGTAGTAACTCCCCGGACTTTTTGAGTCAAGATTAGGAAGGATTCTAGAAGCCCACTCAAACCTGCTGTTGCTCCACTTAATGTCTTGGGGCATCAAGTAACTCTGACTTCAGGCTCCTCCTGTCCTCAGGAAGCTCAGAGAGCTTCAAGCCTAGGGAAACAGTAGGGAGGAGCATGAGGATTTCTAGAGTTAGACTCCTGCCAAGACAAAGGCAGAAGTGTCATTGCCACCACCCTGCCTCTTGCACCAGAACCAAGGACGACATCACACGTGGCCTACCATGGCACCCAGAATGGGTGCTACTTGGACACAGTGCTCTCTCTATTTATTTATTATTATTTATTTATCTATTTTTAAAAAAATATTTCAAGACAGGGTCTCTGTTACCCAGGCTGAACTACAGTGGCACAATCATAGCTCACTGTAACCTTGAACTCCTAGGCTCCAGCAATCCTCCCACTTCTGCCTCCTGAGTAGCTGGGACCACAGTAGCTGCCTCCTGAGTAGCTGCACCACTATGCCTGGCTAATTTTTTAATTTTTTGTAGAGATGTTGCCCAGGTTGGTCTTGAACTCCTGGCCTCAAGCAATCCTCCTGCCTCAGTCTCTCAAAGTGCTGGGATTACAAGCATGAACCACCACACCCAGTCTTTTTTAAAAAGATTAATTTTTTTTTTATTATGTGATTTCTATTTCAGGCTATATTTTGCCGAAGCCTCACTGGGACGTTGTTTTTCACTTAAGATAAGGCATACTATTGATACTCCTTCTAATAAGCCATGCTGTGCTCATTATTCTGCTGGTTACCCCTGGGTATAGCCCATTCCCAGAATGGGTGTTTTCTTTTGTATAAGAGCATTTCCACTGGCACTGGGACATTATTTCTCTGTGGCCTTTGTTGGAGGTCCCTTTCTTCCTAAGAGAGAGAAATACTCAAGAGGCCTCCCACGTAAAAAGGGCCCTCCTGAGCCTTGTAGTGTGAAGAGTTCAATGCATGGTCAGCCTTATGAATCAGTGTTGATATTGGATTGGAAGTGTGTGATCTCCTTGTAAATAAATCAACTCATAAGTAAGTCAGAGCATCAGAATGCTGCTTTTATGCCTATATTTCCCAAGCCTGACCATACCTCAGATTTTATAAAATTACAATGAAAATGGATGTTAATTTTAATGTGTGTTTTTCTACTGTTACTATAGCTGCTGCTAATTCACCCTGTACACTTCCCAGTGGGGAAGCAGGAATCATTTGGGACAGCATATGTTTTGCCTTCCTCCTGCTGCAAAGAAGAGTTTTCATGAGTTATTATTTTCTACATGTTGTGGCTGATATAAAAGCTTCCCAGATTCTGGCATCAAGGTGGGTCAGGCCATGAAATCAGGTGGTTTCTCCCAGGAAACTTGCCTGAAATAATATTGCACTATCATTTCTGTCTGAGCTTGCTTCTAGAACCCACAAGAAGTTAAGAAATCCCTTCCAGCAAAACCAATCCAAGAAGAATTTAGCACAAGGCCTGTAAAATAGAATAGTAACAGGAAAGCCTATGTAACCATCAGACTTCTCAAGGAATGGGGGTGCCATGGAAGGCCAGAGGTTCACTGGTCAATTGAAGCCCTTGCAGAATCCACCACTTCTCTAGAAGTGGCTCAGTCTGGTCTCAGACAAAACAGCAACATATGCCACGTTGGTCTGGAGTTTAGTCCATCTTACACCTACCTCCCCCTACTAACCTGCTTTTCTTCTCTGAGCCACTGACACAATTTGCATTACTACCTGTTTTTTCCCCTAGGCTCCATTCTTCTTCCAGTTTTTGCCCCTGCTCTTGTAAGTTTAGGAAAAAAGACTGGGGAGAGGTAATAAAGTGAAGTGCCCTGAGGTGGGGGTGGGTGTCGATGACTAGCTCTGTGGCCCCCAGCTGCTGTGTATGTTCCTCTCAGAAACTCAGACCTTGCCTAGGTCCCATCAGATGCTTGGTGTGAATAAGCTGATGGATACTGGGTTCTATTACATGAAATTAGCAATATCTATCATTTGACTCGAAGTTCAGACTAATATATCTGTGTTTACCTACAGTTTCGCTAGAGTCTGTTCTCTTTCCCTGCCATGATAAACACAATGTTTATTTCCAAGGTCCATTTATATGATGGCAGTTGTCAGCCTCTGTTACCTAACTTGGAGTCAAATAGAAAGAGGCCCTAGTCGGGGACCTGCAGTTAGTCAGAAGAGCCTTGTGGCACACCCAGCCCTCATTCCGTGGATGACAATGACTTTATGTACCGCACTGCTCCGGAATTCATTGTTATAATCATTTTCTAATACCCAGGACATTATTTTCAGAGCAGAATACAATGTTTCATTCCAATAGTAACCTTACTTACTTGTATATAAACAGCTGGTATTTTTGCAGGTAAATGCATCTTGTTTGCCTTTCCCAAAACATTTGGTCTGTAGAGGTCCTTATATAACCTATCTGATGACTTCCGCTTGAAAACAATCTTCCTCAGGCTGCTAAGGCAATGTGCTCTCCTAATTTCCCTTTTTCCTTTGTGGTTCAGGCTTCTAGGTCTTTTTTGCAACCTCTTTCTTTGCCCATCTCTCAAACGAGAATGTTCCCCGGTGTCTTTTTCCCAAAGTTGTCACAATGATTTAGAAATCATGCCCATCATGTTATAGTAAGAATGATGACAGTGGTTCAGAGTACAGTTCATGCCTATTGAAGAAAAGCCGTGAGTTGATCAATAAGCAATGAACTCATAATAGTGTGTTCAAAGAATTCACATTCATTCATTCATTTTTTCACTGCCAACTCTGTTACAAAGAGGTGATGTTCACCTCTGCCCTCACAGAGCTCACAGAGTAGCAGGAAAGTGGCACATGAGCAAGCAATTCTACTACAGTACACCTGGTATCGTCTCAGTCCATTTGGGCGGACATAACAAAAATACCATAAAGTAGGTGGTCTATAAACAGTATACACTCAATTCTTACAGTTCCACAGGCTGGAAAGTCCAACATCAAGGTTCGAGCAGATTCAGTGTCGGCCGAGGGCCCACTTCCTCATAGATGGCCATCTTCCCACTGCATCCTATTTTGGTGGAAGGGGCAAGAGACCCCCCTTGGGCTTCTTTTATAAAGATAGTAATCCCATTCATGAGGGCTCTGCTTTCCCACTCAATCTACTCCAAAAGGCCTTACCTCCTGTCCGTCACCTTGGGAGTCAGGATTTCCACATGTGAATTGTAGGGGATGCAGACATTCAGACGACAGCAGGTGTGATGGTAGGAGACACTCCGGGAGCCATGAGGTCACATCAAGGGAATATAACCAGCTGCAGGGGCGTGAACCAGGTGGCCTTCCATTCCCAGTGCAGGCTGAAGGATGAAGAGGAGTTAGTCAGAGGAGAAGGCAGGGGAAGCAGCCCAGTGAAACTACGGAGGGAAGTAGCCATCAGAAGCTCACAGTGACTGCAGCGCTGAGATTGGAAGATGAGGACAGTGAGTGGTGAGTGATAAGCTCCAGGCCAGGAGAGGCCAGGTCCTCAGGGGGCTATCAGCCCAGATATGTCTTTAGAAATACTCCCACAGTCTTAGGAAGGCCTTGCAGTGTTTAAACAAGCAAGTAATATGACGTGTTTGCATTTCAGGAAGCTCACTCTGTTTGTGGTATGGAGAATAGATGGGTATAGGCAGCGCTGTAGGCAGAGAGACAGCTAAGCAGCTGCTATGATAATCCAGGGTAGAGATAGCAGCTAGACCAGGATAGGATCACTGAGAAAGATATTCCAGAGGCAAAATAGGCACAGCTGGAAAACTGCTTGGAAGGAAGGGAGACAGTGATAGAAAGGGAAGCATAGAGGGTGATGTGCCCAGGATTCTGGCTTAGCCAAACGGTGGTGCCAGTCCCAAATATAGGAACTCAAACAGGGAGGGAAGACTGACCGCAGTTGTGGAGTTGTAGGTCTCATGGGCACATGAAACTCAGCCAGTTGGGAATTCCAGTGGGCAGCTGCATGGACAGGCCTGGAGAAGTGAGGAGATGGAGTGCCATCATCACACAGATAGTATTGAAGGAGGTGAGTTGCAGCTGCTGAGAGGGGGTGTGAGAAATGAGAAGAGAACCTTGGAGAACATTCAGGTTTGAGAGATGGCAAAGAAAGAGGTTGTAAAAAAGACCGAGCAGCCTGAGCCACAAAGAAAAAAGGAAAACTAGGAGAGCACGTTGCCTTAGGAGCCTGAGGAAGATTCTTTCCAAGTGGAAGTCCATCACATAGGTTATATAAGGACAAAAATAACAACTGAACATTGAAATCGGTGACCTTGACAGTGGGGTCAAAGCCAGACAGCAACAAGCAGAGGTGGGAGTTGTAAAGGCTTAGAGACATGACCGCAAGACATCTGACTGTGAAGGGGGAGTGATGTAAGTACCTACATAGGAAAATGTGGGATGTGGTCGTGTGTCGGTTTTCTTTTTCGTTTTTTTAAGGTTAGCAAGACTTGAGCATATTTGCATGTTAATGGACAGAATTCGGTACTGATGGAAAGATTGGAAATGCAAGAAGAGAGGAAGAAGCAGGAATTTCGTGTCCCCCAGGCTATGGGTGGGGAAGGGACCTGGAGCACAAGGCAGGCCTAGTCAGACAAAGGGTACCTCTTCCACTGTCCCTGCAGGGCAAGACGCCTGTGGGAGGGATGGTGCAGGAAACTGAGCAACTTACTGCCTTAAGATTTGTGTTCCCTCTGGGAAGCAGGAAGCTAGGTCATTTACTAGGAGTGAAAAACCACTCCACAGACTTCAAGACTTGAGAAAAGCGTAGCAGAGTTTGAAACAGCCACTGTAGAGAAGCACAAGACTTTCCAAGGAGGCGGGGGCTCTGCAGAGAACCATCTGCCCAAGCAGGTGTTTTTTCCAGCAGCTGCCAACAGCCCCTCTCAGGACAGGGCGGGCACACTGTCAGGTTCCTGCAGATTTGGGATTTGTGAAGCATGTAACAGTGTGACAGAGTTGAGAATGTGAAGAAGGTTGAGGAGATTTATGGAGACACTGAGGTTGACCTGAGAAGTGAGAAAGAACAGAAGGGAGTGGAAGGACAGGAAGAAGAGAATCAGGGACAAGAGACTAGATGTCCCACAGATGGAGCAGGAACTGGCCTTCACATAGTCCCTGAAGGAATCCCCAGTTTCTGCTAATTGAGTAGAAAATGAATCTGACTGTACCCTTTTTGCAAATTTCTCCTCTTGGTATAATTACAATAAGGTCAGGTGAGAATGCTTTACTGAAGTCTAACGTTCAGTGGGACAGGTTTGAAGAGGCTCGTGGGTGTCAATGTCTTGGAGAATACAAAACACTTTCTCTTTACTGATCTTCACTACTGGGCTTGTGAGCAGCCCCTTCACTCCCAGGGGGAAGGCTGTGCCCTGTTCACCCAATGGGAAAAGGCTTCTAGAAGGGGCCTTGTTGACTCCTGCTCCCAGCCAGGAAACTACAAGCAGCTGCCATTAAGAGATGTTATGTTTTCTAACCCTTAGTAATAATTTTCAGGAAAAGGGGAACAACAATGGCAAGAATATTGACTTGTTCATGTTTCCACTTTCCCTTTAGAGGAGCTGAACTTTTCCAGGCCACAATTGTAAAAGCTGTAAAGGCAAGAATTGAGGAAGAGAAGAAGTCCATGGACCAGCTGAAGCGACAGTAAGGATGCTATTGATGCTCATCCTCCTTCCGTCTTCTGATTGTGTGACCACATTCAGCTGGTGCTCCACTGTTGGGGAGCCTCAAACCCCTGAAAAATATATATGTATGGACTTTCACAACTTCCTATTTATTTATTCTTGTGCGGGGGCAGTTGCTCATGCCACTAGACTGAAAGTGAAAGCAGTTTAACAGAAAGATCGCTCCAGCATGGTGGAGGTGGGCGCTATCTTGCAGAGGACCAGGGATCAATTGCTAGCTGAGTGACTTACTTTAGAACCTTGAACAGGTCATTTAAGTCCTCTAAATTTGAGTTTTCTGTTTTTAAATTAGGGCTCACAATTCTGCCTTCCTGGGTTTTTGTAAAGATTAAACTAGCTAATGAATGACACAAGGTCTTGCTCAGTGCCAAGTACTTGATATAAGCATTCATTACATCTAAGGGAGTAAATGTGGAGTCAGCTTTGGAAGCATAGTTTTAGATAATATCATCCAGTCTCTTTGGAAAGAAACTGATGACCCTGGTATTAGATGACTTAAGAGTCAACACTAACTAGAGGCAGCACTAGAAATATAAGCCAGAGTTCTTTATATCCCATCTAAGGTTTTTCCCACCATCCCATTCTGGATGGGCCAAGGGGTAGACTGACTCCACTCCGGAGACTTGGGAATTCCATGGAAAATAATCTTCTTAGAGTGAAATTTCCAGCAATGATGGAACCTCTGAGGACTGTTTGGGGACCAGGTTTAAAAGGTGATGGCCATGGAATTATAAGCCTAGATACTTTCCCCAAGCAAATGGAGACACCATTTGCCCCCTGGGAAAGTTCTGTAAGTTTGCTAAGGCAGTTTTATCTCATTCAGACCTTATTTCCCAGCTTTTTTTCCCAAGCAGAAATATTTCTTAGTATAAATTAGATTATTCCACAGCATTATTATTTTCATAAAGACATAAGTTATATATAAAAATTATAATGTAAATGCAATATGGTACAACTGTTTTTATTGGTGTTTCTAGTTATCCAAATCAGGTCTAGAAGAATAACAAATTTGGACTCATGTTTAGAATATGTTCCTAATTTCCCATAAGTGAGGTCTATTACTGTAATTCTCTTTGCTAAATCTTTCCATTTGTTTAAGAATCCAAAACTTGGGAGAATAAAGGACTTGTATTTCATAATATGCCATGTTCAAATTGGCTATGATACAAGATGTGAGTGGACATCAAGTATAGCTTACCTAACTTTAGCATAATCATTATTGATCATATTATTAAGACTGGCATCTATGCAGTGCCAAATAACATGGGAATACACACACACACACACACACACACACACACAAATATGTATATAAAAGAAAGGAGATCCTTGTTGCTAATGAGCAACCATTTTACAATTCACAAGTATTCCAAAGTAGTTTGTCCACGAATTTAGCTATATACGTAACAGCATAAGTCCAAAGTACTGACCACATGAGAACAATGAATATGTTCTTGGCATTACTAATGTTATTTTACTTTATAGGATGGATCGCATCAAGGCCAGGCAACAGAAATATAAAAAGGGTAAGGAGAGGATGCTGAGCTTGACCCAGGAGCCAGGGGAAGGCCAGGACATGCAAAAACTCTCTGAAGAGGATGATGAAAGTATGTCAAGACATTTTCCTCTTATTCAAGTTTTAACATTGAATAATAGCATGATATTGAGCAGGGCTGTAAAATAACATTACTTCTTATTCTGCCAAGATTATCGATACACTTTTTTGATTCAGCGAGCTTTATTTTCCCATTGTGAATGGATATATTCATTAGTTTCATAAAGTATGTATTTGATAAATCAATTAGTTTACAAGTATCCACTCTTCAGCAAGATAGCTTTAACAAATACATAACCTAGCTTTTGTTCCACAGACATCTGTTTCTGCAGTAGATTGGCAGGATTTTGTTTAATTTGTTTCTTTTTTGGTTTTGTTTTGTTTTGTTTTTGAGACGGAGTCTCGCTCTGTCCCCCAGGCTGGAGTGCAGTGGCGAGATCTCGGCTCACTGCAAGCTCCGCCTCCCGGGTTCACGCCATTCTCCTGCCTCAGCCTCCCGAGTAGCTGGGACTACAGGTGCCCGCCACCACGCCCGGCTAATTTTTTTTGTATTTTTAGTAGAGACAGGGTTTCACCATGTTAGCACGGATGGTCTCGATCTCCTGACCTCGTGATCCGCCCACCTCGGCCTCCCAAAGTGCTGGGATTACAGGCGTGAGCCACCGAGCCCAGCCCGCTTAATTTGTTTCTTTAAGGGATATATTTCCGATATACAGTATACTGCTATCTTTTATTTCTATAAATTTTATATGGAAATGAAATATGTATGTGTATTTTATGTGGCACCTGACCATTGGTACCTAAAATATCATTCAATCGTTGCCTGCTCAAATGAAACTTACCATGAAATATATATTGATTATATCTAATTATGGATTTATTATATCAAATTAAAGTTTAAAGGATCTTTTATAGAGGCTTGCATGCTTCTCTATGTGAATGGAAGGGAGAAATAATGCATGATATTTTCCCAGTGCATAGTATCTATTCATGACCAGGAAATTTATATTTTCCAGCCATGCATTAAAATAATCACAAGAAAAAATTCTGCTTATTGTAATTTATGTACTTTAACAAATTATTTGCCAGTAAATGATTCTGTAAAATTTGGGGGATGCTTCCTTTCTGTTAATACAATGGAATATTCAATGTGAGATGTATTTTTGACAGATAATCCTTTCTTTTTTATATGTCTTTGTATGCCCTCAGTCACTAAGAAGAAAGTGAAGATGTAGCATACTGTTAAAAGAACAATTAGTATTTATCTTGTGAAATTGACTGTTAATACATGTATATTTTTCAGATTCAGTATAGTTCCTTTACCTGACCTCTGATATACTTTTGCAATTTACCTAGATTTGACAATTGAGTTGTTAAAGCGTGGTTTTCAAAATTTGTTTTCTCACTTTATACGAATTAATATGTGGACGTATTTTATTTTAGGAGAAGCAGACAAACAGAAAGCCAAGGGCAAAAAAAAGCAGTGGTGGCGGCCTTGGGTTGATCATGCTTCCAGTAGGTTTTCTCGATCCCCTTACAACCTCATCGACTCTAACCCTTATATCCTTGACCAGAATTCAGGCGTTCCCGTGACCCATGTGTTCCATGCATGGTTTGATCCTTGTGACTTGATAGGGGGTCGGAGTGTAGGAAAATTTTAATGTCAGTGGGTCTTTGAGCCCGGGGTCCAATTCTTCCAGAGACATCAGCACAGACGTTCTGACATTCTTGTGCTGGCTGTAGAAAGCCAAACACGTGGCTTATAGACTCTAGGGCATAATTTATGGGCTCAGAAAGGGAAGAAGAATTGAATATTATATTGCCCAATTCTGAGGTCGAGAGCCCTATTCACATACATATTTTATGGCTAAATACCCTTACTAAAAATGAGCTTGGGCTCCACCTTGGACTCTGATTTAAGGATGATCATTCTATTCAAAGGGTCAGTGACCCTTTCTCTGTAAGGCACTAGGCATGGATGCCAGTGAGCCTCCCCTCCCCTCATTCCCACAGCTTTGATTTTATTTGCATTTAAGGATTTTTGGCAATTTATTAAATAGAAAGATGAGGGATAACTTAAAATGCACTCACTTTCTTACTACGCCTCCTCCCCAATTTCAAAAAGGCACTCTAAATTCCAATGCCCACATGTGGCACAGCCTTCAAGCCACCTGATGCTCAGAGACGACCAATGAACAGCAAAAACCAGAAAACTATTTTTAAAAGCAGATCCTGATAGCCACATAGAATGCAGTGTGTTTCCCTCCTGATCATAAAGATGAATGAGGAATTCTGGAACTCAGTGGCTATATTTGCTCTGCTTAGCAAAGAAAATATCACTATAGGTCGATGGGATTATAGTGGAATGCCCCATTCCAATCCAGTCCTCTTTAAATTTCATAGAATATTGAATAATTATTATTTTGCAAGTTACGTATAATGTCGTCTTCAGTCTTTACATGATGTCTCCATACTTGCAGCTAATCTAACTGGACAAGGAATATCACTGAGACAAATAACATCACACAATTGTAGGAGTGAATCTACTAGGAGGATATTTAGAATCACTAGGAAATCAAATAAAGTAGAACTTCTTCCCATACCTAATTATTGGTTTCACATAGATCTGACGTTGGCCTCTCTCTCCCAAGACATAATTTTCTAAATCGGCAAGCTAGTTTTTAATAAAGCAATATTTGAAATTTGCTTGGTATATCTGGATGTAATCAAATTTAATCCCAAATATTGAATTTCAACATTACAACAAAAAAAGAAAAACACAAGATTAGAAAGAGTTTTATTTAATTTTCTCCCCAAGTCCAAAGACAAAAGATTCCAGTCGGAGTCCAGTGTGACTCTTCTATTTACTGTTCAGGGTATGACAGTCACGCTAACAATCTGGTAAATGCAGTGCACAAATGCCTATTTCTATCAAGTCACAAGTAAACTGTGCTTTTCTTTATGTTTTTAAAGGGCCTCTGCTAATTTAGAGAGACCTATCCATTTCAAAATTGTGTCATATTGAATGTTTTTTCACCTCACCTGGGGTAAATTCCCACCGCGGTCATTGTGGTTGCCTTTCCTTTCCTCATGTAAAAATCGCATTTGCAAAGGAATTGGATATGGTCTGTGATAACTATCTTACAAGTTGTAATAATATAAAGAACTTCCTGTGAATGTTGTTGACTTTAGATTTTCTGGTTCATTTCACCCTCATTATATCAAGTTATTGAAGATTGATGTTAAACTACATGTGCCTTGTTACAAAACCTTATGATGCAATAATGCAGAAATGTGTGTAATTCATAGTTTGGAATCATATTCAGACTGTGGTGTTAAATTTTTTGCTGCAAAATGTATTTCTTTTTACAAGTGAATGAAGAATGAAAGGGAAAGAATGTGTGCTGTATTGTTGTGTCTATGATGAGTTCCAGAATTTATCTTTAGATCTGGAAGTACTTTGTTGGAAGCCCTTAATTTGATCTTTTGAGTAACTGGGCTTTCAAACAGCTATTTCTTAGAGAAGCCAAGTGTAAGAATTAGTGTAGTTGGATACACATGTGTAAATCTATTGACAATACAAAAATGTTGCTATGTTCTTGATGTTATTAGTAAGCAGTGAAGATTTTAGCATGGTCTGTATAGGGACAGATTTCCTACTTCCATACCTATGTACACACACAAGATTGCATTATTGCTGTTCAATGATACCTTCCATTCCAATACCTTATGTTTCAATATTGGTTCAGTACTGCCTAAATTAATACCAAGCTTCATCTTATTGATAAATATCTGAAACAGAAGGCCAAGTTCTGAGGATAAAAGTAGTGGAATTTAAAAAGTTAATTTCCAACTTAGTAATTTAGCAGTAACATCAACATCCATGATATGTATGTGGACACAGGCTGGAGTCAGGTTCGCCATCTGAGCTAACAAACACGTGTGTAAGAGCTTTTCTACTCACTAATTTAACAGATGGCATGAATGAAAATGTGCTCTGTCATTTTCCTAGTTTCATTTCAATAACATTTTATAAGGAAATAAGAGACTTTTTTACATTTTCTTTTTTCTTATGTGATAATTCCACTAGCTCACATAAATATTGGTGGTTTCTAATGGTAAAATCAATGTTACCACTGCTTGAGATGAAAACCTTTTGAACTTGTCCATATGAATAAAAGTTATCGAAGGTATGATTGAATACAATTTAAGCTAATGTTGATTTTGGAACCTATAATGAGGGTAAAATTCTCGATCTTATAATAGTCTGTGTTTTCCCAAACGACCACGTGATGTAGAGTCCACATCACTTTCCTGCAAATCTCTCGGCTTATGTGAAGGCATTACTTTAATGGTCTTCTTCACTATCAAATGTAATGCTGTAACTTTGGTTTGTTCTTGCTTATTCTCACTTGTGTTGTATTGCATTTATTTCCCAAGGCCTGGACCCAGTACTCTGGGCCTGGTTCTTTCTTCAAAATGAAAATAACGAATGACAGTGCTTCTGTTCAAGGATATAAGGCCCAATTCACCCACTGTGTATCTTCATGAATGGAGGCTTCAGATTTTTCTGAAATCGTGGGCAAAATTACTTAACTTTTGGCCATGTGAAGTGATATTCAAGCAATTAATTTTAAACAAGCCAAGGTTTTCCATTACCTTACAATGTATAGGCCCAAAAGACAACTTAAGATCAAAATATGTCATCCAAAAGATGCCTGAGCATTTGAAAACCTGAATATAATTTGAAAATATGTTTTCCTGCGATGATGGGACATTGCTTGTAGCATCAGAAATGTATATGTTGGGCCTCTTTTCTCTGGTAGACTTTAAATAATGATCAAACTGATAAAGATTTAATTTATTAAATTTCCTTAAATCTCTGTACGTTGTAGTTTTCTCTGCTCCCAACTCTTGACACAGGCATTATGTTCTTGCAGGGAAAGTATCAGACAAGGCAAAGACAATCCATACTGTTTGTGCTTTGTGTCTTGTGGTCAGTAGAGTGCTCCTCAAATTTCAGAAAGCTGCTGGGGAGTTCCTTGTTGACCAGAAGCCTAGCAGTTGTAAACCCTATGGACCCTGTCTGCCATTCTCAGTCTGTCTTAGGGCTACGACACGTGGAAGCAGCCAGAGCGCTGTTGTTGGTGGTGTTTTTGTTGTTACTGTCATTGTTGTTGTTGTGTTGTGTTGTTTTCAATGTTACCTGCCCATTTCATCCTCATGGCAGTGTGTGCGTGTTTTTTTGTTTTTTTTTTTTCAAATGTCTTGCCATGTATGTTTTGTCCCTTGTGTTACATGTGGAGAAGTCAGGTCTGCACAGTGTAAAGTGAAGGAGGAGATTGGTGACACTGACCTTGGTCCTGAATCGTCCTGATTGGCTTATCTGCAACGGTTTGGGCCCATTCAGACAAAGCCTAATCCTCCACCTCACTTTGGCCTTGTCTGAAGACCAAAATTGCTGAATTTTGAAATGATAGTGTTCAGTTATTTTGGTCATCTAGATAACAAAACTGGCTGCTGCAGAGTTGATCTGCTTCATCTATGTAAATTTTACAATGAAGAAGGGAGAACATACCAGATCCACCCTGTAGTGGCCAGTTCTCTTACATGGCAAAGACAAGGCCTCATACTCTGTAGACCCAATATGCCAACACCGCGTAGCATTAGCCGAAGATGAGTTCTCTTCATCTTGTGTGTTTTCCTCTCTGCCAACATCTTTCGTTGTGGTTCTCTTATGGACAATTTGTGTATCTTTAGGGGACATTTCATTAATAAGCCCCCAATTTCCTTATATGTCTTTCAAGAAATGAGTGAATATTTTGTTTTGCTTAGTGGTCAGGAGTGGAGATTATTATTTGTTTGAAACGGATAGTGAAGAGGAGGAAGAGGAAGAATTAAAGAAGGAAGATGAAGAACCTCCACGAAGGTCAGCATTCCAGGTAATTATGGGGAAAATCATTTCTTTGCTAGTTGGAAGAGCTTTTCTTATTGACGGACCTTCATTGCAGGCCTAGACACCTCCTGTAATATTCATATGTCATAGCTCCCCGAAGCTTCTGATTTACATCTGCAATTCTTTATTTCTAATTAAATTGTAATGATGCCTGCTCCCAGCAACACCGTAATTAGTATCAAGCAAGAACCATGTACAGCCCAGGTTTTCATTCACTGGCACTGAAACAGTTCCTGATACTATAAACAAAAAATAAAGCTTCGTTGGGTGAACTCAATGTTTTTCTTGCAAGCAAAGTGAAAAAGACTTCTCTGGCATTGCATTGGATTGCTTGAATGGACTTACATTCAATGTAAGGCGATAATGAAAACAAAATCCTTGCTTTGTTGTGGAGCAAATGATCATTTAAATGTTGCTTCAGAGTTTGAAAACCGTTTCATATGTATTGCTAAAGATTTGAGAATATATTGAACTAGTAATAAAAATATGTGGCACAGTTCTGGTTTTTTCAGCTTAGCTACCTTTCTGTTTTAGAACCTGCTGTCCCATTCTCAGCTATAGCTCACCAGCCTAATGTAGCATATTGAGTGAATGTGAATCAATGCTTGTTAAAGATGAGGCTTTGTCATTAGAGTCATGTATGGGATGAAAATTGGTCTGTGTTTCTTTTATCAATTAACTACACACTAGGGCTGTTATTTCCCATTTGTTTTCCTACGAGGCACATAGAGTGATGTCCATCAAGCCACATGATATGCCCGTGATAAGGCCTTCGTCAGTTTTTTGGCCAGGACTTCTCAAGTGGGTGGGGCCCATCCATGCTTGTTTCCCAGTGACATAGAAAAACTGAATTCTCCATAGAGACACCTTGGTCTGATGCTTTCTTTCTTCCCCCATTGCTTCTTGTGTCTGTTTCTTCATGACCGGGTTTTTGTGCATGTTTGCAGCTGGCTTATCAAATACTAATGACTTAACTCATTTATTTTTATTCGAAAGAGTTTTCTTCTAACCACCACTCATCGTGCAGCCAAGGAGAGAACATGAACATCTTCACTATGTTGGATGGATTACATGCAATGATTGACTATTTTCTTTATTCCTAACTTACAAGCAGAGCACATTTTATTCTAGCTTCAGTGACTGGCATCTTTTAACCTAGTTGGTGTAACTGTAGAGACAAATTCATGCTGACATCATATATTAAATTACTAGTTTTTGGTTTTTTCTACTAATTACTCTTGCTTTGTCCTTCTTTGTAGAGAGCTATTGGGAAGTTTGCATCAGCCATTTTAGCCTTGCCAAAGTCTGTCATTAAACTTCCCAAAACTATTCTTCAGTATTTAATCAGAGCTGCAAAGGTATTTGATGTTTTACTGATGTGTAGTGTGTGACTCTCTGCTCTGTAGAAATGTAGAGAAATATACCTTCATTGCCCTATCTCTGCATTTTCTCGGTTCTATAGATGGTACCATGAAGGAATTACAGGAACGTAAAATATTAGAAAAAGTTTTCCAAAACAAGTTCTTAGAAGCCGAAGTTCTTATTATTTGACTCTTGCTCTTAAGTGGACACCAGTAACTATCGAAAAATAGAAAGAGAAAATGCAGATACAGATATACTTGCTGTCCTTCTCATGGTGTTGCCTAAGTCACATCTCATTTTAAAAGGGTCACATCTGGTTGCATGAATCAGTTCTGATGAGTAAAAAGGGTGATAATTTTTCTCAGAAAGCTGGTAAAATTCTGGATAAGCTAATAAAAGATGTCTTTTACTCCGTCTCTCATTCGGGTCCCTTTCAGTCTCCGTCTTCCAGTTTCTGCACTCGGTACAGCCAGCTTCTTCCTGGGCTGATCCACCCAGTGCAGTCTGCGGGCTCCTCAATCCCACAGATCCATGCTAGGGCTTTTGAGTACACTGTCAAAAATTATTTGTTGATTAACCTAATGCACAGTTGAAGTTATTCAGCTACCTATGCTGTAGTCGCTTCGTTACGGAAAAACATTAATAATGAATTCCTATTCTTACATTTTATAGAAAGCCCTTTCTCCTGAACTCAGTCAGGGGCAGCCACTAAAATGCTTTGCTCTGTATGTCCCTCACCTGTTAAGCGAGTAGTTCGATAGTGACATAGACCAGTGCTTCTCACATTTTACCCTGGGGTCTTATTTAAATGCAGGTTCTGATTCAGCAGGTCCTATGGGACCTCACAGTGTGCATTTCCCTCAAACTCTCATGTGAAGCACAACCGTGGCTGGGCCTTGAGTAGCACCATCCACACCTCCAGGTTCCTTCTGCTTTTAAAATGCCAGGATCCTGTTTTTTAGTGTAGTATTTACCATTTCTGCTTCTCCCAAATTCTTTTCCTTTTATTTTCTATGACTACCATATGACTTTCTCAATTCATATTTTAGAATTTATTTAAATGAAATATAACAATGTAATTATCCTCCATCTTAGTTTCTTTTCAAAAAAATTATCTTACAGACAACATAAAGAAGGTGCTAGACCACACCTGAATCAAAGGACAGATGATGAAACTTCACCAATTTCAGTTAAGGATCTCCACTTTGATAAAGCTCTCCCTGTCTTAAAGAATAAGTGTATTTTCACATAAGTTGTTAGTAAAACAAATCCTATATTCCCCTGATATATATGGTAAAATTTAAGATAAAGTCAGGAACGCATGCTACTGGTAGTAGCTCTTTGGAGAGCTCAAAGGTCTTTCATGTAAATTTCCATGTATTTTTCTACTCCTGGTTCATGGAGCTTGTGTCTGATTTTCCAGAGAGGCGCATCCAGCTGGCTGACAGGTGCAGGTGCAAAGTAAGAATTGGGAAGTTCTGGCTGGGCGCTGTGGCTCACGCCTGTAATCCCAGCACTTTGGGAGGCCGAGGCGGGCAGATCACGAGGTCAGGAGATCGAGACCATCCTGGCTAACACAGTGAAACCCCGTCTCTACTAAAAATACAAAAAATTAGCCGGGCGTGGTGGCAGGCGCCTGTAGTCCCAGCTACTCGGGAGGCTGAGGCAGGAGAATGGCAGGAACTGGGAGGCGGAGCTTGCAGTGAGCGGAGATGGCGCCACTGCTCTCCAGCCTGCATGACAGAGCAAGACTCCATCTCAAAAAAAAAAAAAAAAAAATTGGGAAGTTTGGTAAGAGCCTTCCATTTCTTGACTCAGTAAGGATTGGGACGTTTCCCCCTCCTCTTCATTGTCAACGTTTTTCTGACCCTCTTAATAATTCCTGGAACTGTAAAATGTTTCTATTTCAAAACATCAAAGTTAAGATAATTTACCTACAAATAAGGAATTACCCTATGACTCCCTCCTCTCTCCGTTTTCCCCAGTTTGCATACCTCAATTCTCATGGCAGTGAGGCAGCACTGACATGCTTCTTCTTTAGGGGTCCTTTGTTGAGCCAGGAGTGCCCTTTTATAAACCAAAATGTTAATGGCACCCACCCTTTCTACAAGACTTCTTCGATTCCACCCTTCACATCCCTTTTCCTCTCCCCTTTTCCTCCCAGTTTCCTTTTTCTTCAGAGAAAAAGAATTCCTCCAACTTGTGCGCCTCATATTCACAAATCCTCAATTACTTTTTTGTTTTCTATTTTCGGGATTCGTGCATCATCTAAAAGCAATATTGTGATAACACTTTTTTAAAGGAAATGTCACCATATGTTGCTCTTAAACCTGAAAATTTCTTATGTTCAGTAATCAGATTATTTTAAAGCAATCAATATTGTGCAGAGGCAAGTTGCTTATTAATGTACTATAACTCAAAGATATTCTTGATAGAATTCCCAATTAACACCCAATTAACATAGCCAATAAACATCTACTAAAAATTCCTTTATTCAGTCCTCCTGAAAATTCCAGTTCGTCTTCCCATTATTTAAAATATGCTTTTGGCATAAAATAGAATAATTTTTTGCCTCCTGGAATTTGTTATTCAGAAATAATACAGATGTTGCATTTGTTTTAATTTCTCGTGAAATTCAGATTTCTACCAGTGAGAAAAAAAGAAACAGTTTTTCTATTATAGTAACCTATGACCCTTCCATTTCCATATATGGAAAAGTTGAGTCTCTCTTTACTTTCTACTGACTTCACAATGCCACTGATTTGCTTATGCTGTGTTTTTCAAAGATTTCAGAAATCTGAAAATACTATAGAATAAGATGAACAGATCTGGGTTTAAAGAGCTCCCAGAAAACATTTATTTAACTTTATCATCATAATGAAAAACCCAGCTTCCCTGAGACCCAGGTGTGTTTGTGGTGCATGAGAGGCATGCCTGCTTGGCTTCTTGTTGCTATATGGCTGACTTTTTCTATCAAGGTTTTCTTTTTGTTCTTTCTGCATGATTTGGGAGACTCTTGGTATGGGGGCTCTTCACAATTGCTCTTTCCTGGTTCTCAGTTATAATATATTAATGTAACTATTTTCAGCTCTTGACTGAAAATGACAAAAGGCAACCAAAAGCCCCACAGTTTTTCTTTAATGCTATTCTGGAATAACTCCTTAACCTTAATATCACATTTTTTTTCCTCGCAAAGTACTAATCATTCTCCAAATCCCTTTCTCAAGTCATTGGTAATAGCTATTATTCAGAAGGGAGAGTATCAAATGCACAAAACTATTTTCCCAAAGTAAATAAGACTACTAAAGATGTTATTTTGCTTTTGACTCAAAGTTTACTTGTGATGGGAGAAAGTACTGATACTGAATGAGACTTCCAGCTTATACCTATTGTGGACAGTGCAAAAGCATCAGTAATAAGTATCACAAATTGTGGTGAGATGTAGGGACTTGGGAGAAATGATGGTTTATTTGGTGTACCCAAAGTTTATCTCATGATATCTGTGATACCAGATGAAATATATTACTACAACATCTGTTGTCTTTTTCTAAAAAAAAAAATTGAATCTCATGATAATAAAAATAGCCCGGGATGTTTAGTTTGTGTTGGGAGGAAAAAATATTTCAAAAGTCAGGAAGCTTGGTGTAGGTCCCTTTTATTTCAAATTATTAAAAGGCCAGAAAATAATTGAACTTTCTCCCTTCAGTTTGTTTATCAAGCCTGGATTACTGATCCTAAAACAGCACTCCGACAAAGACACAAAGAGAAAAAAAGGTCTGCAAGAGAAGAACGGAAACGAAGGCGGAAAGGATCCAAGGAGGGTGAGTGGTGGGTGGGGTGGCTGTGGTGGGTGTGGCAGGTTTCAGGCTGTGCTCCCCAGCCTTGTCTGCAAAGGACAGAAACTTCTGAGGGATTAAGATTTTTAAATTCTAAAGAATGCCAACAGTTTTAATTTGTCCTAATTGGTCATTTCTGACACTTGGAATAAATTAAAGCACAAAGTTAGGAGATATATATATATATATATATATATATATATATATATATATAATCTTTTAAGTAGGAAAAAAGGAGAGTTGCAAATGAAACCCAAAAAAAGTAGAAGAAAACTTATTTCTTACATGGATATTAAGTAATAAAAAAAAAGAAATACTACAGGACATGACCTGATCAAGTTAAAAATTGTTCTTAGAAAAAGCTAAGGCCAGGCGCGGTGGCTCATGCCTGTAATCCTAGCACTTTGGGAGGCCAAGGCGAGTGGATCACGAGGTCAGGAGATCGAGACCATCCTGGCTAACGCGGTGAAACCCCGTGTCTACTAAAAATACAAAAAATTAGCCCGGCGTGGTAGCGGACGCCTGTAGTCCCAGCTACTCGGGAGGCTGAGGCAGGAGAACGGCGTGAACCCGGGAGGCGGAGCTTGCAGTGAGCCAAGATCGCACCACTGCACTCCAGCCTGGGCGACAGAGGGAGACCCCGTCTAAAAAATAAATAAATAGCCAATAAGAAAGATGAAA
This sequence comes from Homo sapiens, assembly GCF_000001405.40. Classification (NCBI taxonomy): domain Eukaryota; kingdom Metazoa; phylum Chordata; class Mammalia; order Primates; family Hominidae; genus Homo; species Homo sapiens. Next base: position 10,730,710 of record NC_000018.10, on the reverse strand, counting down.
CTTTGGCAATTTAATCAAGAAAAAAGGGAAAGCACACTTAAACAACACTCAGAAACAAGCAAACAAAAGGAACATATATTCAGCGTTATACCAAGATATTTGAAAACATGATATAAACACATCTCTAAGGGTAAAAATATTTCAAACTATAATAAAAAAATCAAAAGCGAAGTTGAAGTGCAGGTGATTCACTCAGGAGCAATATTTTATTGTATATATCAGACTAAAGATGAGTATTCTGTGTATGTTAAGAACTGCTAGAAATCAAGAAAAGAAAAATTCAATTCAATCAATGAGAGCGTGTGAAAAAACAATTCACAGACCAGAAAACAAAAATGACCAAAAGGTGCTCAGTCTCACTATAATACAAGAAATACAAATGAAATATTCTGACATACTGTTTTCTTAACCCATTGGATTGACAGGAACCTAAACATTGGATAATGTCACTGCTTGGGAGCTAGTAGGAAGATAAGTACTTACATATACCATGAGTTGTATTGTGAAGTAGTAGGTCTACTTTGAAGAGTTGTGTGTCATTACCTGCTAAAAGCTCAAGTGTTACATATCATAGTACAGATCAGTCCCACGCCTAGGTGTTTGGCTTATTCTATAGCAGTACTTGCACATGTGCACAAACACACATGTCTAAGAGCATTCATCAGATGCTATTTGTTAATAACAAAAAATTTCGAAACATCCTAAATGCCCATATGAAGAAGAGTTAAATACATTATGTTACTAATATATTATGGAATGTTATTCAGTTCTTTCAAAATGAGATTGATAGCTTTGAGCTGGTATGGAGAACAATTCCTGACACATTATTAAGTGAAAAACAACAGACTGCAAATGGCACGCACATTATGAAATCATGAAACAAATGAAGTCAGAGTAGTACCTCAAGACAGTATTTTGCATTTTTAATGGGTGCATATAATAACTTATGAATGCAAGAGAAAGATCAGGAGGAATATTCACTCATTAGTAACAGTCGTTACTTCTTGAGAAAGTGGAGATTAAGTGGCATGATTAAAGATAAGCCTCATCTGTTGTATTTTGTTTCTTTTCTTTTTTTTTTTTTTTTGAGACAGAGTCTCGCTGTGTCACACAGGCTGGAGTGCAGTGGGGTGATCTCGGCTCACTGCAACCTCAGCCTCCCGGGTTCAAGCGATTCTCGTGCCTCAGCCTCCTGAGCAGCTGAGACTATAGGCGCACACCACCACGCCTAGCAATGTTTGTATTTTTAGTAGAGACGGAGTTTCACCATGTTGGCAGGTTGGTCTTGAACTCCTGACCTCAAGTGATCCGTCCACCTTGGTCTCCCAAAGTGCTGGGATTACAGGCGTGAGCCACTGTGCCCGGCCTGTATTTTGTTTCTTTACAAAGGAAATGTATCCATAGATGGCTTGTGAAATATAAAAGGCATTAAAAAATAAAAAGGAAAAGGTAATTTCTAATGGAACTCTAATTACAAAGTCTCTTCTTTTTGACCTTTCTTCTCCCGATACATCCTAGTAACTTTATCTTACTTTATTGCTTTAAGAAGACAAAATTAATACACAATTGCTGGAACAGGTCAAACAGTAAAGAGGTACACGTATAATCTGCCCCAACCCAGTCACCTCAAAATCCTGTCCTCTAAGGTTACAAATCCTAACAGTATGTTGTGTTCACTTTCACTTCATTTCTCATGTGCACACACGTATGCAGGTGGTTTCCTTTATTGGTTTTTGTTTTTTTTTTTTTTTTTTTTGAGACAGAGTCTTGCTCTGTCGCCCAGGCTGGAGTGCAGTGGCGCCATCTCAGCTCACTGCAAGCTCTGCCTGCCGGGTTCACACCATTCTTCTGCCTCAGCCTCCCACGTAGCTGGGACTACAGGCGCCCGCCACCATGCCCAGCTAATTTTTTGTACTTTTAGTAGAGACGAGGTTTCACCATGTTAGCCAGGATGGTCTCGATCTTCTGACCTCATGATCCGCCCGCCTCGGCCTCCCAAAGTGCTGGGATTACAGGCGTGAGTCACTGCGCTGGCCTATTTTTTTTTTCAATAAGTTCATGCTTTACAAATTACTCTTTCATTTTCATTACCAATGTCATGAACATTTCTCCAATTAAGTATTTATAAAATCATATCATTCTTTTTTAATAGCTTCAAAATATTCCATAGTGCAGATATGCATAATTTATTCAATCCTCTCACCTTTAATGGACATAAGGTTGCTTCCGGATTTTTGCCACAATGAACAGTGCCATAATAGATATCACTGCACAAACATTTATACGTCATAATATATATGAGTGTGTTTAAATGCTTAGCAAAGGTTAGGAAGAACATGCATTTTCCACAGAACAGATTCGCAAAAGTGGGATGACTTATTTAGAGTGTGCCTGTTTTTACTTTAATAGATATTTTTCGGAAAGGTTTTAGTACTTTGCCCTCCTCCATGTGAGGGACAAGAGTGTCCAATTTCCTTTGGCCTCACGCACAGGATTTTACTCCTGTTTTTATCATTTTTCTTTCTAAGGATGACAAATGGCTTTTATTTTCATTTGAATGTAGTTGAATTCTTAACTAATTAAACTGAGCATTTTTATTTCACATTTTGTTGGCGATTTTTTCTTTTCAAGTCTAGGATTTAAACACTTTTAGCATTTTCCTGCATCGTTCTGTCGGGTTGTTTGTTCTTATCAATTCATGCTATTTATATGTCAGGCTTCTTATCCCTTTTTTTCTTTTTTCTTTTTTTTTTTTGTTATTACTGTTTTAATTGTCTGGCTTCCCTCTGGACTGGGAGCTCAGTGAGGATTCTGACCAGTAACTTACACAAAAGGCGCTCTGCACCTCACCTGGTCCAGGAGGGGTTTAGGACTTGGGCCACCAAACTCTAGGGCCTGTCCCTCAGGGACAACTGCAGCTGCTCCTAGGCTATGCCAGCCTGTGCCAGAGACCAGCTGTGAGGGTGTGGGCAAAGACAGGAAAAGCAGAGGCCAGTGGAGGGAGTGGGGACAGGGCCAAGGGAGCTCTTGGGCTTGATTCACAAGGCCTGAATCACTCTGTATGTGTGTGTGTGTGTGTGCGTGTAATGGGAGTGGGGCTAGGAAAATCGGTGCCTTCCAGAAGGAGTGTCTTGTTCCCTGCCATGGAACCTTCAGGAGCTGCTGCTCCCAGCCACAGGAAGTAGATCATATAAATATGGAATAAATACATGACCAGTGAGAGAGGCAAAATGTTGGAAAGCACACCCCAGACCAACTGGGTCTCTACTACCCCAGGTAGTACCCCAAGCTCAGGCCATCAATCACCCCAGGAGAAGGGATCCCGACCCCCACCAGGACCCAGTGAGAAGCAGACAGCACGAATGCTGAAGGAGCACCAAGGGGACAGGTGAGGGAAGGGAGAGACTGGAGTACCGGGACAACCAAAGCCATCTTATGCAAGAACAAGTTTCTATTCCCAAACCACCCTCATCCCCATCAATGCTCAGCTCCCTTCCTGCCCCCATGCCTTCCCTCTGCTCAACACAGAGCTGGAGGCAGGAGGGCGACTCAGTTTGCCAGACATGCTGCTGCAGATCCCCAGGCCCCAGGGAGGCTAGCAAGGGACACAAACCCTTTGATGTTGCCACTCCTTCTCAAGGAATGCTCCTGCCCTCCCAACACCCCCCAAGAAACACCCAGACCGTGGAAGCACAGAGCAAACAGCTTCATGTTCTGGGGGCCTATCTGGAGCTTCTGTCCAGGGCCTCTGTCTGCAGCCCTCAACCTACATCAGTCGGGCAGCAGGCGACCCAGCTCCGCCACATCCAGCCGGTTGGTGGCCATGATGTGCTTCAGCTGCTGCCGGTAGCGTGCCAAGTCCTGCATAAGGTGGGGCATCCGGGTATTATCCAGCACCCCATGGGGCCGCAGGTGGTCCACATCCTCATAGGACACCTTGCCCAGTGAGGTCAGCAGCGGGAAATCGATGGTCTGGCGATGTCCCAGAATGCACAGGATGCCGTTCAGGTACACCTGGTCCTTGCTGAATTAACTTGGCAGCGAGGTGTCTGTCTGGCCGCGCTTGGCGCGCGCGCAGTACTCCCAGCGCACGTCGGCGTCCCGCACGTAGCGCGCCAGGTCCTGGAAGAGCTGGCGGAAGGACAGACGCACAGCGTGGCGGCTGGTGTAGCAGAGCAGAGCAGCGCAGCGCGCCACAGGAACGGCTGCTTGCGGAGCAGCACGCTGTGCAGGGTGGCCAGGCCCTCCTCGTGGGGTTCGCCGGCCGTAGCCCGTACCGCAGCCGGCCCTCCGCGTTGTGCCACGGCTGGCGCGCGTTGTTACCGCCCCGCAGGTAGTGGGTGCCTGCGGGGAAGGCGAAGGGAGGCAGCGCTGGGCGGGGCGTTCGGGGACCCACCTGCTCCACCTGGCCGGGGCTCTGGCCGCGACGCTTCCATTCTCATGCTCCCGAACACAGGCTCGCACACAAGCTCTTCCAGCCCCAGGCAGCGTGAAGCCCCTCCTCCGGTGGACTCGCACCCAAGGATCCACAGTTGCTCACATATATGAATCCTCTCCCACCCATCCCCCCACCACCCTACACCCACGCACCCACACACGTGCACGAACTCTCCCGAACTGACATTGCCCCCAGCCCTCCTGGACACAAGAATACATATACCACCCTGCCCAACATCCTGGGTGCCCATATTATTCTGAACAGTCACGCTGATGCCTTCGGTAAAAACCACCTCTTGCCCAGAGCAACAGGATTCTCGATGAAGAGGGACAGACAGATAGAAATAGTGGTTAGTGCCCTGCACCCTCCTGCCCAGCCTGGCCAGTCGCCTCCTAAACCAGGCGCCGTGTGTCCTCAAGCCAAGTCCATTCCCAGGATCTGGCCTTCCATCCACCCTGGAGGGCCCGCGTGGTGGTTGGCCTGGTGGGACCCTGAGCGTTCTCCCTCTGGCCTGTCAGGGCCTCACCAGCCCTGCCGCCACTGTGGAGAGAAGTCGGAGAGGAAGTGGAGAGAGAAAAATATACCCGAAAGGACCAAGAGATGAAGGCGAGCCCAGAGCGTGGGCAGGCATGTTCTGGCCTACCTCTGTGAGCCAGAGGGCGGAGGCGGCTGCTCAGGAAGGGAAAGCCCCGACCTCAGGAGGGACAGGGGAGAAACAAAAGGGGGAGTTAGTGGGGCCCCTCCTTCCCACGACTCCCAGCTCCCAGGCCCCTTTCATGCCTACCCATCCACCCGGATACCCACACCCTGACCTATTTCATGCCACAGCATGCCCTCCAACCAGTACTGGCGGGCTCTGGTCAGGTTGACCGCCAATGTGGGCCGGCTGTTCTCCACCATCATCACCGCCTGGGACAGCAGGTCTTCACTCAGCTGCACCACAACCTCTTCGACGCAGCCCTCCTTCTGCTGTATTTACCCACAATGGACCATATCTGGCACTTGGTGAGCAGCTGCCTGCCGGTGGCAGCCTCAAAGTGTTCGTAGGTTCCAAACTTCTCCAGAACAGCCTCAATGATGCCAACTGCCTGATGGATGAACTGTCCAGAGGCCTCGCAGTACTTCAGCACAGCCATAGGCATGGGCTCCTGGTACTCGAACTGTGGATTGTAGGTGTAATGCGACTGAAAGAACTTGTCTCCCTCACGGTCCACGTTGGTTGGCCGCAGGGCCACCAACATGCAGGGGCTCTTGCTGGCACTATGGCCTGCATCGCTTTGAGTCTTAGTAATGTGAGGCAGGGAGGCTGCAGGCCGCAGGGTGCGCCCACCTGGGTTCCATCGCCGTCCAGGTGGAGGCTGTCCCAGGGTGCCACGCCCCCGCCGGCCAGTACTATTTACAGAGTAGGTGCTCTCACTGCGACGCATGTGGCCGCCGTGGCCCAGGTGCATCTGTGAGAACGACTGCTGCTCAGGCTGGGGCTGCAGTGCTGGGGGGACTGCCAGAGCCACGGGCAAGGCCAGGGACTGAGACCAGGGGTACAGTGGTGGCCCATCTCGGTCTGAGTGCTTCAGCCTATGACGCAGGGACAGCAGACTGGTAGGTGGGCTGGTGGGTGCCTGATCATACGCCTGAGACCCCGAGTCCAGCACCATTCTGTCTTGGGGGTCACATCCAGCTGGGTCACTCCAACTCCCCACACTGTCGACTTCTGGGGACACAGAAGGGTATGTGGAGACCAGCATGAGTGGGTGTGACCAGAGGACCAGCAGGCCCTGTACTCCGCATTGCCTTTGGTGGGCCCAGGCTCTGCTACCAGGGGTCTGATTGGCTGCAGCATGCATTGCCTCCAGCAGACTTCACCCAAGTATGCTGGGCCAGGAGAAAGCACTTTTGTTTTCGTTTTTGTTTTTTGAGACAGGGTCTTGCTCTGTCACCCAAGGTGGAGTGCAGTGCAATGATCATAGCTCATTGCAGCCTCCAACTCCTGGCCTCAAGTGATCCTCCCACCTCAGCCTCCCAAAGTGCTGGAATTAAACGCATGAGCCACCATGTCCAGCGGAAAGCAAGAGTTTTAAACACCCACCTAGATGGTGGTTACTGGAATCCTCTAAGCCTGAGCTCCTGAAGGCAAGGACTGAGCCCCTTATTCATGATTCTAATCTCTGTGCTCAGCACTCACTTAATCTGGGAGGTGGTACAGTGCAGCCACAGCTGCCTGGGCTGATTAGGTAGGTGAGAAGGCCTCAGGGGCTGCCTTCTGCCTATGGCATCTTCTCAGTGCCACCCCTGCCCACCCACCTGGCTTTACCCACATCCTCTTGCCCATTTTTCCTCAGTCAATTTGAATGTCTGAGGGCCCCATGCTTATGCCAGTACCCCCCAGAATACCCTCTCTCCTCTGAGCCATCTGTTGAAATCCAAATTGGAATCTGCTTTTGGGGAGCAGAGGGAAGCTTCAGCAAATCCAAGCCAATCTCTGCCTTGTCCCCTATCTGAGGGATCTTTCGAGTGGTCATCCAAGGCCAGTGACAGGGCGCTCACCCCAACTCTGTTCCAGGACTCAGTCCAATCCCGTCTCCCCCCAGAGACTGCCTGGAGAGGCTCCAGCTGCCGAGCTCCCTTGTCTGGTCAGCAACTCCCTTCCAGCATTTCTCCTCTCTCCTACATCATCAATCTCTTCCTCTCTACTGGAGTCTTTCCATCAGCATAAACACATGCTGTTATTTCTCCATCTTAAAAAACAAAACAAAACCCTCACTAGTACCCACCCTCCTCCAGCTACAGCCCCACTACATCTCCCTCCATCTGCTCCTATTGCAGCACATACCTCGAGTCATCTATACCCAGTCTCCAGTTCCTTCTTTCCCGTTCTCTCTTAAATCCACTCCAATTAGCCTTTTATTCCCAGCTCTCCATCCAAATTGATCTGATCAAGGTCACCAATGACCAGCAATGACCTTCATATTGATCAGCACCCAATACAGTTAATCACTGCCTCCTGGAGGCCAGGCGCGGTGGCTCACGCCTGTAATCCCAGCACTTTGGGAGGCTAAGGTGGGCGGATCACCTGAGGTCGGGAGTTTGAGACAAGCCTGACCAACATGCAGAAACCCCATCTCTACTAAAAATACAAAATTAACTGGGTGTGGTGGTCCATGCCTGTAATCCCAGCTACTTGGGAGGCTGAGGTAGGAGAATCGCTTGAATCCGGAAGGCAGAGGTTGTGGTGAGCCAAGATCATGCCATTGCACTCCAGCCTGGGCAACAAGAGCAAAACTCTGTCTCAAAAAAAAAAAAAAAAAAAAAAAAAAATCACTGCATCCTGGACACATGCTGTCCACTTGGTTTTCCAAACACACTCGAACTTAGTTCTCCAGTTCTCATGCCTTGCTGGTCATTCTTACCTTCCTGACCTCTTAACACTGTAATATTCCAGGACTTGTCTATGGAAACTTCTTCATTTATGTTCACCCGCTAGGTGTTCTCATCCACTCTCGTGGTTTTAAATACGTTAGCTCAGACTTCTTCCATAAACTTTAGACCAGTGTGCCAATTTCAGTGCAATTTGAGATTATCCCTTTTTTGTATGTTTCAGATATTTTTTCCAACCCAAGACTTATATTTTGATTTAGTTATGGTATATGTGGTCTAAGCAATTTTTATTTTTTTTCTTGTGTCAAATGGGTCTAAATTTCCCCTTGCAGTTTCCAGGTTTCCATCTTGCTTTTAAGAAAGTCTCTTGGCTGGGCACGGTGGCTCACCCTGTAATCCCAGAACTTTGGGAGGCCGAAGGGGGCAGATTACGAGATCAGGAGTTCGAGACCAGCTTGGCCAATATGGTGAAACCCTGTCTCTACTAAAAATACAAAAAATTATCTGGACATGGTGGCACGCACCTGTAATCCCAGCTACTTGGGAGGCTTAAGTAGGAGAATCACTTGAACTTGGGAGGTGGAGGTTGCAGTGAGCTGAGACCGCACCACTGCACTCTAGCCTGGGTGACAGAGTGAGACTTTGCCTCAGGAAAAAAAAAAAAAAGTCTCTCCTCCCAAATATGATGCAGATGTTTCCCAGATTTTCTATTAATTTTACTTACATCTTAATTTTTTTTTTTTTTTTTGAGATGGAGTCTTGCTCTGTTGCCAGGCTTGAGTGAAGTTGCACAAAATCAGCTCATTGCAACCTCCGTCTCCCGAGTTCAAGCAATTCTGCCTCAGCCTCCTGAGTAGCTCGGATTACAGGCACATACCACCACACTTGGCTAATTTTTTGTATTTTCGTAGAGACCGGGTTTCACCATGTTGGCCAGGATGGTCTAGATCTCCTGATCTTGTGATCCTCCCACCTCGGTCTCCCAAAATGCTGGGATTACAGGCATGAGCCACCGCACCTGGCTACGTCTTAAATTTTTATTCTATGAAGTGGAGATCTAATTTGTTCACTTTTAGATGGATAGACAATTACGTTATTCCAGTTTATTAAGATGATTCATCCTTTTCCTACTGGATTTAAATGCCTCATTTGTCAGTGTTAGGCTCTCTTTCTTCTCGGGTGTGTTTTCAGACTCTGTATTTTGATCTTCCCTTGTATTGTCTCGCTTTGAGTCAATGCCACATACTGTTGAGTCTAGTAACTATAGAGTTCGTTTTAATTTTTAGTGAGGCAAACTCCTCTCACTACCTTTTTTTTTCAGAATTGTGTTTGCTGTTCTCAGACATTTGTCCTTCCGGAATGTTTGGATCAGAACAAAAATTTGTTCTTTGGTCATCTTGAAAATAGCTCCTTGCTCTGTGTCATAAAGATTATTTATTGTGCACAGGCAGCACTCTTAACCTACCAATCAAAGACAGCAATAACTTAAAGATACTCTTTTAATGAATCTTTACTCAGCACTTTCTTGGTACGAGGCGTCATGTCTTCCAGATAGATGAAGCACATGGATCCCATTCTTCTGAAGTGCCAGCTGTTGTCATATGTGCCTTATGTATACTGTAGTAACTAACTCGATCCTTGCAACAGCACAGGGTCATTTTATTATCCCTGCTCTACAGAGGAGCAAATAAGGTCCCAGAGAATGAAGCAACTTGCCGGAGGTCACACAGCCATTCAGTGAGTAGTGGGTCTGAAATTCCTACTAGACTTCTTTGTTCTAAAGCCTTTCATTGTAACTGGTAGGCAAGATAAGTATAGGGAAAAAATTCCTAATGATATCAAAACTGCAAAGTTCCATTTTAAAAAGTAGAGATAAATTAATGTGGGACCTGAGGGAGAAAGGATTTCTTGTAGCCAAGTATGTCTTCAGGGAATGCTCCATGAAGAAGGGAGTATTTGTACACAGCCTGACATTCTAGCAGAAGAAAGCAAGCCCATGCATAAAAAATAAAGAGCAGGTCAGCTTAGCTGGTCAAGACCGGATGTGGAGCAGCAGTAGTAAAGAGGATGGCAGAAAATAAGTTTGAGAAGATTCTTGGAGTCAGATCATGAATAACCTTAGATAGGGTAACCAGATAAAATGCAGGAAACTGAGCCAGGAGCTGTGGCTTATGCCTGTAATCTCAGCAACTTGGGACGCTGTGGTAGAAGGATCACCTGAGCCCAGGAGTTTGAGACCAGCCCGAGCAACATCTCTAAAAAGATTTTTTCTTAATATAGTCAGGTGTGGTGTTGCACACTTGTCCTAGCTACTTGGGAGGCTGAGGAGGGAGGATCACTTGGGCCCTGGAGGTCAAGGCTGCAGTGAGCTATGATCACACCATTGCACTCCAACCTGGGCAACAGAGCAAGACCTGACTCTAATATATATATATATATATATATATATATATATATATATATATATATATATATATACATACACATACACATACACACACACACACACACACACACACACACACACACACACAGAATATATATAGGACATATATATGAGATATATATATTATATATATATATATACACACAGAGAGAGAGAATATACATATGATATATGTATTCTCTCTTTATATTACCTGGGCTCCATATATATATATATACACACACACACATATATTCATATATACATATATATATCCTCTCTCTATATATGAAGCCCAGTTTGAGTTTTTAACATAACAAATAATGTTTAGCTTAAGTATAATCTGGACATATTTCATGGAACATACTTATACTTTAAAAATATGAAGATTTAAGATACCTACCTCAAACTTCACGTCATTATTTGAAAATTCTCAAGATGTACTTCCTCAGAGCAACAGTATGACAACATCCTCTATCAGATGACAGCATCAACACCAAATTATAAATGTTCTAGCCTCATCCCTGGGTCTATTTTGTGTCTCCTAACCTGATTTTTTCATTTTACTTTCTCATCTACCTGTTATCCTTCTATATTTCATATGTAACCCTAAACCACCTTATATCCTTTTTGTAAAAAGGTTTATTTGGAATCAATCACTGGTACCCAAATAAATAAAATTAAAACCTCAAAAAAAATGAAGATTTCTTAAAGAACTAAACATAGAACTACCCTTCAATCCAGCAGTCCCACTACTACATATATATTCAAAGGGAAGAAAATCATTATATTAAAAAGGTACCTGCACTCACATGTTTATTGTAGCACTATTCACAATAGCATAAATATGTAATCAACCTAAGTGTCCGTTGATGAACGGAGGACTGGATAAATAAAATGATATATATGTATATGTCATGGAATACTACTGTGCCATAAAAATGAATGAAATCATGTCTTCTGCAGCAACATGGATGGAACTGGAGGCCATTATCCTAACTGAATGCAGAAAGTCAAATATCTCATGTTCTCACTTATCAGTGGGAGCTAAGCAATGGGTGCACATGGGCATACGGAGGGCAGTCATAGACACTGGAGATTATCAAATGCGGGAGAGTTGGGGACAGGGGGATTGAGGGTTGAAAAATTACCTGTTGGGTACAATGTTTGCCATTTGGTGATGAGTACACCAGAATCCCAGACTTTACCATGACACAATATGTGCTTGTAAGGAATCTGCACTTATCTCTCCTAAATATATTTTTAAATGTTCTTAAATTTAAAATTTCTTGTTTATCTTACATTCAAATTTAACTGGTTATCTTGCACTTTCATTTGCTAGATCTGACCTTTTTAGCCTTAAATAAGAGGCTATGAAATGAAATGAAATCCTATAATGTCATTTTAAGATATGACAACCATTTTCTATAAAGAACCTCATAGCAAATTTATTTATTTATTTATTTATTTATTTATTTATTTATTTATTTATTTTAGACAAGGTCTCACTCTTTTGCCCAGGCTGGAGCGCAGTGGCACAATCACGGCTCCCAGGTTCAAGCAATCCTCCCACCCTCAGCCTCCCAAATAGCTGGGACTACAGGTGCGCACCACCACACCCAGCTAATATTTTGATTTTCTATATGTTGCCCAGGCTGGTCTCAAACTCCTGGGCTCAAGCTATCCTCTCTCCTCAACCTCCCAAAGTGCTGGGACTACAGGCATGAGCCACTGCACCCAGCATTGATAGTAAATATTTTAAGGTTTACTATTCATGAAGTCTCTGTTGCAACTCAAATCTGCCATTATAGGGCAAAAGCAGCTATAGATAATATACAGACAAATGGGCATGACTGTTAATTTCACATAATTTTCACATGCACCAAATACTATTCTCCTTTAGATTTTTCAACTATTAGAAATATAAAAGCCATTCTGAACTCACAGGCCATTTGGCAACAGTCAGCCCACGAGTACTGGCCGGTACCCACCAGCGAATGTAGTTTACACATCCTTGATTTACATAATTTTTATGCTGGCATGGAGTAAAATAATCTAAGAGCTATGAATTCTAACAACCTTTCCCCAAGGAACTCTTGAAATAGAATGTCCTAGAGTTAATTACAAAATTCCTTTTAATCTAGAAGAGTAACATTGGCATTTAATTTACCCTAGATGGAATTTAACTCATCTTTATTGAACACACTTGGCAGGTCCTGTGGAATGGGAAGACCGGGAGGATGAACCAATCAAAAAGAAATCCGATGGACCAGGTAACAAAATAAAGACAAATATGAGCTGTGGGAACTTTGAAAATGATACCTGCCCAGATCGTATATAATGGAAGGCTGCCTGAAAAATTGTGAATCGAACACTGTTTTCTGGACTATGAGTAAATAATCAGTATCCCTTGGAATCTCATCTCCACTGAAATTGCAAAATGACTCTTAAAAGTAGGTCTGGACTTTATGCAGTTGGATAAAATGTTGAATTAGTGTCAGTTTGTAAATTCCTTTATGCAAGCACCTATGAAAGAGGCTTTTAGGGAGCAAATTCTTAATGTCCCATGGAAGCCGTCAGAATGAAGGCACACACAAAAAATACTGGCAATTATTTTTAAAAAACACAGAGAGGAGGAGGTAAATGAGAGAGAAGTAGGACTGGCAAAATTAGTGATACTCTAGAAGGTTAGGGCCAAACTCTTCATTTTAGGAGGGGAAAACCAAGCTCAGTGAGTTGGTGACTTGTTCTGGATTCCACAGATAAGTAAGAGAGTCAGGGATAGAACCCTTGTCTTCTAACTGCCAGTCCAGCCACAGTGCCATTTGGGCTCCTCATAGTATGTGATTTGGAGGAAGGTATCTTTATGCAGGAAGAAAAAAAGGCCAAAGCCTCCAAATGAAATGAACTCGATGCTCTCTAGCCCTCTCTAATCATGCCATTTCTTCGTCTGCTTTGGAGCGCCTATGCGGTTATCTCTTCGTCTGCTTTGGAGCGCCTTTGTGGTTATCTATCAGCAGGCCAGGCGTCAGGCTCTTTATGTCCCCACACAAATGCTTCCAAGCCTCCCCTCTGCTGGCACGAAAGGAGACTTACGGAAGGCCACCTAATGCCCTCCACCGTGCCAGTCCTCAAACCCAGTCTTCCAATTCTAGGTCATTGGACACACATATATGTGGACCTGGACACTCTTATTGCTGCAAAGCCTCACACCGTAACAGCTGCCAACACTTCAGATCACATGTCTTGTTTCTCAGGCACTTTTTCGAGAGTTTGGAGTATATTAACTTGTTTAACTCTCTCAAAACAGGGAACTGAGGCAGAGAGAGATTAACCGACTTAACCTCTTAGTTGTATTAACCAAGCCTATAGAACCACTAAAGAGTAGAGTTGGGATTTGAACCCAAGGAGTCTGAATCCAGAGTGTGTGCTCTTAACCACTGTGCCCTACTGCCCCTGTGGTTAAAGTCGAGTCCTCACTTTCCCTGTTGGTGAGTCGTCACCCAGGTTCACAAAGCGCCTGTGATTCACGTCTCCAGTGCGGTGGCTGCAGCCTTACAATCAGGCCCACTGTAGCAAAACCACGCCGTAATAATGTTCACCTTCATCATTTCTAAGAAAACAATTGTGGGTATGAGAAAATACATGTCGAAAATATAAGGAGCTCCTAAAGTTCATTGATGGGTGTAACTCCAAGCCTTTCATCCTCCAGAGCCAAGCTTCCCCTTTATGTCTACACAGAGCAGCTAGAGGCTCTATCTGAATGATTGTGAGAAATACATACCTTGCTTGAGATTTTATAAAGGATGTGAGGAGGGGCGGAGAGGGAAACATAGGTGCTCGTGGCATCTCCTGTTCAGCGGCCACAGCGACTCACTTCATTCAGCTTCAAGCAGCGGCCGTTCTCTTCCTGTGCCTCCTTGCTCAGCAAAAGATACCCGCTCTTTTCCTTGCTTCTTAAATGTACCTCATGGAAGACTGTTAGGTGTGACATGGTTTTGAGGTTTGGGTGTCACCAGGGTAGTGACAGCACAGGTGGGAAATTGTCACACAGAACATCAGATGTCACTATATACACATATTATATAAGGAAGCTAGAGAAAATGTCATGAAGAAAATCAGAAAGAAAATATAGTTCCTATTCAGTAAATGGAAGTGGACCATCATAAAGCTCTCATCCTCATCGTCCTTCCCTTGAGTGGGTTGAGGAGGAGGAGGAAGAAGAGGGGTTGGTTTTTCTGTATTAGGGGTGGCAGAGGCAGCAGAGGTGGAGGAGAGAAGGTGGAAGGGGAAACAGAAGAGGCAGGCACATTTGGAGTAACTTTTACTGAAAACAATCCACGCGTAGAGTGGATCCACGCTGTCCAAACCCATGTTCAAGGGTCAGCTGCACAGGGAGCCGCCCTGCTTTCTGTTTCCACTAAAGATTACAAGTTCTATCCTGATTTGGTCTGCCACTGCGTGTGTGCAAAGCCCCACAAAAGCTTCCTGCATGGCAGCTCTCCTCCGTGCGTCATGAGTATCTGAGTCACATGCCTTATTAGATGCACGGGCCAAGAGCCAGGTCCAGCTTTGGTAAAACATCGCTGGGCTACACAAAAGTAAAATCAATGGTATTTTGTTCCTTTAACATCTTGTTGCCTTTCTTCCTCCTAGATAATATCATCAAGAGGATATTTAATATTTTGAAATTTACCTGGGTCCTATTTCTGGCAACAGTGGACAGTTTCACTACTTGGCTTAACTCCATTTCAAGGGAGCATATTGATATATCTACAGTTCTGAGAATTGAACGATGCATGCTGACCAGAGAAATTAAGAAGGTAACACTGCTGGTGTAATTCTTTTTGCTCCTTCCCACATTAAGAAGACATTAAAAGTCAATGTCCAAAACTCCAGGTAGGATAAGACAAAGCCCTTTCTTTCCAGGCAGTTGTGGCATAACCCCTTTGCTTTTCTGTATATTTAAATCTATTCCACACTAAGAATTAAAATAATTAAATGTCATGCACATGCACCTACACACACACACGTCACAGAATGGCAACTTTATTCATCCTATCCCTCCCCTCACCACAGTTTGCAGGTGTACAGACTTTGCCTTGTTCTATATCCCTATATCTAATAGAGAATTATAGTTTTAGTCTAGAAAGTGTAGAAAGTGGTGTTTGTTTTCTCCCACCTGATCACTGAAGTCTGGAAAGTTTGATCTAAAACTTTTTTATAATAAAAAGTAGGACATACGCAGAATAACAAAATATATGGTTTAAAGACTGTATTTTAAAATAATAGTTCATATCTTGAAAGGTTACTATGATTTGGCAAAATTATCTACCTATAAGAAGACATTTACTTAGATCTACCTAGTAATGTTGGAAACCACTTATGAAATGAGTCGACATCAATCCCCACTTGCCTAGCATGGTCCTAATCCTTATCCAGGCATGCATGGGTATGAAAAGCTGTCTGTGTTGAGAAATGCCAGGTGGCTATACAGGTAGATGCCTCCATAAGAACTGTGGCAATGTCTCATTCTCCTCAGGGCAATGTTCCAACTCGGGAGAGCATCCACATGTACTATCAGAACCACATCATGAACCTTTCCAGAGAGTCGGGACTGGACACCATTGACGAGCATCCCGGAGCTGCTTCAGGTGCACAGACAGCCCACAGGATGGATAGTTTAGATTCACATGACAGTATCTCCAGGTATTTCACTTTCTAACAATGGGTTTACTTTTGACAAAGGTAAATGAGGTGGATGTCATCAAATATAAGAAATGAATGTGTGAGGTGAAAGTTCATCAAAACCATGCATGGACCCCCACCCTCTTCCAGCTGTCGCCATCTGTACAACAAACTATAAGGAACATTGTCCTCACCTAGAAGGAACCAAATAAAAGCAGATATCAATAAGACACTATTAGCTATACCTGTGTGACCCAAAGGCACAGTATAGAGATTTCCAGGCTGGAGGCAAGGAAGAATGATCCCTCCCAACCCCAAAGTTATTATTTGTGGGACATCTTTAGTGCCTTTCAAGATAGCCGATCCACAGTGTCTTCTACATTAGGGTCTTCTACTTCTGTTGCTATCCTTGATCTTTCCCTTCAGAATTGTTACCTTAAGTTTTATGATAAAAATTCCCAAAAAGTATTCTGTTAGCTTCCATCTTCTCTGAGTTTACTATTGTATGCATTGTTTCACAACAGGATTGTCAGATGACACAGTACTAATGGGTTCGCCAGGGGCCAGCACTAAGCACTGTACCTGGGTTACCTCATTTTATCCTCTAAGACCCTACGAGATGCATGCTATTATTATCCCTGTTTTGCAAAGACAGAATTCGGTTACAGGGAGATTAAGAAACATACCCAAAGTCACACAGCTAGGATGTATATAAAAGCGGACCCGCAATCCAAAATCATGTGGTTTAGCTCAGAACCCAAGCTCTCAACCACCCTAGTATGCTGTCTCTCATTGCCTCTTCCTGCACCGCAGACCAACTTACTGCCTGTCCCAGAAAAGCCTCAGAATTCTTTGCATCACAGTGTTCTAGATAGCTGATAACAATTGTACAGAGCTAGATTCTAAATTAAAGCAGAAGTCCCTGTCTTAGGAGGAAAAATCGCCTTGTTAGGGTGAAGCGCTAGACCAAATGAATTACACCTTATAGCCACCTTCATGGGTAAAGAATTGTATCACTGAGAACATTCATGTTTTATGTTTTTCATTAAACATGTTGAGTATCAGCTATTCTGTGCCAAGCCCTGGGCTCTATTCTGGGAGAGGCATATAAAGATAAGAGTAATCCCCTAAATGGTTTGAGCCTAGGAAGAACTGAGATAAGGCCATTCCCTCCTAAAATGCTTGCCCTGGGGAGGACAGTAGAGACTGGTGTCTCTGACTGCTGGTCAGAAACTCCTGGATGGCTTTAGAGTCACACTTTAGAGCGAGGCACTAATGACCTGGAAAAGTATTTGTCCTTCACAAATGCTGGATATATTTCCAGATGAAATAGGAGACGGAGCTGAGACCATTTTATTGATATCAAACCCAAAATAGACAACTGGATGTTGGAATTACAAACTGAGTGAGGAATGTGGGTAAAAAAAAAACCAAAAAGTTTTGCCCTAAAGTGCTAATTAACTGTTGCTGCATTCCTGTATTTGAGCCTCTCTAATTATGCCAATTATTTTGCTACCCAATAATTATTATTGAGGCAGATCCATATTTATTGGTATGAAAAGATCTTTGTGATATATATACACAGTAAAATATATACATATATTTAGTAAAAATCCAAGTTTTAAAATAAGATGTATGCTAAGCCTAATTTAAAATATATATATTCATGCCTAGATTGATTTAGAAGTAATATTCGTGCAGATAACACTGTGCATGGGTGTATCCCTGCCTGCTCCCCTAAAATAGGTATTGATTCTTTTAAAGTCTTTTGAGGGATAATAAAAGAGACTATATTTTTCTTTTAATTGGTTAATAATCTTTGCTTATTTATGAGTTCCAAAGACACAGATATTTCATCTATTATTGTATATTTTTATGGAAAGAAGAAACATTTAGGACAGAAACTCGTTATGATTTCAAGGTCAAACATGTATTTCCTAATTGAGATTTGGTTTAAAGTTTTAATTCATAGAATAAAATGACTGATTATTGGAAAACTGTGTCATCATAAAACTTTCTTTTTCAGTGTCTTTCTACCCAAGAATATGCACATTTCTCAATTATTAATTTCTGAAACCATTAGTAATATCAAAGTTACAAAGAGAACATTTAATATCATATCCTTCCACTGGTGAGTGTTACCAGAGCGTCACTGTGTCTTCCTGAAAACCTCCCACAATCAACATTTTGAAAGGGGAGCTTCTGTCTTCTTCTTTGACAGATTCCATTCAGACAAAAAGTCATTCTTTATTTTGAATTTTATTTTTACTTTTTGAAAGCTATTATAACTGTTCTATTTAGAAGCTTCCAGATGTATTAAATTCATTCTTATTGCAACAATCGTCTCCCTATCTATTGATCATTGTATTTAAACTGAATCATTCTCTCTTTAATTTAATTCAATATACTTAATTCATTTTAACGCTAAAACTTAAAATCCGTGTCTAGCTCCATGTTACCTAAGCTCTTAAGTAGTCCAGCTAGGTCCTCCCTTAATCCTAGAGGGACCCTGCATGGGCAAGTCTGTGAAAGCCTGCAGGTTTGTGCAGCAGGGTGGGTGGGGAGCCAAGACTTGTCTGAATGTGGTGAGCACTCGAGATGCTGACTGGTGCTGCTTCCTAGTTACAGGGTGAACGAAGGGATATTGGGGAATCTAAACATTTCTAAATCTACCCGCTGTAGGAACTATTCATGATCAAACAACCCTTTTTCAAAAACCAAGAGAATGATAGGATGAAAGAAATGCTGAGATTCTCTACACGTAAATGTCCCAAATGATGTTTCTTTTATTTGTTTGTTCATTTATTTTTGTGTAACATTCACACGCATCCCACTGCTCTCAGCTTTGGACTGTACTGCTCTGTATATATCCAATATGGACTGGGTCGGATCCAAACTATGTCTTTATTACTTTTAAATTCTAAAATAAAAGGCTCAGACAGCTCTAGTGAACTTAACCAAAAGTCATGATCATATTCAACTGGAATCGTTTCCTCCTGCGCGGTGAAGAATACGATCACGTACATGCGTAGTATTGAGTTTGAATATTGCACCTTTGCATCTTTCTTCGAGAAAATATGCTGCCCCATCATGTGATTTGTAAAATTTTTCAAATGCCTTTTTTTAACCTCCCTTCTTGCTTCATTTTGTAATACAGAGATTTTTTTTTGTTACCTGAATCCCCAAGTGTGGCAAGCGAAATGGGTAATGAATAGAATTGCCTTTCTTCATTAATTTGTGATGACATTAACAGTAATTGGTGACATTTTTTAATGAACCTCTTTTGAAATTTCATGAAGCCATATAGTCTCCCACAGGGAAAAATCATACAAAGATACAATTTTTTTCATACAATCTCAAGGGTTTTATAGGCCTCCTGAGTATCACACATGAGCCTGGCTTGAAAAAAGATGCTCTAGAACCAAACTCTGAATCAGTGGCCTCAGAGAATATTCAAAGGTGAATTGAAAATAAATTTTTCATAAAATAAACATAGGTGAATCCCATCTTTATGACTTTTAACTACATAACAATGAACAGTATGCCCCATGAAGAAATTAAATATTATAAATCACAATTAAGGAGGAAAAACAACTGGTTAAAATAAACTCAAGTAACTGCCTTTAAATCTGACCTAAGATTGCAAATAGGAAACCACACTCATGATAAAAAATTGTGAGTTAAGAGATATTTAAATTCATCGATTGCTTTTTGACAAAGACTGTCAAAATATCCCCCCAGTTTTAAAATGGTCAGTCAGTAAATACAATAACTAGTAGGAAACCAGCACCTTTAGAATTAGGTTTTAATGTATTTTTATTTTGTTTTTCAACCTAAAGAAAGGGGAGACAGAATAGGGCCTATCTTGTTGCCAGTAAAGGAGTTACCTCACTTGCCCTTTTCTGCAGTGAGCTGTATTTCTAATTTCCAAATCATCATTTGTCTACACTGTAGTCTCCAGGGAGCCATGCTGATTGCTGGAAAGGTAGTAACCCTCCCTAGAAGAGGTTCTGCAGTGGAAGTCATTGGGAAGGGTCTGGTGGCCAGGAGGCTGCCACTCCCCAGTGAGGTCATGCTCACCCAGTGTGGCCAGTGCCCTTCATGGCCCCTGCTCCGAGGCCAGTGGCATGAATTTTACCTTTAAGCAGACAGTAGACAGAGTCTGGGTGGGATCCTAACAAGTGGATTTGTAGTCCCTTTGACTTACGAGAATAGTCACGGTTTCTTTCAAATCCAGATGTAAAATGGCAAAAATTTTTTAATGGTTGCTTTATATAATCAGATAACACAGAAAACATTAATTAACATTCTGAGGGGCATTCCCAGGTAGGAGGTGGTTAATATTTTAAATATGTCCTCTGAGGGGTTGCTGTGTGTTCCTGTGGTGCTGGCAGTGGGGGGGCCCGTCAGGCAGGTGATGGCAGCCGTCCCCTTGGGCCTACTGTCGGGGCCTATTTTTATACATTTCCTCCCCTTCCTATTCACTTTTAAACTGTCCTGGATTGTGTGATGTATTAGTTGCCCTACCGGGAACCCAACTGTGTGGGATTATGTGGGTTCTGAGAACTCCATCCAAGAGTTAACAAGATAAACAGGGCTTTTGAATTAGAACCATCGGTTCCCATGAAGAAAACCTGAGCAAAGCTGCAGGAGACTGCACAGGCTATGGGGTTGCATCTCTGCAAATATTAAATGAAATACAGAAATGCGAAGTCCCCTCATCTCAGAAACATAAAATTGGGGCCCCAGAAAGGGGCACTGATTCATCTAAAACCCAACAGCCAGTTAATGTCAGCATCCCAGTCCTCACTGTGTTCGTCCAATGCTTTTCTAATTTATCTTGTCATTGTCTCCTCATTTTGTCCAGGCCATGGTGACATTGTGACATCTAAAAGAGTTAGGGCAAAACAAAACAAAACAGCCTCAATGTCCTTATTAGAGAGTATTTTGGTTGCTCACAGGCTTATCGCCCTCACTGGCTGCCCCTGTCTTGGTCACATAGCTGTAACATGCACAGCAGCATGGCCGGCCCCACTGGAGCAGTTATGGCTTGTGCTCCAGCACATGGGACCTGAAAAACTCTTTTAACAGGTTCCATGAGTGAATAACTCAAATTCGCTCCTCCCAGGCTTGCAGTGGTCATTGCATCCTGAAAGTCTTCCATCTCTGCCTCAGGATCCTTGGCCAACAGTGTATGGCTGTGCAGGCCAGGCACCTAGTACTCTCCTAGTGAGTTCACTTGATGACAGAGTTCAGCCTACCACGTTCAGCCTGGAAATCAGGCAACCTATATCTCTAAAGATCTGTTTCTGTTCCCTGGGTCAGCCAGCCCATGAGCACACAAGTTGGAAGATAAGTATTCCAGTTGCTTTCTGTAGAGGATCTTTGGGCTGTCTGTCCCTCTTTGGGGTTGAGCCATGTGTGGGAACTGAAACTATGCGTGTGTCACACCTCTGTGTGCCTCCTCTCATGAGCATCCTCACCCAGCAGCATCCTAGGCCTGGATCTGCCATCTTCCCTCGCCAGTCACTGCTCCTTTGGGTACCAGGAGATGAGGGCTTTAGGCAGTGGGTTCTCTTCATCATGGCATCCAACAAGCCCTAAAACATGATCCAGAAGAAAAATTAGGCAAAATGAAAAGTTAACAGACAAAATGACTCTGCCATTGCTCAAGTTCCTTTGTTCTTTCCTTTACAGCCTTTTATTTTATTTCTGATGTTGGTTTATATCCACTGCATATTAAACCAGCATCCCGACTACATGCAGAGCATCTCATTTGGCTTAACTGAATATCACTCCAAAAATGGGGTGCAAAATTCAGTTTGTTGTCATTCCTGAGTTTCCCCTCTCTAATTCTGAAGACCGTGTTAAAAAGAAAAAAAAGATTGAAATATTTTATGTAAATTCTACATGAGCAGTTATTTCTGTTCAAGCAAGTTGGTTAATAAATGCTCTTAACTCAGGACTGCAAGCTCCAAATAAAGCATATTTTCTTTCATTTAAAAGAAACCCTCTGTTACGAAGTTATAATTACATAAATTATACATTGTGAGAAAAATATTGGGACTTGTCATTTTTCTGTTTCTTAGTCCCACCCAGAGAGTGCCATTTTGTAATGTGTCACTAGCCAATATGTTTTTTAAAATCCAGTACTCGTGTGTTTCAAGGTCCTGCACACAGGTCCATCCCCATCCCTGAGCCCCGCTGCGGTGGCCTTCCTTGTCGGTGGTGTTGGTGTCATGTGTGGTTTGCTGCATGGCAGTGTGTTGGTCAGTTGATCCGTGTGTAACCTGTGTACAACTTGGTGTTTTAACACTGTGTTTCTGTAACTGTTTGCGCTGCTAGCTGCTACACTGAAGCAACCATGCTGTTCTCAAGGCAGTCCACCCTTGATGATTTAGATGGACAAGAAATTCCTAAAACAAGCGAGCGTGCTCGGCCTAGGCTCCGTAAAATGCTCAGCATGGATATGTCCTCCTCATCAGCTGACAGTGGCAGTTTAGCATCAAGGTGCTTAACTTGTGCATGCTTTGTTCTGTCATTTTAATCACCTCTTCCCCCCCTTTATGTCACTGCAAATATAAGTTCTTGTGATGTATGTTTTTATTTCATTTTTATTTTAAGAATCTGCATGACTAACCGAAGCATAATCACCACTGCCCTCTGTGAGATGTAATTGTTCTCAGGACAGCATTATATTAAACTAACCGCTCTTTAGTTTTTGTCTGTTAGGAGTTTCTTTAAAAATCCTTATCACAAACATTCTCCTCCATGTTTTCAGTATTTCAAACTTTCCATTTTCAGAGACATAAGCATGTTTCCTCCATAATTTAGAGCTTCTGAGGGCACTACTCAAAGGGGGAACTCTGTTTGCAAAGGTAGAAAACTTCTTCTCTTGATGTAATCAAAAGATGCATGCAGTAGGAAAAAAATCTAAAAATCTATCATAGGTAGTCATTTTTAGTGAATATTAAATAAGTCTGCATGTTATCTGCCTAATTGACATAAAAGTCAGAATATAGTTTACCATTGGTTTTTAAAAAGAATATTATGCAGCAGAATGCATCATCTTTGTAGCCTATAACTTTTATTTTGGGGAAAATATACTGTGGCTTAAGTTCTCCCAAATCCTACCCTAAAACAGTATTCATTTAGAAATAAAATTATTTGCATACAACCCGAAAACTCTTTTTGAATTGCCTTAGGATGGTGAGGGGGCACAATGAAGTCAGCAGCTACACTGTGTTTCTCCTGACACGAAAACAGCCTAATCCAAGACAAGTTTCGTTTTGACTGCTCATGGTGGCAAGTCAGAGGGCATCTTCTTTTCACTGGCAGCCGTGTATCTCGGTGCATCCCTGCAGTATGCTGACACCTGGCATTGATGGGAATGCCTTGGCCATTTGACAAAGTCCTCTGGCGGGCATGTGCCTGCCATGCCAGTCCATTTTCTTGACCTCTGAAGGTACCCTCCACCCCTTGGTGCTACAAGAGATCCAAACCAAAGGGAGCATGATTAGGACTGATGACAGTCTTACTGGCCATGAGACCTGGTGCGGGGTTGGCTCCAGTAGTCTGCAAGTTCCCTGGGCAATGGGTCAATGGCATGGCCCTCCTAGGAAGTATATCTAATTGAGGTAAGTCTTAGCAAAAATCTGTTTTGGGCTGGCATTTCACCAGCCCGTACATGATGTGCGCACTCAAGGACACAGCCCTGGGGATTCTGAACACCTGAGCGGGCATCAAAAGCTCAGGCCAATCTGGTTCTTCAGTCACAGGATGCCGTGAGCCGCTCTGCCAAGGTTCATTCATTCATTCATTCATCCATATGTCTATACTGGTATCTGTGACAAGAAACATGGGTACAGTCTATGCATTTGAGAATCTCAGTGTTTATGGAACCCTGGTGGTCACACGTGCCATTCAGATAAGAGTACGTATTTCAGAGTCTAACATGTCACCCTCCCACATCCAAGACAGATTCCCAATCTCCAGGTGGGTTTTGCCCCTCTCCCGTCCGTGGCTGGATGTGTCTGAGGTAGAGCAAGCCATGAATGTCACTGGCTGCCCTCTTGTCATTGGCCAACCTTGTCTGCATGGACGTGACAGGGAAAGTTTAAAGGAACAAAAGAAGGAGACAAAGGATATGAGAGAAAAGAACAGAATGCCAAAGGCAGGGAGTGAGGATGAGAGTAGAGAAGCTTCTGGAAAAGGACTACTCAAAGAGGAACTGGTAGAAGAAAGTAAGTAAAGTTGTTGGTAGGAGAGAACAGAAGCGCACCCTGGGGTGGAGTGGGCAGCTGGAAGGGAGAAGGGCCAAGGAGAGCTTGCGTGGGAAGAGAGTGGCTGGAGTCCCACAGGGAAGGGGAAGCCCTGGGCACAGTGCAGGGAGCTGGGACGAGGGTGGAGATTCCGCAGACGGGATGCACAGAAATGCAAAAAAGGCAAAGGATGGAAAAGCAGGGTGGAAGAATAAACATGAAAGAAGGGTGGCATTTTTTATCAAGCACACAGTTGTTCAGTATAGCCAATATTTAATCATTCCCATTCCCATTCCCCCCTTATGGTCTGGGTGGGTCTGTTGTGTAGGATGGAGGGTAGAATACCTATTTGCTAAGACTTAGCTCTTGGTCAAAACCTTC
This sequence comes from Homo sapiens, assembly GCF_000001405.40. Lineage (NCBI taxonomy): Eukaryota > Metazoa > Chordata > Mammalia > Primates > Hominidae > Homo > Homo sapiens. Next base: position 10,706,142 of record NC_000018.10, on the reverse strand, counting down.
AGAGCTTCTGCCCTCCAGAGATGCCCCTCCTTGAAGCAGACAGAGCAGTGGGTAAGCTGTGCTGTGTTGATATGGCAACAGACTCTGGAACCCGAGGCTGTGAATCTAGATACTCCACACTTGTTACGGGGGTGGGTTTTGCTCTTTGAGAGCCACGTGACTGGCTCTGGTTCTAAACTGTGTGTGTGCACTGTCAACATTTGCATTGGAGAGGCTGCTGTTTGCAGTGGCTGCAGAACAGGAGTGATTATCCTAAAAGAACAAAGCAGATGGAATGCAGGGGGGAAAATGGGGCATTTCCTTAGGAGTTCTGATGAGGTCTCTCAGGAATGGGAAAGAACCCCAGGAGTGTGGATGCTAAGACATGGGCTCTGTGCCCACGCTTTCTCCCAACAGCGAGCCCACGCAGTGTACCATGCTGTACTCACGCCAGGGGACCACTGAGACCATCGAGGAGGTGGAGGCTGAGCAGGAGGAGGAGGCAGGGAGCACGGCGCCTGAGCCCAGGGAGGCCAAGGAGTACGAGGCCACTGGGTACGATGTGGGAGCCATGGGTGCCGAGGAGGCCAGCCTCACCCCAGAGGAAGAGCTGACACAGTTCTCCACCTTGGACGGGGATGTGGAGGCCCCACCCTCCTACAGCAAGGCTGTGAGCTTCGAGCATCTGTCCTTCGGCTCGCAGGACGACTCTGCAGGCAAGAACCGTATGGCAGTCAGCCCGGACGACAGCCGCACCGACAAGCTGGGGTCCAGCATCTTACCTCCCCTGACCCATGAGCTGACGGCCAGCGAGCTGCTGCTGAAAAAGTAAGGGTCCAGTGAACAGATCAGACACATATCCCCAAATCACCACTTAAACATAATGCCCTAATTCTGTATACAGAAAAATTCATATATAGAAAAAAGTTCATCTGGACACTTAGAGCAAACAGACAATTCCAAGACTTCTTGCACTGCAAGTACAAAGCAAACTTCGCTCCTACCATGACTGGTTCTAGAACCAGCAAAACCCAGAGCCTTGTGTTGACATTTCTTTCTATAATAAGGTCTGATATTAGGTTGTCTCTGAAGGAAAAACAGGAAGCCGGGAACACAGCAGGAAGGATGGTGCTAAATGAAAATCAGTAATTTGGAGAAATTAAAGAAAGGCATGGCCGGGCGCAGTGGCTCATGCCTGTAATCCCAGCACTTTGGGAGGCTGAGGCGGGTGGATCACCTGAGGTTAGGAGTTCAAGACCAGCCTGACCAACATGGCGAAACTGTCCCTTTACTAAAAATACACACAAAAAAATTAGCTGGGTGTGGTGGCAGGCACCTGTAATCCCAGGTACTCAGGAGGCTGAAGCAGGAGAATGGCTTGAGTTCGGGAGGCGGAGGTTGCAGTGAGCCAAGATCACGCCATTGCACTCCAGCCTGGGCAACAAGAGCAAAACTCCATCTCAAAAAGAAGAAAAAAAATAGACATATTATCATGTGGTTTGCTTTAACAGGATGTTTCACGACGATGAGCTTGAAGAGTCAGAGAAATTCTACGTGGGGCAGCCCCGATTTCTGCTGCTCTTCTATGCCATGTACAATACCCTGGTGGCCCGCTCGGAGATGGTGTGCTACTTCGTGATCATCCTCAACCACATGGTCTCTGCCTCCATGATCACGCTCCTGCTTCCCATCCTCATCTTCCTCTGGGCCATGTTGTCCGTCCCCAGGCCCAGCCGCCGGTTCTGGATGATGGCCATCGTCTATACTGAGGTAGGCCTGGACGCAGACCCCTGTGGATGGCTTCAGGCGGCTATGCAAGGGGAAGCATACCTTGTGTCCCTGTGCCCTCTCTTGAGACGGGCCTGCCCTGATCCCAGACAGTTTCACATGGAACATGCAGTTCCACAGACATTCTTAGATACACAAATCGTCAGCAGCAACAGTTACCTAGCACTCGCAATTCTAAAAATCTTTTCACACTGCACACCTCACGCACGGCGGGTACTGGCATCATTCCCATTTAACAGATAAGGACACAGCATCAATGAGATTAAATAAATGGCCAGAGTTGCCCAACTGGTGAGGGGTGGGTACACGTTTGAAGCCTGGTTGCCTAACCTACGATATTAATCACTGAGACGATAACAGGCTTCTGCAGAGTCGAGCACAATGCCTGGCGCCACCGGGGGTTCAGTGAATGGACCCTGTGTTAAATCATACAGTCCGGCACTTTGGACATAGTTTGAATACATCATACATACTTTTCATTTTTAAACGTAAACGTAAAGTTCCATACGTCGCAACACAAAATTGTACAAGCACCCGCTTAGCATCTGAAGGGTGGATGTCAGCCCATTTTCATCCCATGCGGGGTATGAGGAGCCTTCTGCTCACTCTTATGTTCCTGCTTTTCTGTCCTGACCTATTCAACATAGACAGGATCACGAATGCCCATGAAAACCATAAAGGGACTTTAAAAAAAAAAGCTCGATATTCTTGGTGCCTGGACGACCATGGTGCTTTGTGCTCTCAGGTTTGTGAAGAGACTGATTTTCTTCCCTGACTTGTAAGGAAAAGTTGTCACTTTCAACAGTGCTGTAATTACTTCTTAAATGACAGTGCTCATGCTAGATGCACACCCAAAGCCCAGAAGTTTTGTAGGTTGTAAGTAATTCAGTAGCAAAATTAAAACAAAGCTATACAGTAAAGCATCTCAAAAGTATTTGGTTGAAAGTATTGATAGCATGCATCTTATTTCCATAAGGAAAATAAAGGATGTGAAGTCAAATATATATCTATTGCTTGAATTGGCCAATCCAAGTTAATCATCCCTAAACTTTACTTTCATTACATCACTTCAAGATGTAAATGACTGCCTGTTTAGGGAATGGGTGCCAGTCTATAACAATGTGAGTACATTTATCAAATTCCCTTTCTTACCTAGGGCTGAAGTAAGAGGAAATACCAAGAATGTGGAAAAGGGAACAAGAGCTTCTTGTATAGATTTCACCTTAAAAATAAAATATTTCTGGCTATAGTCCCAGCACTTTAAGAGGCCAAGGCAGGAGGATCACTTGAGGTCAGGAGTTCAAGACAAGCCTGGGCAACATAGCACGACCCCATTTCTACAAAAAAATAAAAAACATTAGCCAGGCATGGTGGCTTACACCTGTAGTCCAAGCTACTTGGGAGGCAGAGGTGGGAGGATTGCACCCAGGAGTTTGAGGTTGCAGTGAGCTGTGATTGTGCCACTGCACTCCACCGTGAGCAAGAGGTTGAGACCTCATCTCTAAAAAAATAAATAAAATATTTCTATATAAGTTAAGTTGAGGCTCTCCCTTTTCTTGTCACATTGCACTGAGGACTGAAGTAAGTGGGAAATTCTTGATGTTGATTTACTCTATCATACAAACCCCGTGTCAGAAACCAAGAACCCTGCTACGCACCAGAATACAAAGATGAATAGAAAGCAAATATTCATTTCTGTTTTTTAGTGGCTCCCAGACTAATGTGGCACACAGATATGATGGAGGAAAGTGAAAACTACATACATCCTAACCGTGTGATATGCTCCTATAGATTGCGAATTAAAGAAATACAGAAACTAGAAAGATACGAGTATGTTCTGTTCATGTTTCCCTAAATAATATATTTAATAGCTGCGTAATTATATCAATATCTAATTAAATAAGTATAATGCCAACACCTCAAAAAAGAGGAAATGACTAATCAAAGCGGTGCCCTGAGAAGTCTGACTGGCCTTGCTGGATCTACAGTGAAAGACACTGTGACGGTTAGATGCTGCTTCTGTTATGAAGTCAATAGTCTGCGAGAATGATAATGTTACTATTCCACATAATTATGTGCCTGCCTACCATCAAAACTGTGAAATGCGGGTCTCTTTCTTAATTGTTATATTGCTCTTTCCCATATACAGGTATATCTATTCCTAAAAGGAGTAATGTTTTAAAATTTCTGTCATCTGTGCGTAGGTGGCAATTGTAGTCAAGTATTTCTTCCAATTTGGGTTCTTTCCCTGGAATAAGAATGTGGAGGTGAACAAAGATAAACCGTATCACCCCCCAAACATCATAGGAGTGGAAAAGAAGGAAGGTTATGTTCTCTATGACCTCATCCAGCTCCTGGCTCTGTTCTTTCATCGATCAATTTTGAAGGTACTGCATGTTAACAATTAATCAGTTCAAGTTGGTCATCTTCCTAGATAACCTGGACCGTAATCTTCCTAGATAACCTGGACATCAGGATTGGTGATGGGGCTGAGGGGCCAGTGAGTGGTATCTACTCATATGTTTTTTTTAAAAAAAAAAAGAGAGAGAAAAGAAAAAGGTTAAGTTCATTTAGCTGACATTTTTTCCAACACTTGTGGTGCTAAATAATGGAACTTACAATAAATCTGGGAGAATGTTTCCCCATGTTTCCAACCTAGGTTAAATGTGTAATCGTGAATCCACTTTTGTGGAACATTGCTTGAATGATGTGCAATATTCTAAGGCCGGATACACTAAATTCTGCTTCTGATTTAAGCCAGAGCATCAGACAGCCACAATGTGTGTGGATCATATTGTCTCATCTCCATCCCAGCTTCTGCCTCCCTTCTTCTAGTAGTACTGCTTTCATTGGGTAGCTTCTTGTCATGAAACCACTAGCTGTTGGTGAGAAACCACATATTCTTTAAAGTTGCCCAGTAAAACCCAGAGCTGTGCTTTCTCCTGCTTATTGTGGAGGAGGCCACTCATGATCCTGCTGGAGGAAGGCCTTTATACAGCATGGCCCTGCCTCAGCCTCAGGGACTCCTGTCCTTCTGAGCAACTTCATGGGTTTTTCCTTCTCACATGCTGTGAATTATAAACTAAACTTGTAAATACGCCATTTAATTCTAATAAATAGAAATTATTGCATAGCATAGATTTTATGTATGAATATACCTCTTGTTACAACCTTACTTTCTTTCCCTCGTCTTAACCTTGTCTTCTTATATAAAATATTTTAAATTCCTTTTATCCAGGAGTATCTTTCTTAGTCCCTAGAATCCTTTTTAGAACCAGGCTTGGCATAAGTTAATACATACACGTACATATACATACATGCACACATAGATATGTAACAGTGTGTTTAACTTCTTCTGCCCTAGCTCAGTGAGCTATTTCAAACTCGGTTTCATCTGAGTGTACTCTGGTCAGCCTCCTCACTCTAGCTTCCATCACTTTGCAAAGTACCCAAACCCTCCATTTGGAGGGAGCCTTAGCTGGGTCATTGGGTTGTGGCAGGTTTTTGAAAGCTATGTATCTAAGGAAATCAGTTAGCAAAAATTGAATTTGCCTAAATCTTACAGTTCTTCTGTTGGATATGTTAATTACTTGAATTTATTTAGTATACTGATTTTTGTTATGAACATATTAATAAATGTATTAACCTTGTTTTTTAGTCTTAGAAATTCACTTTTTAAATTTCAGTATTTAATACTTGATGGTATAATTTTGATCACTTCAGAATTCTCTTGCAACCTTTACATTCTTTTGTATCATTTAAAATTATTATAACTCTTTAGGCACTTTTACTATCTTTTCATCAATGTTCAAATGGCTTAACTGCTGCAATTTTATATTTAAAACATATAATAAAATCTTGGTGTTTCATATTGATCTTATTCTTTTTTTGAAAATTTCAAATATATGAATGTATATGAGATTTGAGGTAATGGCATTATGTTAAAAATTTTAATTAAATATATAAAAATAGTTTTTAGAATGATAAATCTTTTCTTAAGAAGACAAGCTACCCCATAGCTTTTGAAAAAATAAATCTTTCATATAATGTTGCCATGAAAACCAAACAATTAAAACTGCAGAAATTTCAAAAGTGCTTGAAACCATCCTATTTCATACAAATTGCTGTATATTTGATAAATAATTAGAAGAATTGGCAAACAAGTAAATATACTACTGAGAAAGTTGTGAAATAATCTAAATATATGAAGGTTGGCCAAAGAGGAAACAACTCTTAAAATAATAGGAAAGAAATCCATATAAACTGAAAAATCCCATTACGAAAAGCTAAAATGTTTGTTATGTTTATAAGAATACATTCATTGAATATGTTTAAGAATAACACATTTACAAATAAACATTTAAGAGTCATCTGTCAAATGAGTGACTGGTGGATTGATCATTCTCGGAGTTGGTTTTGACCAACTGATTTCTGACAAATTGGCCTGGAGCTCTTGTCCTCCATGTACGAGTCAGAGAGAAGACCAGGCAATGTCTTAGGAAGCAAATGCGTGGCCAAAGAGCTCAGGGGAGAGCTCCGTCCAACAGCAGCAAGGTCATCAGGGTGACTTTCCATCCAATAAGTCAAGTCACTGTAATTTCTTCCTTAGTCCATCTGCCAAAAGCTATCTGTCTCCATCTTAATTATCAGCTAAAATCTTATTATCTATACCCACCCATCTCTTCCCTACTGGGACCCTCATAAAGCTCTAGACAAGCTTTCTTTTCTTGTGTATTAGTCCGTTTTCATGCTGCTGATAAAGACATACCTGAGACTGGGCAATTTACGAAAGAAAGAGTTTTAATGGACTCCCCAGTTCCACACGGCTGGGGAGGCCTCACAATCATGGCAGAAGGGGAGCAGGAGCAAGTCACATCTTACTTGGATGGTGGCAGGCAAAGAGAGGAGTGCTTTGTTCAGGGAAACTCCCCTTTTTATAACCATCGGATCTCATGAGACTTATTCACTACCACGAGAACAGCATGGGAAAGACCTGCCGCCATGACTCAATTACGTCCCACCGGGTCTCTCCCACAACATGTGGGAATTCAAGATGAGATATGGGGACACAGCCAAACCATATCATCTTGCTTTTCTAATCTTGAAGGACAGTTTGTTGGATGAGATTTTGTAAGACAGAATACCAAGGGTTCCACCTGAAACAGTAGCCTCATTTGTCCCTGTCCCTGCTTTCTCAGTGCCATGGCTTATGGGATGAAGATGACATGACTGAAAGTGGCATGGCCAGGGAGGAATCAGATGATGAGCTCTCCCTCGGTCATGGCAGGAGGGACTCCTCCGATTCTCTCAAGTCCATCAACCTGGCCGCGTCTGTGGAGTCAGTGCATGTGACCTTCCCGGAGCAGCAGACAGCTGTCCGGAGGAAGCGCTCCGGCAGCAGCTCCGAGCCATCCCAGAGATCCAGCTTTTCTTCAAACAGATCCCAAAGAGGTATCTGTCGACACAATATATCTAGGCTGTAGTTAGCTCCCAGGTGGCCTTGTTTTTCTGGTGCCTGTGGGTCTGGGGCAAGGGAGTGTATTGGGTGCTATCAAGAGACAGACATTGTTATGTGAAAAGAAAGGGCTTTGAAATCAGAGAAACCCGAGTTCAAATCCTGCCTCAGCTGTGTGACCCCATTACCCAAAACACCTTATTGTATCTCAGGACAAGGGTTTCAGATAATTGTGAAAAATGGCCGGCACACTGCCTTGTACCTAATAAACGCCAGGCTCATGATAATTTATTTGTGTTACATGCGAAAAATCTGCAGGGCGTGTCCAGAGTGCTATCAATCACAATGTATTTTTTAAACATATTTAGATGTAATTGATGAGAACTTTTAGCCAAACTATGGTTATTTCCTAGTCTAGTAATTAATTTTTTCCCAAACAACGAGTACAATCAGAAAGTAGATATGCCTCACAGCTGCCCCTCTTGGAATCACTAGGCTTTTGTATCTGTGGGGCTCCTGTCTGAAGCTTTTGTAATTATGGGGCTCCTGTCTGAAGCTTTTATAATTATGGGGCTCCTGTCTGAAGCTTTTGTACTTACGGGGCTCCTGTCTGAAGCTTTCCATGCAGTGGTGTATAGTCATCTTCAGAACCTGCTTTTGAGGCAGATACTGGCAGATTATGTCATATTCATTTTACAATTAGAGAAACTAGAATAGGAAAACAGACATGGGGCATCCTATCTGGAACACCTGCATCCTAGTACCCTAGTTAGCACAATAAAAACTATCCTTCCAGTTTATTTACTTCTGAAACAAAGATTGCATAGCAATCCAGGAAAGAGCCACCATGGGGTGTTAAACCCCACAGGCCTGCGATGGGAGCAGAGTTGAGGACAAATCCCAAGGCCGTGCATACTCATCCTCCCAAACAGTCCTGAGCTATCCCTCCACCATGTGGGCTCTGGGTTCTGCTTCTTGGATATTTAGGTGAACAAACCCCAGGCTCCACCACCCATCTTATGATCTCTTTTTATTTCTAGGCAGCACAAGCACCCGAAACAGCAGTCAAAAAGGAAGCAGTGTTTTGAGTATTAAGCAAAAAGGCAAAAGGGAACTTTATATGGAAAAGCTTCAAGAACATTTAATCAAAGCAAAAGCCTTTACCATAAAGAAGTGAGTCCATGAGAACATATGGCATGTGTGCTTTATTGTAGGGTTTTGGGCTTTATTATTTCCTATAAACCAGGAGCAGAGCAGAGAAGTAACTTCTCGTGTCACAAATGTTATCTGCGTAAGGCAGAATGAAATTACCCCTTTTTGTCTTGTTTTTAAAAATCATTTTTCTGTAAGTGTGATTCATTTTATATCCATTGCATTTATGCACATGCTTTTTCTATTTGAACAGAGTAAATGGGTCATTTCAAGGGCTCATGGATTGTATTCTTAGGCATTATCATGGTGAAGTCCAGCCAGACTGAGAGGAATACAGTGTCAATGCTGGAAGGGCCTTAGACCTGCACTCTTATCCTGAGAAGGGGATGGAAGTGCATGGTGGGGAAATGCTTTGTCCATGGTCATACACCTGTTACCCAGCACACTACACAGGTCCCTCCACCTGCTGGGGATGGAAGTGGTGCATGGGACTGGGACTGCCAGCTGGGAGTGGAGCCCTGGACAGAGGCTCTGAGAGCAGGAGAGCCAGTGGCACCTGAACGTGGCGTTGAACTGAAGGCAGGTCCCAGAGCAAAGATAGGGCAAAGGTTAGACAGACAAGCAAGAGCCAACAGGACACCACACTAAGGCACAGAGCAAAGCATAGATAAAAGGCCAGGGGAGTATGTGGGAGCCAGCATGGACACAGGCCCTAAAACAGGAGGAGCAGGGGCGTTGCACATTCAAACGCGCATGGACCAAGCACTCCAAGTCTGAGCGCCCTCATGCATTCCCTCATTTACTTCCCACCTTGGCCCTAGGCATCAGGTCTTCTCATCACTCCAGTTTTACAGATGAGAAAACTAAACACAGAGGTTACATAGCATGCTCATGGTTCTCGCCGGTGGTGAGCAATTGAATCAGGCTACAAACCCAACACCTCGTTCCCAGGGCATCATACCATTCTATTATGCTTCAAGCAAGAGGAGAGGGCTGTGGTGCCATCAGCAGAGAGGGCTGCAGTACCTATCTTGGCAGTAAATGTGTATACGCTCTCCGTTAGAACAGGAGCTGTCCACAGCGGGACTATCCTGAGGCAGAGAGAGGAAGGTGGGACCTGACTGGAAAGAGGAATGCAGAGGAGTGGCATGATGGCAGTGTCTGGTCATTTCTGCCATCCTGCCCTTCCTGAAACAAGTGGGTTGGGGGTGGGGGTCTCCATTTTGCAGGACGCTGGAGATCTATGTGCCCATCAAACAGTTCTTTTACAACCTCATCCACCCGGAGTATAGCGCCGTGACTGACGTGTATGTACTCATGTTCCTGGCTGACACTGTGGACTTCATCATCATTGTCTTCGGCTTTTGGGCCTTTGGGGTAGGTTGGGGCAAAGGCCACAGCACCCGCCCTGACCCATGGCGATGGCGCTTCCTGCCATGAATTGCCTCTCTTGGGCATGAATTTGTTGTCTCTTCCCCAGAAACACTCAGCAGCTGCAGACATCACCTCTTCACTGTCAGAGGACCAGGTCCCGGGGCCGTTTTTGGTGATGGTCCTCATTCAGTTTGGAACCATGGTGGTGGACCGAGCCCTCTACCTCAGGAAGACTGTACTGGGAAAGGTCATCTTCCAGGTCATTCTTGTGTTCGGAATTCACTTCTGGATGTTCTTCATCTTACCTGGTGTGACTGAGAGGTAAGGTCTTCAGAAGCCAGAGGCACCAACCTGCCTCCATGCAACTGTGTTTCCTGAGGTGATACTCGCATGCATTGCACAGCAGAACTGCTGGCCACAGGCAGAGCCTTGGCACAGCAGCACCACGGGTAGGAAGAGCTAAAGGTTTGGGTCAATAGTCAACGCAAATCCAAAGTGTGAACTGATTCCTCAAAAATATTTTAATTACATATTATCTACATTTGTAGAAATAAGGTTTCTATAAATAACAACGGTGACAGCCTTAATAACCTGAACAAACCTAGGGTATTTGTGCTGTGTTTCTCTCTACACCTTAGCAGAGGTGGAGGTAAAGTGGAATATGGTCTTGGGGGCATTTTTGAGAGGGAGAGAAGGCACAGACTAAGTCATGAGAGAAATAGATGAACAAATGGAGGATGCTTAATGGATAGAAGAAGAGATAGAGGGAGAGGGTTGGGGAGCAGATGATAGAGTCTCCACATAGGAGACTGGTGGGGGTTAACTGCAGCGAGGTTTGAAAGCACCTAGCAATGTCTCAGCTTGTGGTAAGAGAAGCACGCAGACCCATCCTGCTGGACTCTGCTGCTGTTAATACAACTAGTGCTGCTGGTCAGGGTGGCCAGAAGCTGTCAGGAAAGGGCTGGTAAGATCCTTCAAAGTGGCTGCTGTGCTTCCCTCTGTCACCTAGAACCCTAAGGAAAGGGTGTTGACCTTCAGTTCCCCAGTGTGCCTGGCATCTCCAAGCTCTGCTCCCTCCCAGCCTTCTTCTCCCCAGCCTCCAACCCAAAGTCTACTTCCTCCTTACTCTCGAGATCTCTGTTCAGATAACACTTCTCTATAGACTGTCTCCCACCTCACGCCTCCAGGCAAAACAGTGTTTATGACAGTTGGTGCTCATGGATGAACAAATGATCTGGTCATTTCGGCAAAGAAAAACAAAGTGGAGTTTTATAAATGGGAAATATCTGCTTTGTCAGGTTATGAAAGAAAAGGCTCTGCAGAAGGTGAATGTGGCCTTGTCCATATGATGTAGTAGGAATAGGAATTTTTAATAAGCATATCTGATTTTATGTACACAAGCAAACTATAACTCTTCGTCACTGGCCTGGGGAGCCACATACCTAATCCAGTGAAGCTGCCATCATCTGCTGTGGCTCTGAAAGCCTCCTCTGGAACTGCACTCCCAGACTGTGACATGCTAGTTTTTTAAAAAATTTATTTATTTATTTATTGTTTTTAGGGACAAAATCTCACTCCATCACCCAGGCTAGAGTGCAGTGGCATGATCATAGCTCACTGCAACCTTGAACTCCTGGGCTCAAACAATCCTCCCGCCTCAGCCTCCAGAGCAGCTGGGGATACAGGTGCACATCACCGCTCCTGACTATTTTTTATTTTTATTTTTTGTAGAGATGAGGTCTCATTATGTTACCCAGGCTGGTCTCAGAGGCCTGGACTCAAGCAGTCCTCCTGCCTGGGCCTCCCAAAGTGCTAGGATTGCAGGCATGAGCCACTGTGCCCGGTCAATGATGTACTATTTTAAACATCCTCAGGTATCTCTGAAAATCTTCATGCTTAACAGAAAATTTGATCTTTTGATCACACCTCTGAGTCATTTGTAGCCAAGTCTTATGAATAACATATCAAACAGGCAGGCTAATATCATTTGGGAAGAATGAATAGAAAGTAATAAAAAAAATGGATTTTACGTATGTGGCTCATAAGTAAACCAGTTCAAGTGTAATTCCTATTGAGAAAATCCAAATTGCTTCTAACAGTAGCCAGAGCCTAATGGCTGCTTTTGTTTGAGTGTTTAGGTTCTGACCGTTCGATTTCAGTATAGGAATTATTGCTTTATAATAATTATAAAAATTATTATTAAAAATAAATTCTAATTATAAAATTATTGCTTTATAATAATAAATGGTGACAATGCAGATATTTTTAAAGGAAAGTAGAATTGGGATACTTTTTCCTGAGTCTACAGTAGAACTAAATAAAGGATTGTTACCCAGAAGAGACACAATAACCCAGTTCTCCATTCCACACCATATATTGGGAGATTAAATATAGCCCAGGCTATAATAATAATTCAGATGAACGCCACTGCTTGTACAAATATTATAATTTTTTCATGAGAGTGTTGTGAATATTGTTTGTAGGTATTTAAAATAGAATACATAAAATACATTTTTCAGTACAAAACCAACCTTCACAGAAACTCTTAATTTCAGAGAAGAAAGACACCTTAAAACGCTTTCCAAGCCTATTACCTAATTTTGCAGATTAAGATAGATACAACCCAGAAAGAAAAGTGATCTCCCCAAAGTCATTCAGCCAGTGAATGGTGATACTAGATCCTAATCCCAGGCCAGCAAAATAAGTAAAAATAAAAGACATCCGGATTGGGTTGGGCATGGTGGCTCATGCCTGTAATCCCAGCACTATGGGAGGCTGGGCCAGGTGGATCACAAGGTCAGGAGTTAGATACCAGACCAGCCTGGCCAATATGGTGAAACCCCGTCTTAAAAAAAAAAAATGCCTTATGTGGTGTCGCGCGCCTATAGTCCCAGCTACTCAGGAGGCTGAGGCAGGAGAATCGCTTGAACCCTGGAGGCAGAAGTTGCAGTGAGCTGAGATTGCGCTGCTGCACTCCAGCCTGGGTGACAAAGAGTGAGACTCCATCACACACACACACACACACACACACACACACAAAATCCAGATTGGAAAGCAAGAAGCAAAACCATGCGGCAGATATGACAGCCTATATAGAAAATCCGGTGGAATCTACAATAAGGCTGTCAGAAGTTATAAATGAACTTTGGAAGCTTGCAGATACAAAACCAGCATACAAAACTCAATTGTATTTTTATATGCAAGTAATAAATGCTCAATAATTTGAATTTTTAAGAATATCATTTACAATGCCATTAAAAATATGAAAAACTATCATATTTAGGGATAAATATGATAAAACATGTACAAGACTTGTACAATGAAAATATAAAAGGCATGGCTGAGAGAAATTAAAGAAGGCCTAAATAAATCAAGAAGACTTAAATTCATGCATCAAAATACTTGTGAATTTCTCATGAATTTGGGGGAGATGCAGTTTCTCCCCAAATTGATCTATAGATTGACCACGGTGCACATCAAAATTCCCAGCAAGATTTTGTGGTAGAATTTGGTAAGCTGACAAAAATTCATATGGAATTGCAAAAGATCTAGAAGAACTAAAAGAACTTTGAAAAAGAACAGTATTGGAGCACTTATTCTTCCTGCCCTCAAGCATTATTATAAAGCTGTGATGATCAAGCAGTGAGGTGTAGCCTCAAGATTCAGACGAACAGAACAATGGAACAGAACAGAGAGTCCAGAAATAGAAGACCCACAGTCCCAATTCAGCTGATGTAGGGAAGGTGCAAAGGCCATCCAGTGAAGACAGAACAGTCTTTTCAACAAATGCAAATGGTGCTGGAACCATTAGATATCTCCACGGGGGTGTGGGCAAGAGAGAGACAGAAAGAGAAGGAAGGAAAGAAGGAAGCAAGAAGGAAGGAAGGGGTGAGAGAGAGAGAAAGAAAGAAGGGAGGGAGGGAGGGAAGGAAGAAAGGGAGGGAGGGAGGCAGGGGACAAATCCAAAATATGGCACAGAGAGAAATATGGTGCTTGTATCAAAACATTCAAGTATGGATCTTAATTTTAAGGACAGAGAAGATTATACCAAACTCTTACCAAGTCAAAAGTTTTCTTTTTATTTCCTTTTTAAAATCTGTACTGACCATGTTTAAGACATTTGGAGAATGCTGCATTTATCCAAAGTTTAAAGTGGTCCTATAGCTCATCATTCTTTGAAATTATATTCTAAAATGTTTTTCTAGTGTGAAATTTAATTCTACTATTTTTTTTCAAACTTGTGCTAGCAGTCCTGAACTGTACAATACTATGTCTCTTCACTATTCACCTGGAGAGAAGACTACCATCTGTACTGTTGAGGAAATCATTAAAAATAAATAAACATCAGGTCATGGAGTTATAGATTTGCAGAACTAGGAAGAATTATCAAATAAAGACACTGATGTCTTGAGAAATGATGGCTTGGGAAACAAACCCCATAACATATAGACAGAACTGGAACCAAATCCAGGTGTTTCCAGAGTTTGTTAATCCATTACTTATTTTTATAATGAATAGTAAAAAGAAATTGAGAGTCCACCTATCAGAATTCTTTCTCCTACATATTCCAAATGGATCCTCTCTCTCTCTCTCTATATATATATATATATATGTGTGTGTGTGTGTTTATATATATTTTTAATATATCATATATATAATGTATATAGGCTTTTTCTTTCAGGAGTCTAATTTGGACTATGGTAGCTGCATCATCTACATAGTGAGAAAATATTTATCAGTAAATTCACTTAATAATTTATTTTAATTATGGCCTAAACAACAGTATAAGACAGATTGGAGGCACCATTCACAGGAAATCATTTTAATTATTGAATTTTTTTATCCCACCTTTTGCCTTTGAAGTGATCCACTATGTGTAGACAGTTCATTAGAATTGAGTTGGAATGATGAAGGGGAAATTCTGTTGGCCTGTTGTTTTAATTTGACACTGCCATCCTTTTGTTTCAGAAGAGTATTTCATTGCTTCACTTTCTGTACTTTTACATTTTAGGAAATTCAGCCAGAACCTGGTTGCCCAGCTTTGGTACTTTGTGAAATGTGTTTACTTCGGGTTGTCTGCTTACCAGATCCGTTGTGGCTACCCAACGCGAGTCCTGGGGAACTTCCTCACCAAGAGCTACAATTACGTCAACCTCTTCTTATTCCAAGGGTAGGACGCTCTGCAACGTCACAGTCACTTATGGGGGAAGAATAGCGGTGGAAAGGCATTTTGATTCCCAACTGGGAAGTAAGGGGGAGAGGATGAATTCAGCAGTGGGAATCGTTGTGGAACTCTTACGATGTTGGCAAAGGAACAAATATGCCTCTTTAAACACCTTTCTATGTTTAATTGCCACAAGCCTGTCCAGGTGCTGTTCTACATTCATCCACGTGGGTTAGTATCCTGCATAATTACTGTGATAATATTTGAGAATGAAAAATAGGGATACATGATCTGTAAGTATTTATATACTTCTGGGCACAAAAGAACACAGCATGTGGAGCCTGGACTATTCCAAATAACTTGGGAATTCCAAATTATCCTTAGAATTTTTTGTATACAGTAAGTTCCTCCATTGAAAAGGAGCATTCTTTCTGCCTAACACCAACCTGAATGCCATCACCTGTGTGCCCACGTAGCAAGTTAACTACTCAAAGCACATGTGCTCTTCTATGTGACAAGTTCAGCAGTAGCATCTCCTCTCTGTTCTCTCGCAAATTAAACCACGGCATAAAAAGTGAGACAGTCCGTGGCACTGCTGGCTCCTCCTCAGCACCAGACAGAAGAGGTGTCGAGTGCCTTCAGATGCTGTGAAGCGCTGTGTGTGGGGTCGTGTTTCATACAGTGCTAGCCTGTGACTGGGCCTGATGTTGCTTCCAGGGATTGGATTTATATTCACTTGACAGGGCTGAGGCATCCTAGGGGAGAATTTCTGAGTGGCAATCCACACTGCTGTGAGGGCCCTGGGAGAACCCAGATTCTCCAGGCTGGGAGAAGCTCTGTGTCAGTCAAGAGACAAGGAAAATTCTTCAGAGCCTGGAGGAGCCCAGGCCAATCCCTTCTGAAACACAACTGAACCACAGAGGCTGAGCCAACACCATCACTGTGGTACTCCAGCAAGTCCTGCGGCTGAGGGGCCTCACACCCTGGCTCCCTACAACCTCTCCTTCTCCCTCTGCCTTTATCCATTTGCCCTCATTTTTAACCTACCAGGTGCACCACCCCTACTAACTCATCCAGCAACAGAGCCGCAGTCATTCAGCACCGCATGGCCAAGGGTCTCGTAACATGAACAAATAAATGTGAAAGAAGCTGAGTCACCTTCACACCTTCACACTTATTTAAAAGGGAGATCCCAGTTGGTTATGATCATCAGAGAAAAGGAAAAGAATGAAAAAATACAAATCCATAGATTCGACTTATAATGAAAAGCAGTTGTGTTCCAAGTTGGGTTTTACTGGAAGGGTCACCTAGAGAATTGTTTCTGAGTCATGAGGTTAAAGCAGTTAAGGAACTGCTTGAGCTCCTGGGTGAGCAGGGTGGTGGGGGCCACCCACGAATGTCTCTCTGACGAGATGTGTTTCCTGCCAGGTTTCGCCTCGTGCCCTTTTTGACTGAGCTGAGGGCAGTGATGGACTGGGTGTGGACGGACACAACTTTGAGCCTGTCCAGCTGGATCTGTGTGGAGGACATCTATGCTCACATATTCATCCTGAAGTGTTGGCGGGAGTCGGAGAAGGTAAGAAGCCAGGAGATGTGCCTTATTCCTGTCTGCTTCTCTTAGATACAGGCTGGTTATAAGATGAATGTGAACTTCTGCTCACAATGAAGGCATGAGGCAAAAACTACCACAACCTATAAATGTCCCAGTGATTTCCAACCCACTAGAGTTGGGAATTTAGACTTACTGCCGTCATAGTCGTCAATAGCATCCAGATGTTTTCTTCTTTCGGCAACTTCATATTGTAGTTATTTTTAAAAAACGGTATATTGCTTGCTATATCCCAACAACTCTTAAATGGCTCCTTTGGGAGCAGAAAGGAATGTGATGTTATAGAGAAAAGTGGGGCTGGTGGTGGCTTGGACTCATGCTTACTTCTGACTCACTTTTTGAAGAGGGATGGACAATTTAACCTCTTTGTGCAAAGAAAATTGAAGTGCAAATATCTGCTTATTCTGCCAGGCTGAATATTAAGGTTTAAATATGTCTAGATTACTATTATTTATTGCACTTCTCAGAAGTTTAATATATGGAAGAAGAGTCTGTTGCATAAGAGCAATAGGAATACCCAAAAAACATTAGCTGGGGTGATATGAAATGTCTTTCTTTCTCGTCTCAAAATACCCTCCTTGAAAAAGGCTCCTCTGTATGATTCCTGGTGTGTTCTGCAGCTTTCCCTGGGAATTTCAGCGTTACAGTCATGGGGCCTGTTGTACTGTGCTCTCTGTTTATGGGTTTGTGAAGTGAGGGAGATGGGGCTGGCAATATACTTAAAATCATATTTGCTTGTCCTGATTTCTAAGGAGCAGAGGAGTTGACAGGATGCCAGAATATGAGAGCCTCTCTATCGAAGGAACATTGAGGGTAGCAACTAGGGTGCCAAAGCGTCTGGAAATCCTGACACACAAGGAAAAGTAGGAAGAACTAGGGATTGTTTGGTCTAAAGTAGAAAAAAAATAGGGGTATCTGTGCAGAAAAAGTAGATGTTTTTAACAATTTGAAATGTTGGAAAGAGATGAGAAATTGAAATTAATTTGTGAGACTTAAGAAAAACAGAATTAAGACAGGTAGGCAAAAGCTCCCGTATGTTTCAATGGAATATGAAGAATTTCTAACAACCAAAGCTACCCCAAAGTACATGCAAAGGATCACACACAGGGGACTTATGAAACCTCTGCCCTAAGTCTACTTCAGACCCTGGAATCACTCATTCGACAGATATATCAGTTGTCTGTTGCTGCTAACAAACTACCTCCAAATACAGTGGTTTAAAAATCAACTCTTTAATTGTGGCACATACACACCATGGAATACTATGCAGCCATAAAAAAGAAGGAGATCGTGTCGTTTGCAGATACATGGATGAAGGTGGAAGCCATCATTCTCAGCAAACTAACACAGCTACAGAAGACCAAACACCGCATGTTCTCACTCATAAGCGGGAGCCGAACAATGAGAACACATGGACACAGGGAGGGGAACATCACACACCAGGGCCTGTCAGGGGGTAGGGGGCAAGGGGAGGGATAGTATTAGGACAAATACCTAACGCATGGGGGGCTTAAAACCTAGATGATGCATTGATAGGTGCAGCAAACCACCACGGCACATGTATACCTATGTAACAAACCTACACATTCTGCACATGTATCCTGGAACTTAAAGTAAAATAAAATCAAATAAAATAAAGTAAAATAAAATAAACAATCATTTTATTTGCTCACAATTATGTAGGTCAGCAGTGTGGGCTGGGCTCCACTGGATAGTCTTGCCTGGAGTCAGTCCTGTGGCTGCTATCGTCTGGTGGCCCAACTGGGTGTTATTCGATGGTGTCACTCAGACACCTGCAGGTTGCATCTGGCTCTTAGCCAGGCCTCTCTCTCCATGTATTCGCTCATCCTTAGGGAGACAAGCCCAGGCTTCTTCCCCTCGTGGCAGCACATTCCAAGAGAACGAGAGGGAAACCTGCAAAGCCCTGTGAGGTCTAGGCTCAGAGTTCCACCACCAGTGCTTCTACCACATTCTTCTACTTGGAGCAAGTTTAAAGGCCAGCCTAGATCCAAAGTATGGAGTAAATGATAGGGTTGGCAAAGTCATGTTGCAAAGGGTCATGCCTACAGGATTGAGATGAATTTGAAGCCTTTATTTTTGCAGCCTACTATAAACATTGACTAAGACTAAGCACATTCTTATGTGCCCAGAACTCTACTAAGCATGAGAGTAGAGTGGTGACCCAAACATACAATGCCTCACCATCACGGAACTGATGGCTCAGTGGACAGAAACAGGTGTTAATAAAATGGTGACACAAGCTGAATGATGAGAACACATGGACACATGGGGTGGAACAACACACACTGGGGCGGGCCTGTCATGGGTTGCGGGGAGTGAGGAGGAAGAGCATCTGGAAGAATGGCTAATGGACACTGGGCTTAATACCTAGGTGATGGGATGATCTGTGCAACAAACCACCATGGCACACTTTTAACTATGTAACAAACCTGCACATCCTGCACATGTACCCCTGAACTCAAAATAAAAGGTGAAGAAAAATAAAATGGTGACACAAATAAATTCAATATATATGACAGATGCTTTGGCAGAGGGGCACGTGATACTTTGAGAGCCTCAGGAAGGTAGGGCGTAGGTCTGAAACAGAGAGCTAATGGAAGAGTGTAAGTTGACTGGGTACAGGGAAAGCATCTACATTTTTATCTTGGTTCCTAGGTCCTTTGCCCTGACGCTTGTCTCCTCTCCTCCACTGTTACAGGGAGTTATTCAGTGGATCTTTTGCCATCCATTGAATAAAGATCATATCTTTATTTGCTAGATAAGGCCTTGACACATCTTTGCACTGTCTGAAACATCCTCTCCACCTCCTCATTGCCTAACTCCTTCCCAACCTCCAGATACCAATGAAGACACCTCTGTTTCCATGGACCTGCCCTAACCCCTCAAGTCTAGACCCCATCTTTCACTGTGGGCCCCAACAACCCTTAATACTTCCCACATTGGGGCTTGTTGTCTCTTTTTCTGTCTATTATGAGCTCTGTGATGGCAAGCTCAGTGTCTGTTCATCCATATATGGCCTAGGAATCACTTAATACCCTGAGCCTAGACACACAGTAAATGTTTGTTGAGCAACAACTAAAAAGAGTTGCCTATTTACAAACGCACATATCTCAGTGCCTCCCTATGCTGTCCTGGCTACCTGAAATAGATCCACCCATCCTCTCTTGTCTCTGACTCTCTGGAGCTTAAGCTACTGGTTCTTTCCTGGTTTACCTTCTATCCTACTCTTCTATCCTCATCTATTCATTCCTTCCACATTTTTAGACCCAGAGAGAGAAGAGAAATTCAAGAAGCCAAATATGTAGAGTTTGGGATACGTGAATACTGAGAATAGATGTTGAATCTTATATTCGCTAGATTGCTAGTGATCTTTGCACAATGAGTTTCAAAGGTAGGATGGGTGCTGACACCCAACTGCAGGGACTTAGGAGCTCACTGGAGGCAGCGTCTTGGAGGGATCAAGCCCAACAAGGGCACAGAGAGATAATTAGTTCAAAAGAGAAGCAAGCCCAGAGGATAATTTCAAAATGGGGAGTGTTTGGACCTCTCTGGAGACGATAAGGAAAAGCCAGAAGAAAATAGTAAAAATTCTAATATCAGGAAGTTCTGATGGGGGTCTGGAGATTGTAGAGTCAGAGGCACAAGTGAGCGAGTCAGTTGTGGCAAAGAGCCATCACCATCCTGCAGAAAGGGCAGGAGGAGGAGAGGCCAGTAAGGCGCAATCTCGTGCCCGCAGCCTGCGTTCTCCATAAGATGGGGGAGCTCCTCTGCTGAGAGCATGGGAAGACAAGGCCCTTTAGGTACAAGAGCTGCCAGAAGGCTCGGGAAACTGACAGTGAGACGCCGTTTCACTTGGGCGAACAGGTCACGGTGCTTAGGAAGGGGGTTTCCAAATCACAAAAGCCCCTGAATGATCCCACCCAGTGTGACCATCTGCACGGAT
The DNA here is from genome assembly GCF_000001405.40 of Homo sapiens. Taxonomy (NCBI): domain Eukaryota; kingdom Metazoa; phylum Chordata; class Mammalia; order Primates; family Hominidae; genus Homo; species Homo sapiens. Next base: position 10,685,657 of record NC_000018.10, on the reverse strand, counting down.
GCAAGACCGTGTTTGTTGGAAGAAGCGGCAGCTGCTCTGTTCTTCAGCTCACTGCCTTGGAGCCACCAGGTGACATTTTTCACACTGTCATGAGGTGGTTGCAGCCACCACCCCGCCTCCCAATGAGGGAAGGCTCGTTCTGGCCTATAACTCGAGGCATGCATGCCAACAAAGACTTAAATTACCTTTTTATTTTAAAGAAATAAGAAGCCTCATTTTAATATATCACAGCTACTTAAGTATATACTTCCATCCTATGCTAAACCAATGGCTACTTCAGGATATTAGCCTTTGAAATCATCCATGGCAAAACTTCCTGAGACATTTAGGTAAGTGGGAGGTGATATTGGGGAGTCTGAATGAATCTGGCCCTGGTTAGTACTAGTCTGAAAAGTTACTATTATTGATCCCCTGTCTGGAATGAAGTGGAATAATAAGCTGCTCTTAACAGTAACTCTTCCTGGGTGTGATTCCACATTGAATGTGACAGGCTGCAGGGGCTTTACAAACACACTTTATGAAGCAAGAGCAATAACCTGAAAGGCAAAATGTTGGTCCGAGCACACACAGTGCAGGCCACTCACTCTTATTCTGCTTATACCATGACTTCCATGCACCACTTTCCAGAACATTTCAGGAAGCTGATTGGAAATGCAGTGCAACAGGAACACCAAGCAGGAAGCACAGTGAGGAGCTGAGTTACCAGCGGCTGCCATGAGCCATGATCACGACACCGCACTCTGGTCTGGGTAGCAGAGCAAGAGACTATCTCAGGGCAGCAGAGCAAGACACTATCTCAAAAAATAAAAAAGAAAGAGTTGAATGGCCTAGGAAAGGGGTAACGGAGCAGCGCAGGACAGGAAGGGGACAATGCCTTTGAAAAGGGAGGGGAGGCTGAATGTGGTGGCTCACGCTTGTAATCCCAGCACTTTGGGAGGCCAAGGCAGGTGGATCACTTGAAGTCAGGAGTTCAAGACCAGCTTGGCCAACATGGTGAAACCCTGTCACTACTAAAAATATAAAAAATTAGTCGGGTGTGGTGATGTGTGCCTGTAGTCCCAGCTACTTGAGAGGCTGAGGCATGAGAATCTCTCGAGCCCAGGTGGTGGAAGTTGCAGTGAGCTGAGACTGCACCACCGCACCCCAGCCTGGGCGACAGCAAGACTCCATCAAGAAAAAAAAAAAAAAAAACAGGCCGGGCGCAGTGGTTCACGCTTGTAATCCCAGCACTTTGGGAGGCCGAGGCGGGCAGATCACGAGGCCAGGAGATTGAGACCACCCTGGCTAACATGGTGAAACCCTGTCTCTACTAAAAATACAAAAAATTAGCCAGGCATGGTGGCGGGCACCTGTAGTCCCAGCTACTTGGGAGGCTGAGGCAGGAGAATGGCGTGAACCCAGGAGGTGGAGCTTGCAGTGAGCCAAGATCGCGCCACTGCACTCCAGCCTGGGCGACAGAGCAAGACTCCGTCTCAAAAAAAAAAAAAAAAAAAAAAAAAAAAGAGGAAAGACAGAGAAAGAAAGAGAGAGAGAGAAAGAAAGAAAGAAAGAGAGAGAGAAAGAAGGAAGGAAGGAAGGAAAAAGGAAGGAAGGAAGGGAGGGAGGGAGGGTAGGAGGAAGGAAGGAAGGGAGAAAATTTCGAGAGGAGGGGAAAATTGGCTGCGTAATTTGAGATGGATTAAGAGGCCTTTCCCCTGTTGTCCCCTGGAAAGGCAGTGTGAGGGCTGAGCAGAAGGAGGGAGAAGCCTCTGGGAATTTTTGAGATGAACCTCAAAGAGACTGGCCTTCAGGAGAGGAACCAATGTGGTCCCACTTCAGGTGGAACAGACTAAAACCGCCCTTGGCAGAGATACATTAATCTTCTTTAACTTGCAAAACTTTCATGATCCAGTGTGGGTGCTGTTGGAGTGACAGGAGTGGCCTATGATCTAAATTTGCCTCACTGAGAAAATAATGAAAGAGCAAATCTATACACTTGTTTGCATATCTATGTGTGGAAGCATGTATGTGTGTATATATATTTGTGAATATATATTTCAGATTTTAAAATATGGGACCCTAGTCTTCCTTTCAATATAGAAAATCGGGAAGAAAATCAAAATACACTGCTACTGCTATCCATATTTGATGCTGTTGAAAATAGTCAACAGTATCAAATGCCAGTGCAAAAATATCAAAATGCACTGCTACCATCTGAACTTCATGCAGTCTCCATAGTGCAGATCCATAGGGTGCATTGCCTTATGCACACTGAATGCAGAGTGCACTACGCACTGGCCCTGGCCCACCACCCAGTCAAGCCTCCATTCTCATATTTCCGGCACCATCTTTGGCACTTAGTGTCCAGGCTTGTAAAAGCCACTGTAGTCATGTCCTGTACTGACTCCCAGGTCTCTCTCCTGGTGTGTAATCTATGGCTAGTGCCTATGGGTAAATGTTAGATTATTTTTCCTTACTTTAATCTGCTGAAATGAATGGATCCCTCCTGAAGATAAATCACATTGCCAAGTCGGGGAGTGGGGTTGACCCCATGTTCTGCATGTAGCTTGGCCTGAGGGGTAACCCTGAAAGGATGGAGGTCATGGAGCAGCAACACTGAAGAAAGAACACACATGTAGATCAGAAGCAGGTTCAATGCCAGACAGCACAGCTCCAATTTCCACTTGTCCATAGTCTTTAAGCAGGGGGCTTAGTGGGTCCTTCATGAATCTATATTAAAGCAAACAGAAGTGCTCCCAGCCTTACTGGTGCACAGGCTCCTGTAGGAGAGTGAGCCCCTGCAACACGCACCTGCCCTCTCCCCACTCCCTACAGCCAGTGCCCAGAGGGGGCTCTTCTAATCATACAAATCTTACCTTAGGTGTCGAACAACATTGTCTTTAACAACACGTGTCATGAATTAAATTAAAAATCATGTTTTTTCACCCTCCAAGGGCAGGGAAGGGTCAACTGAAAGGCACAGATTTTAAATATTCAGGAATTGAAAGTAAAGTATCTTTCTCTCACATAATCCCTTAAAACCAGAAGGTTCATTCGGCCGGATACTTGATCCCTTGGTCCAGGAGTTCATCACCAGGAAAACCCACCCACAGTCTTGAAGGGAGAAGGCCGCTTAAGTCCTGTTGGCCCCTGTGGATCCACCAGGGGGTACTGGAGCGACCTCAGGACAGCTTCACATCACTACCTAACTTCATTTCGAGATTGGGACAAGGTTGCTATCCCCATTTCAGAGCGAACAGAGAAGATTCAGGGCCAAATCCATGTTCCCAGCACCACAGGAAGAGCACTCGCTCTCCCCCAATCCCGCTGCCTGCGGGAAAGCACCTGAGCCTGAGCCTGAGCCTTGTCTGAACTCTCTGTTGCAGAGATACCCTCAGCCACGGGGCCAGAAGAAGAAGAAAGTGGTGAAGTATGGCATGGGAGGAATGATCATCGTCCTGCTCATCTGCATTGTCTGGTTTCCTCTTCTCTTCATGTCTTTGATCAAATCTGTGGCTGGGGTCATCAACCAGCCCCTGGACGTCTCCGTCACAATTACCCTGGGAGGGTATCAGGTGATCTCTGTGCACACCCCACCTACCAGAGCCTTGCCCCACGCCACATTCCTTTATGATAGCTGTCTGTAGGGTGTTTAGTCATGGGCTGCCGACCCTGCTGTCGGCATTTGACTGCTCAGCAAATACTTGATGTATGAATAAGGTGCAGAAGACACTGAGAGACTAGTTTCCCTTTGGTCTTGAGCACGGGAATAATCACTCCAAAAAGAGATCTCGGATGCCATGTATCATGGGATAAACATAGCCTACATAAATGGGCTGATATCCTACATAAATGTTTTTCTTTTGACTCAGGATGCAGAGAAGAGCTGGGGAATATTGACAACACTGTTCTCTTTGTTTTCCAGCCTATTTTCACAATGAGTGCCCAACAAAGCCAGTTGAAAGTTATGGACCAGCAGAGCTTTAACAAATTTATACAAGCTTTTTCTAGGGACACCGTAAGTAAATCCCTATAGTAGATTTCTGTGAAGACCTCTCATCTAGGGAAGTTCACTCATTGTCATTTAATGCTTTGCCATGGCCTGAGGTGGTGGGAAGGAGGACTTTTCAGGGTTTATCAGTTACATAGAGCACATTCCTGGCCACTGGCTACTTTGATAATCTAAGAAGTTATGTCTATGTTGTTGGACATTAGTGGTAATAAACATTTAAATATTGATCCATTTTAAAAATTGTTTAACTTTTTAAATTGTGGTATATATTCATCTCTTGACTAGTAGGCCTACTCTGGGAATCTGTCCTAAGAAGTAATTCAAAATATGAGAACGCTCTATCTAGGCACTGGCTTATGAGTGCATTCTCTGCATTAGCAGAACTAGAGGCAATTTGCGGTTCAGCAAACAGGAGCTGGTTGAGGAAATTAAGGCAGATGTATTACATGAATTTGATTGGCAAGATACTCTAGAGTGGTCATAATAGGAGAAGGAGCTTCTACTTTTCATTTTATTTACGTGCCATGTTGTCCAAAGATTTTCTAAGCAACTTATTTTGTAATTAAAAAATTCATTACAGAGACTATAAATGACATGACAATTTCTCAAACTAAAACATAAATTTTAAAAAGGCTATTATTTTTAAAATTACAAAAAATAAGAAATACATCCCCTAAAACTTAAAACAACAATTATGTTCTGGTAGCAGAAGGGTGGCTGATGTTATTCTCTTGTCTATATTCCACACTGTTAATAATATAACATAATCCTCATCATTAAAATTTGTCTTATAAATAATTTTTTTTTATTTAAGAGAGTGAATAGGAAGGAGATGCTTCTTTCTTCTGTAAAATTATCACCTATAATGCACACTGTCAAAACTAATCTGGAACAATGAGCAGTTCTTCAGAGAGGGTTGGGATGTCCTGAGCAGATTGTTTTGTCTCTCTCATGACAGAGACGTTCCCCCATAGGTGATAAATTTCCTTTTTAGTGGAAAGGAAAAATGACACTAAATTATCTGTTTTTCCTTTATTGTTTAACTGGAATGATTCCATAGCTGTATTGATGGTAGCAACTGCTGGGATTGGATAATGTAACTGGAAACTGCCCATACCTGTGGGTAAGGAAGCCAAATTAGTGCAATGGAACACTCAAGACCATCCATTATAAAAATATTCCCTTCAAAGGGAGAAACCTTTTCCATACTGCCAGTTAAAAGGAAGAGTGACTGCTTTCTTTATACAGCATGATGCATATAATCTATTTATGCATGTGCATTTGTGCACATACAGGGTGCTATGCAATTTCTGGAAAATTATGAAAAAGAAGACATAACAGTAGCAGAACTGGAAGGAAACTCAAATTCTTTGTGGACCATCAGCCCACCCAGTAAGCAGAAAATGATACACGAACTCCTGGACCCCAATAGTAGCTTCTCTGTTGTTTTTTCATGGAGTATTCAGAGGTAGTTACTGTATTTCCATGTATAATTTATCCCTTTCCCCAGTCTAAACATGGAGTTGGGGGAGGGAGGGTGTGGTGGGATGGAAGAATGGGAACTTTAGATTGATGTGGATCTTACTTTATCATTATAGCCTTGGGAACTTACCTTCAATGCCAAAGCTAACATTTTTATGTATTAAATAATGACTTGCCTAGGAATCACTAACCAGACTAAGAACTTCTCAGTTTTCCTTTTTTGTAGTTTTTAGCTAACTTTAGTTTTCTGGTTTTGGGGTTTTTGTTGTTGTTGCTGTTTTTTATTTTTGCATTCCAAAATCCACTGTATTTTATTAGCTTAATGTACAATTGGTGAAACAACACTTAAATTTCAAATGTTTCTTACTATAATGCAAAATAGTATTACTGTGAACACCTCCCTCATGCATCACTTACAGCACTATTATAAATCTACCACAGGGAGCCTCTCCACTTAGGTTTTCCTCATGCATCTTAGATTTCACTGTCCATAATCTTCCATGGAAAAGGAAGTGAATTATGCCCACCTGAGAGAGAAAGGCCGTTCCTAGCTCTGATGCAGCAAGAACTGGCCACGTGCTTTCACATAAACACTAGAAATGAAGGCAGAGCATCAAGTGATTTGAAAGTTGATTTAAATTAATACTGGTTTTTAGAAAATCTAAAATTGTTTCAATGCAAAAAAAATTTTGAATGTAACTATAAATCTCCAAAAAAATCAATATCCTGCTCCTTAAAAACTGAAATCCAAATAAATTATATATTTTAAAGTTGGGTTATTCTAGATAATAAGTTGTTTTTAAAGAGAGGCTGACAGTGAGTTCTGTGAGCAAGAAAGAGAGGGTAGAGAGAAGAGAGGCAAGGTGATGATTTACAAAATGAAACAGTCTGGGGGAATTTTACAACTTTCACCAAAGGCTGAAGTTTGGTCTAAATGATAAAGAAATTTCAGGCCGATTGTGGTGGCTCACACCTGTAATCCTGGCACTTTGGGAGACTGAGGTGGGCAGATCACTTGAGGCCAGGAGTTTGAGACCAGCCTGGCCAACATGGCGAAACTCTGTCTTTACTAAAAATACAAAAATCAGCTGGGAGGTAGTAGCGCATGCCTGTAATCCCAGCTACTCAGGAGGCTGAGGCAGGAGAATCACTTGAACTAGGGAGGCAGAGGTTGCAGTGAGCTGAGATCACGCCACTGCACTCCAGCCTGAGTGACAGCAAGATTTCGTCTCAAAAAAAAAAAAAAAAAAAGAAATTGCAGCCTCTGGAGGCCCATATTATCACTTGCATTCCACCAATACTGGGGAAGCCCTACCTGACCCCCTTCCAACGTGTGAGATGCGAGGGCAGCTTGACTGTCTCCGAAGAGAGAGACTTCCTGAGAGTCCTCTCTGCCCAGCCTGAGCCAGTGGCCAGCACGTGGCCCCTGCTTTGTTTTTCCTTGTGTTGGTAGAAAGAGCATATCTCAGCAGAAGTTCTCACATCCAAATACTGCATCCAAAGCCCAACAGTTTAGTGATGCAGTTTTGGGAACCTCAACATAATACACTAGTTGATTAACTTAGCTCTTTCATCACAGTTTTGAGACTTAGAACCCTAAGCAAGCTTATTTGGGCACACAAGCAGTAGGTTCATTTGGGTCCATGAGAGTGACTTGTTAGTTAGAATTAAAAAAGAAGCATGACAGGTACAGAAGAATGCTTTCTGGCATCTAAAATTTACAAGGAAACAGTTAAAAAAAATACAAAGTGGGGCTGTTCAGAATGTAAAGAACTCCTTCAATCCCATTTTCTCCTTTTAAGTGTCCCAAATTCCTTATATCCAATTCTGTACAAATTACCAAAAATTTACTTTCTAGCCTTTTCTTTAAAGAGCTACTAAAAACAACAACAACAACAAAAACAACAAAAAAACAGAACAATTAAAATTCAATTTCTGACTGAATATTCTTTTTAACACATGGAGTTTGTTTATTGCCGTGGAGACTAACATCATTGGGTTGATATAAGAATATTTTAGAACCTCGTATTAAAACATCAAGATGGGTTCTCTTTTGGTCAGCAGGTTCCTCCTTTTTCTCACCTTCAACTCTGTTTTAAAAGTGTTTGTGGCCTCCTTGGGTTCTATTAACTCGATTGTCTAAGAAGCTGAGCATTGAGGTGAAGTAGACTGAAAGGGTCAGGATTGACCGTTGTGGACCCAATGAAAACGTGGTGACATTAATCAAATTAAGAGTTAAATATGTTGTAAATCTCTTTTCCAGACTTCTGAATAATCACTGACATTAAGCTTTTTTTTTTTCTTCACAGAAACTTAAGTCTGGGTGCAAAATCGGAAATAGCAACAGATAAGCTTTCTTTTCCTCTTAAAAATATTACTCGAAAGAATATCGCTAAAATGATAGCAGGCAACAGCACAGAAAGTTCAAAAACACCAGTGTAAGTGTATTTTTTCCTACTAATAGAGCTTTGTTAGGTATATGCAGCTGGTACAAAATGTCCATCTACAGATTCATGTGTATGAGGAATGCAACTTCATTCTTTGGTAACACAAAGTTAATTTCTATTTGGAGGCCCCATTTTGCAAGATTAAAGAAACTTAATCTCAGCTATGGAGTTTTCTGTCCACTGTCCCCAGGGTTATGTCTATGTTCCAAATGAGGGTTTGGGCCAGGCATGGTGGCTCATGCCTGTAATCCCAGCATGTTGGGAGGCTGAGACAGGTGGATCCCCTGAGGTCGGGAGTTCAAGACCAGCCTGACCAACATGGTGAAACCCTGTCTCTACTGAAAATACAAAGATTAGCTAAGCGTGGTGGTGCACATCTGTACTCCCAGCTACTTGGGAGCCTGAGGCATGAGAATCACTTGAATTCTTGAGGCAGAGGTTGCAGTGAGCCTAGATCGCAGCACTGCACTCCAGCCTGGGCAACAGAGTGAGACTCCATTTCAAAAATAAATAAATAAATAATAAAAAACAAATGAATGAGGGTTTGTATGGTGCCAGGCTACAGGGAGCTCATCAGTGCATGGAAAGTGCTGGCCCGCTGGGGCTTCCATTGAGACAGACATTATTCTTCCAGGTCTGTCTTCAGTCTGCAGAGTGGCTGTCTCCCTCAGCTATTGGGACCCATTTTGGGGCACACTAGAAATCATCATGCTGATTCTCATGCGATTTGGAGGTGTGGGAGCTCTGGCAGGTCCACCTGGGTTCATATGGCCCAACATAGTATGTGCCCAGTGGTATCGCATTCTCCCTGCCCTGCCCCCGGGGGTACTGGGCTATTGGTGCCTCCAAGGGCCCTATTCAGGAATGGGACATGGGACTGCACTAAAATGATTCAGGCCTCTTGTCATTCATGTCTGCCACCCGATCGTGGGTACCCACTTCACTCGTTCACCCTCAGTGGAAAGAGGTGGGGCTCAAGGTTCCTTCTTAGGGAGCCACTAGTGTCAAGCACATTCTCCTCCCACTCTCTGTCCACCTGGCCCAAAAAGTATTGATCTCATCTCTAGATGACAAACCTTGCTCTTATCTGACCATAATCACCAAAAGCCAGGCAAAGACCCTGTGAGACCCTTTTCTACTATTATTCCTGCCCCTGGGTCTCTGAATGGGGGTAGAGTATACACGGTTGAGGAGGACAAGGGGTAAAAGGAAATTTGGAAAAAAACATATTATATATCTCAAAATACTATCCTGCCACTTAAGTACTCCACTTCCAACAGATGAAAGCTGAGATGTTTAGATTCTAATATATGAACTAGCAAGAAAAAAATGATATGGATCTAAAACTGCTAAACAAAATAGTTCAGGCATCCACCAGTGATGGCCCCAGTTTTGTCCTCCAGACTGCCCTGGCCCCATTGTAATGCATGGAATATATGGATCACCAGGGTGCAGGCCTTAGAAATGTTCCCAGACTGAGATATGTTTTGCGACTCACTAAAGTTGAAGGGCCCTTGGAGACTGTCAGATCCTCTCCTATCACCTCCCAGATGATAAGGCATATCTACTCAAGAATGTATTGAAGGCACTGGGCTTGTGGGAGGCAGAGGTCACTCGAGGTCCAGGCCACCATCTCTCTTCACCTCTCACTCCCCTCTAGATCAATTCATGAAGTCTACTTGTGTATTAGTCCATTCTCATACCGCTAATAAACACATACCTGAGACTGGGTAATTTATAAAGGAAAGAGGTTGAATTGACTCACAGTTCCACATGGCTGGGGAGGCCTCACAATCATGGTGGAAGGCGAAGGAGGAGTAAAGGCACATCTTACATGGCGGTGGGCAAGGGAGCACGTGCAGGGGAACTGCCCTTTATAAAACCATCAGATTTCATGAGACTTATTCACTATCACAAGAACAGCATGATGATGGAGGAAAACCTGCCCCCATCATCCAATTATCTGCCACCAGCCCCTCCCATAACATGTGGGGATTACGGGAGCTACAATTCAAGATGAGATTTGGGTGGGGACACAACCAAACCATATCAGCCTGATTATAGGTATGTTTGAAAATCTAAAAATTAAAATTTGAAGCGTGCTTAATGGTATGGATAAGAATTGGAGGATCCTAGCAAGAAACAGTGCCCCTTGGCTTCAGAAACAAGCTGCAGAATTGGGAAAAGGCCTGTGGCTGTTTGTAAGCCATCACCGAGCTTGTTGTACAGACTTACATGCAGATACAGATAAAGCTCAGTGAATTTGCTCCATATGAGAGAGTTTTGACTGTAATAGGAACCCGTAAATTATGATGTCTACACATTGTACAGATATATGAAACTTTCACTATTATTTGGTGATACAAGGTCAACAATAACAACAAAAAATCAATTTTAGGTGGGTAAAACAACTAAAACGTAATTGTATCTTTTTTTTCTTAATGTACAGGACCATAGAAAAGATTTATCCATATTATGTGAAAGCACCTAGTGATTCTAACTCAAAACCTATAAAGCAACTTTTATCTGGTAAGAATGAGAAAAATTTGTTTCAGAATTGTTTTCAATCCTAGTTTTATTCAATTTCAACAGTTTGTGCTTTGGACCTTCATGAAACCACTTTCTAGTTATCTCTCCCTGTGTGACAGACTATATATGAAACCCCTGACAGCCTTCACTAGCCCAAAGGAGTCACTCACTCACCTGGGACCCACATTCTTCATTTTCTCTTTTTCATAGATATGGAACTTGATTGACGTATATTCGCACCAAATTTCTTATAGTACTGATTCATCAGATTATAGACTTGTTTCTATTAGCAGCCAGATTACTGACAGGAAACTGCCTCATACATTGCTAAATATGTCTGCCCCTCACAATAAGAACAGTAAAAATATAGCATGAAATGTACTTGATTCAGCCCAAGGATTAGTAGTATCACTAGAGGCACTTTAGTGATTGAATTTTCGCAATATAACTTGGATGGTATAAATTCATGTTTCTGGATTCTATTAATTATCAAGAATTGCTTGACTTCATGGCTTGAACCAGAAGCAGATGTATAGATCTGGACAACGCGGAAAACCAGTGCAGTTATCTGGCACACATTAATTCATTCTCCAACATGGGCCACTACACACTAGGCAATAGGCCAGGCGCTGGAGCCTGGGCTCCGTGCTGCTGTGTTTAGCTAGAAAGATGCAGACATAAGTGAAGAGTTGGAAAGCCACACAGAGATTGGCCTAGTAGAGGCCCAATGGAGGGCCCTGGGGATGGGCAAAAGGCCGGGCTCCACATCACACACCTTTCTTCCTCAGCAGTAAATAAGTATCTCTTACAAGGTATTTGCAAGACGCATTAAGAAGTTTGCTATTTCCCTTTCAGTCAGGAATAGTTGTAGAAATGTTTCATCTGGACATGCAGATTGCTCAACAATCAGTAATTTCCCATGAAATAATTCTGTCCCTCCACAAGCTCTTCCTGAGGTGACTCTGTGCTGCAAGCTCCTGTGTTTCCTCCTTACAGCTGTCTCCTGACTTCAGAACCAACATTCTTCCTGTTCCTGTGTGTTCTGGGTGGTTCACCTTCTTCCTTGATAAGGACTTTGGCTCTAATAGGATCATGCTGTGCCTTACTCTTCTTCATTGATCCATCCTTCCATGCCATAGACATTTTTTGTCAAGTACCATTCTTGGATTCCTACCATCTAGGACAAGCTTTTCCAACCTGCAGCCCATGGGCTGCATGTGGCCTAGGACAGTGTTGAATGTGGCCCAACACAAATCTGTAAACTTTCTTAAAACATTATGAAATTTTGGTATGATCTTTTTAGCTCATAAGCTATCCTTGGTGTTAGTATATTTCCTGGGTGACCCAAGACAATTCTTCTTCTTCCAATGTGGCCCAGCGAACCCAAAAGATTGGACACCTGTGATCTAGGAATTTAGTATGAAATGATGCTGATGTTGCTCCCACCTTCACACAGTTTAGTTTATAGTTCACCACCATGTTTCTCAGGGGAAGCACCAGTATCATTGGCAGGAGTGGAATCTTCTTAGAAAGACCTATACAATGTCACTACAAGCTTTTTACCCTATCTTTTACAACTCTTTTGCATTCACCCTAAACTCCAATAAAAGTAATCACTGACCCGATATTATGGTTCTCAGAGATTTGCTGAGCTGTGTCCCATCACTCTTCCTGAAATGAGCTTCCCTCCTCACCCACCTTCACCTATTGAAGTTCTCACTTGGCGAATCTCAGCTCAGAAGTTATCTCCTCTGTGAAGCACCCATGGAGCATACTATCCAGAAGTGGTCTCTCTAAGCCAACAGACCTTGTCAATGCTGGTCCCATGGTGGCTGTCATGTGCCCATAAATTGTGCTTGTGTATACAGTCTTTTCCCATGGAGATAAGGAACAATGTTATATGCAATTTTGGAACCCTTTAGCACCTAATTGAGTGCCTTCCTCCTATGAGACATGCAACAAATGCTGGTAATATGAATGGACTGGTTGATTTGATCACAAGTCAGAAATTTGGGTTTTTAAATGTCTACAGAGTCATTTGGGATTATCAGCTCAGCTGCTCAGGTGGTGGATCCTCTACTTTTGCCCTGTGGTTTTGCTGCCATGCCCATGTAGCAACAGCGGCTGACCTCTCTCACTGAAAAGGAAAAATCACTTACATACCCAGGGCCCTCTCTTCCTTGCCCATTCACGCTTCTAGTATGTCCATGCATCCTTTTCATCCTAGAACCTTATGCTATAGTTAGTAACCAGATTTTGCCATCTGAAAACTGTTGCTGTGCATGAAATCCTAAAATTCTCATGTCAACTTAATTTTGCATTTCTACCCTTCTAGAAAATAATTTCATGGATATTACCATCATTTTGTCCAGAGACAATACAACTAAATATAACAGTGAGTGGTGGGTTCTCAACCTGACTGGAAACAGAATATACAATCCGAACTCTCAGGCCCTGGAACTGGTGGTCTTCAATGACAAAGTCAGTCCCCCAAGTCTGGGGTTCCTGGCTGGCTATGGGTAAGGACTCATTGAACAATTCACAGTTACAAGAGTCTACTTCTGTATCATGTAAAGTTGAGAGTGGGAAGCCTTTTATCTTCTTAGAATTCGCTAATTTTAGAGCTGCAGTATTAAAATGCACACATCCTTGTGTGCATTTTATTTCAAAAAATGAGGCACCAGAGTCCCAAAGAGATCAAAACTCCCAGTGTGACTCACACAGCCCAGGTATATGGCTTCTTTACTCCACGTCTTCCTGTTATGGCACAGTTTAATCCAATCCCATGTTTACTTGTATAAATTAGCACAGAAATATCACTTTTCTGCTTAGATTTCCTTCTAATCCTTAGCAGATGGATCTATTAGACATCCTGCTTTTGAACTTCTGAAACATCGCATCATGTTCTGATGCTTAAATCCTAGGACACGCACATCCCCACAAGACACAAATGTAAAATATTGTATTTCTCAAAGTTAGCCTCATAAGAAATGATTTTCACCCAGAATTTTATAAAAATTAATCTGAGAGACAGTATTGCTAAAAGGAAAGGAGCCTGCCACAGAAAATCATATATAATTACATTTCTACCAAATACATTATATGGTTTATGCATTTAATATATGCAACAAAACCACCTAAAGTTCATACATGAAACGGTTAGCATTGATTATTTACAGAATGTGAGATTGTAAAGGACTTTCATTTTTCAAGTCTAACAGTTCTGTAATACATAATTCTATTTTCTATTTATAATAATTCTATAATAAAAAGTCAACTTTTTAACCAAAGGGAAAAAATGTAAGATTTGATTTGCTTATTTCTTCTACAGAATTTGAGGGAAAGTAATATTTTTTTCTTTTAGACATGCTTTTCTTTATTAACTATATTTAACTGCTGTATGCAATTTCTACTTACTGTTTTTTTCAGTATTATGGGATTATATGCTTCAGTTGTCCTTGTGATTGGGAAATTTGTCCGTGAATTCTTCAGTGGGATTTCTCACTCCATCATGTTTGAAGAGCTTCCAAATGTGGATCGAATTTTGAAGTTGTGCACAGATATTTTTTTAGTTCGAGAGACAGGAGAACTGGAGCTAGAAGAAGATCTCTATGCCAAATTAATATTCCTATATCGCTCACCAGAGACAATGATCAAATGGACTAGAGAAAAAACAAATTGAAACCTTAGAACACAGACTGCAAATAATGTTAACATTTGAATTTTTTTTAAAAGCACAATATTCTCATAAGAGCTAAGCATTTCTAGTTCGACGGAAATGGTTTGTTTCTCTTCTGATAGGTAGACAAAAGGAGCTGATATCCTTCTGCAGTAAAAGCTACCTTGCAAGTTAAGGCACTGTTGAAAATGTTATTTGTAACTCCATTTCTCTGAAATCAGGGCTACTTGCTTTATGTTTTAGTCAACAGTGTCTCGCATTCTGATTGATCATGTGAAGGAATCATTTATGGGCCCCGTCCCTAAGAGAAACAGAAGAGGAGTCAGAAAGAAAGATGCCTGTGTTTTCCTCTGTGGGGCCCGTGCACTTCCTGGAGAGATGCTACAATGCAATATACAGCGCTCCATCCCCACTGGGGAAGCTGCTGTGATGAGACTAGATGAGCCTTCAACACACTCAGAAAATGCAACAGCAATAGGGGGCAGACAGCTCCTACCTGTGTTTCTAGGAGCAAAAGAGAGGGAACTAATTGCCCGTGAAGACGCCAGTGGAAGGATCAGCCTCATTCTAAGCAAAAACATAGTATTAGTGATACTCTTACTGCCTTATCTTAACCAAGGACTAATAGGATACCTTTCCATTAAACACCAGTGACTTCTCAGGAAAAAAAAAAAAAAGGAGCAAAACAAATGATGTGTACACCTGCTTTGTTATGGTCCACCAGTGACCAGCTTCAATGAGGGGAACCATTCTGGAGGGCTGCGGTCTCCTGTGCAAACAGACATGAGGCAGAAGAGTAAAAAGACCAACCCAGTGGGACCTAGAATACTTTGTAACTCTTTAATAACTGAGGTCAGGACCGCTCTTCTGCCTTCCCCTTCCCTTAACGTGCTTTTTCCCATTTCCATGATTTAAGGCAATGGTTTTTCCAGTATGTGACATTTTCCTTCCTGTTTTTCAGGTATATCAAAGAGTTTACATATTCCAATTCACATTTTTACATCTGAGACGGGTTTTTTAAGTTCATAATTATGAAAGAAATATGTATATTGAGCTTGGGGAAATAAAAATGGCCTTTTCTTAAATTATTATTATTGGTAATACAACCTCTTCATTAAATAACAATGTAGCATGAAAAATTTATGATTGAAATGTAGTTTTCATTCCATATTAAGATACAGTTTCTGAGAAGAATCATTGAATGGACTAGAATATGTCAAAAATTGATCCTGTGTAGTTTGGGTTCAGGGCTGACTTAAAATAAAGCACATCCTGCAAAGTCATTTTAAGAATATTCCTTATTTTGCTTTTTTGCATGAAATAGAAAATGGATTGTTTTGATACAGTGTACAGTTTTTTTTTTTAATCAACTGAAATAAGAATCCACTTCTTGCTGGTTCTGTTTTGTTTTGTTTTCCTCATATAAGCAGAAAACAACTAACAAATAATTTCCAAAAAGGAAACTATTACAGTGAATATGGAGCTTTAAAAAAGTAGCAGACTTCAAATGATTTTGTGTCTTGTACAGAATTAATTAGTGCATATTTATTCTTAACACGGTGAAAGCCAGCACGCTTCCCCCTGTGGAGATAAACTGCTTCCATCATTGCAACAATAAACTCAAACCACTTAGCGGAATTCTTGCATGAAGTTCTGATTTCCCAACAGCAGAAAGAATCATGGTGCATATCTGGTTGTGAGTTCTTTCTTTTAAAAAAAGTCAACAAGGAATTTCCAGAAAGCAAATTGTAGCTCATTTAGAAAAGATTAGGCATAGGAAAATGCTCATGAGAAGAAAACGTAAAGATCAGAGGATACCAGAATTGAAATATTCCTCAAGAAAACAGTTTCCAGGGTGTCAGGCAAAAGCCTCCAGATGCGTTGAGAGGAACATATTGCAGGAAAGAGTGCCGGCCAAAAAGGGCACTCCTTCCAGAATTGCGTGTGCTGGACTGGAAATCACACAGAGAATGCCAAAGCCTGGCTTCTGGTCCTGGCCCAGTCACTATGGGGATGGGAGACCTGGGCAAATGGGTCTCTCACCCTCCTCAAGCCTCCTTTATCTGACACCATCAGGGATCATCAAGCTCTAAACAGCAACATGTTAAGGTTCAAAGGGCGCCCACCCCAGCCAAGCAGCCTGCTGCCACCTTAGATTGGGTTCTCTAAACTCTGAGACAGAGTCACATGAGGTCATTTTAGGGCAGTGATCACAGGTTATACAGGTCACGGAGGAAGGCAGGTCCAGGCAGAGAGAAGCTGCAGTTGCAACTGAGCCCTGGAACTGGGGTAGCCCTTCCTTTATCCCAAGCTAAGCCAGGGGTGTTTGGATCCCACACCAGCAAGCCATTGTCATAGCCATCCCCTGGGCAAGGACTTAACCTTAAATGAGGGTTTTTGCCTTTGAGGGACAGGGCCAGCCATGGGCATGTGGGTGTCCAGAGGGGATCCTAGGAGATTGCATTACCCATCACTGTCTACCCTTGGACACCGGCTTCCAGAGTAAGCCTGTGAGGTCTTACTTCTCTTGCAAGGGAAGAGCAAAGTGAAAGGAGCTACAGGCCCCCCTGCAGCTGGTTTCAAGGCCAAAGTGAGACTCATCACCCACCCCTCCCGCACCCTTTCGAGATCCCTTCACCCTTGGCCAGCAGCCCTGGCGGGGTCAGCCAGACCCTGAAGCCGAGGGGCCCAAAGTCCTGGTTTCAAGCCCTCCTCGGGTCCTGGCTACAGCTTTGCCTCTTTGTCATTCAAACTGGGCACCAAGCACCAAAGAGGGATGATCCCCTGAGCACCAACATACTCTTCCCTGCCTGGCTGGGTGGCAACAGCCTCCTTGTTCTGCTGACCTGGGTTGATTAGCCCAGTCAGTAAGGTGACCGCTTGCCTTGCCATATCTGTGGCATTTGTTCCCTTACTGTACTTCTGAGTCATCCCTTCCCAAACCATGTTTTACTTTTTCGCTAATTTCTTCCCGAATGCTAACTCATTTCTGAGTTTTCTAATTCTGATTTTTATTGTTCTTTCATGTCTTCTATTATTTTCTGAATTTATGTGAGTTCATTTTGAAACACTGGATTATGGTTTCCACCCATTGGTGAGCATGTCTTTCTGGCAAACTTTGACAGTCTCAAAGGCCACCAGCCTGCCCCTTATTCTTTTTCACTGGCCACATTTGGTGTTGGATTGATGCACAGTCCTTCCCTGTCACTCCTTTGCAGGGGTTGTTTCCCTGACGTCAGGGTAGGAAGCTCTTCCAGCTTCGCAGCACTGGAGGCCCCTCCGCTGTGGTTTTCACTGGTTCCTAAGTGCGCCCTTCCTTCCTGAGACCTCCGCTCTGTCCCCCCGCCCACTCTGGGCCCTCTCTTCCCAGTAGCAACTGGTCTGCGCTGCATAGACTCTCCCCAACAGCTTCTTCTCAGGGCCGATGTGGCATGGGGCCTGGTCGTGGGAGGGAGCTACAACCTGTCACTTTGGAGAGTTTACAGGCCTAGCCCTGCGCAGCCCCTCACCCACCAATGAGTATGGGGAAAAGAAAACCCTCCAGGGTCCAGGGGCCATCGCTTGTTTGGGTGACCTGATCCCAGCTCTGCCTGGCAAGGCCGTCCTCGTTCCTCTCTTCTCCCACCTGTGAGGGGCTCCTCCTGCAGCTGTCATGTCATTCTTTGGAGTCCAGGTTTGTCCTGGCCTAGTTCTCATCTGCACTTCTTTTGTTTGTTTGTAGGGGAGGCAATAGGGCATGACTGAGGAAGTGCCAGGCTCTAGACTGCACTACCTTTATCTGCCCAGAATTCCCCTACACAGACTCTTAAGCGCAATATTGAATGAGGAAAGAATACATTACATTTCATGGAGAAAACAGTCTGAAACTACATTGCCCAAGTTAGATTTGGCATAAAAGCACTTGGTACAAACAGTGCACACAAATGATTGGTTCTCAGAGTCTACATTGTTTTGAATAAGGGGCATTTTTAAAAATTAAAATATTATTATTATTTTTGAGATGGAGTCTCGCTCTGCCACCCAGGCTAGAGTGCAGTGGTGCAATCTTGGCTCACTGCAAGCTCCGCCTCCCGGGTTCATGCCATTCTCCTGCCTCAGCCTCCCGAGTAGCTGGGACTACAGGTGCCCACCTGTAAGCTCCGCCTCCCAGGTTCACGCCATTCTCCTTCCTCAGCCTCCAGAGTAGCTGGGACTACGGGTGCCCACCACCACGCGTGGCTAATTTTTTTGTATTTTTAGTAGAGACGAGGTTTCACTGTGTTAGCCAGGATGGTCTTGATCTCCTGACCTCGTGATCCGCCCGCCTCGGCCTCCCGAAGTGCTGGGATTACAGGTGTGAGCCACCGTGCCCGGCCTAAAATATTAAAGTGTTATATTAAGACATAAGTATCTGTGGTTATATTCCCACATATTTTTATTGAACACATTTGCCTATTATTCAATCTATTTTATTAGGATTTTCAGAGTAGTATTTTTCCCTATTATTTGCTTTCTAGTTTATAAAGGTTTTTATCTTTATTTTTTTTTTTACTTCTTTGTGTTATTCTGTATTCTTCTTCTGACCTTTTGGGTTGGATACATAGCTTGGTACTGAGCTATCTAGTGTGTCCCAAATCAGAAATATAAATGCTGCAGACTTAGAGAACTCATCATTTGGAAGTTTATTTAAATATTCCCCATTACTTCAGCATTGCAAATTTGAGTATTACATTTCAGCTTTTAGGCTGCATGTGAGACCATGTCCAGATGTTCATCCAGACCCACAGCATGGCAGAGGCCTTGTTGTTCACTGGCAGTCTCCATCAGACCTTCCGTCCCAGGATGTTCTTTGGAGGATCTTCAAAGGCAACCTTCCTGTGGCTGCTTCTCCGTGTTTGCAGTTTGAAAATGGACTAGAACCACTAGCACAAGACAGCGGTTATCTTGCATGTCCATAGCAAAGATATTAGTATCTTAAATGTTTAAATTATTATCCTTTACAATGTTGCCTTTTCTAAGTTTGTATTATTTATACTTCTAACACCATTACAGTTTAAACCTGCAGTAAGACCTTTGGGAAGCCCTGTGTTTTCTTCCACGTAAGACTAAGTTCTGTACCTGAGACCTTCACAGCAGGGTTGCCACAGACGTCCAGAAGCACGGCAAGTGTAGGTATGAAAGCAAACCAGATGGTGAGAAAGGGGAGAGAAAGGCTTGCGGAGGGAATGTCCTGGAGGGAAGTTCGAAGAGACAGAGGAACTTCGGCAATTACGCTAGCATCGCAGACCTGACCCCCGCTGGAGTTTCTTTAAGGTATTCAGGGAAAGCCAGATAAAACTGTGCCTGCCTCTCCCACCCAGACCCTTACTCCATGTGCAGGGGCAGAGAAAGATTGCTGGAGATGGTTTCAGGAGCTGAGAGACTAATAATATCAATAATGTTCCAGTATTTGCTCTTACGACTATGTGTCAAACCCTGTGCTAAAAGCATGAGCAGTCAGAAACAGAAAGAGGGTTAGAGACTTGCCAAAGATGTGGTGGAGCCAGGACTTGCCTTGTTTCCCAGGAAGCCGGTCTGCACTGTGGGCCAGCCATCCTGCTGGCACTGCTTCTCCACCAGAGGCTCCTGTTGCTGCCTGGCGAGCACTGGCCGGAGAGCACCCCCACTTGTCAAATCGTGCCCCGCACCTGGGTTCCCACATACCTGTTTGGTATGGCCGGTGTGGGGGTTGGGTACTGGTGAGCAACTTTCCTCTATGCCACCTCTGTGCCTTCCACGTTATTTATTTCCCAGGCTAATGAATTACCAACAGGGAATTTTCAACCTGCATCCTTCAAGTAATGAGGGCAGTGGAAATGACTCTCCCCCAGCACCTCACCCAGCTCTGTCTCCAGCCCCTTTGCTCTGAGGTCAGAGAGTCAGATGGCTGCAAAAGCTGAGAGTATTCTGAGCTTACTCTCAGAATACTGAGAGTAAGAGGCGTGCCAGGTCTAAAGTGCCACCCAGGTCAAACTTGGGCGATTGGACGACCCTCCAAGGACTGCTAGAACCTCTGAGGTGTCATACTAAACCACAGAATCAGACTTTCATGCTTGGTGGCCTGGTCTTTCCATATTCCTTGATCATCTCACAAATTAGCTCACATGAATACAAAAATGCTTACCGATACGGATGATATAGAAAAATACGACTATTATTAAGGTCAATGCTTTAACAGATTAGGTTTTGATGTCTTTTCTATCTCAATCAAAATGAGACTTGGGGACATTTGACACTGACAGCTGGTGAAATCTTACCCTGCCCTTCACCAGATGCTCCATGCCATTTGCACTAACAGTACCCACATGTGCTTCAAAGCTGCTACTGTCGAAGGGAAGACAGCCCTCCAGCTCCACCCTGTCCTGGGGAGCTCGTGCAATCCACTCACCCTCCTTGGTTCGGCCACTTGGTTCTCAACCCCACATAGGAGGAGCACTTTCCTAAGCCACTGAGATTGTCAGACTTCCCTGGGGAAGTCTACTCCTTGGATCAGCCAGAAGGCATAGAGAAAAGGGGAGAAATTACCTTCCAAAGTGAAGGTTGTCTCTCTGTTCCCAACCTTGATGAAATCGCCAGAAAAGAACGTTTGACAGAGAGGCTAAGGCACTTTCTGCTGTGTGCCCCCTGGTCCCAGAGAAACAACATGCATTGTAGTTTTCATGGGGGCAGGACCCTTGCTAAGTGCTGTACGTACATGATCTCATCCATGCTCACCGCAAACCCAGGGGGCGGGTATTACTTTTCTCATCTTCCATATGTAGAGATGGACACACAGGGTAAGTGCTGCTCAGTGGGGCGTGGCCAGTGCTCAGAACCACCTGTGCTTCCCGGTAGCAGGAAACCACCATGCTATGTGAGCGAGTCCCAAAGTCCATCTGCTAGTTATACATCCATTCTTTTATGGATAGACAAGTGAAAATAGCTGAAAACAAAGACTGCTCCCAAGTAACTTTTTGGGGTGTGAAGTACAGTACCAGCATTAAGATAATGATAAAGTATAAATGGGTGTCTCATTCCTAGTCTATCCTTGTTGGTCATTCCTACTTTTCCATTTGTCTTTGGCTGTAGATTTAATGTTTGCAACAAAGGAGTTATTGGTCAAGATGGGAATGTTAATTTACCTGAGAAATCTGAGTATCTGAACAATAGTGTCATGATTTCTACAAGTGTCTTATTACTGACTAGAAGACACAAGGTGAAATAAACAAATTCATAGGTTAAAAAATGTTTCAATAGTAAACATGAATAGTGTGCACAACATAAAATAATAAAGAATTGTGTTTAGAGAAAGAAATGGAGAGATTCAGGGGGATTTTTTGAGTTGGGAGAAGATTTTCCCCAAAGTCTTTCTTCCCCCCAGTGTTTCTTTGCACACATTCACATTTCTAATTCTCATTCCTCTGGGCAATGCAGTAACACCAGCAAAATAATGTGCGTGGCAGGCAAGGACACACCTCCCGGGCCTCGGCCCTCCTGCAGCTCTTAGCAAAGCCCCTGCCTCAAGCCCAGCTCTGCACCTCAGGCCCGACTGCGGGATCCGAAAGGCTAAGGGGTTGGGATTTGGTGAGTTCCCGCCTTTCTCCAGGATGTGGGGAGTGTGCCGGCCTCATCTATCTCACATGTCTCCACGTCTGCAGCATGGGCATCTTCCTCAAGATGAGTCCATCTTCCTCATGGGCATTTTCTCCCTTGGTAGGAAGTAGGGAGAAAAAAAATATTTACAGCTAACACTAAATGTTAATTTAAAACCCTTTACTCAAAAGGAAGGAACTGAAGCTAAATGTCCCAGGTAGTGACCACGCAAGAGGAATGGGAATTGCTGATGGTATTTCAATAGCTTTGGGCCCTAATTTCTAGACTTTCTGGCCCACACTGAGGTCGGGAAAGAAAGGGCTTCTGAAACGCCACTGCACCCAGGAAACCTCAAGTTAACCAACCAGGTGTTTCTATTGTCAGTCCATGGAGAGACTGGTGCAGCCCCCAGAGCTGCTAGAGAGCAGGGGTTGGGTGGGGGGCTCAAGAAGAGAAGCTGAGGATGTGCCTTGAGTCCCAGGAAAGGTCGAAAGAGCTGAGCTCCTGGAGCAGAATTCTGGAAAAGCCTGTGGGGTGGCCATGCAAAGGCGCTGTAGCACAGCTTGGCAGCTTGCTTTCCAAGAGATGGGCTGGCACCGAGCCTCAAGTCGGCAAACTCCTGGATTTTAGAAGAACAATTAGTTGACATTATTGCATCACGATCAAGCAATGTAATGCAGCCCATAGAGAGGCTCCCCCAGGGTTGAGACTTGGAAGAGGCGGCCATGTTCTATTCTCTGCACCTGCAAACTTAGTGCCTGGGTGCAGCCTCAGACACCTGGAGCCCACCAAGTGGCCCCGTGTCCACCACTGTAAGCCCCTGGGCCATGTCCTCTACATGCCTGTCGCCTTCCTCAGTCTCTCAGCCTGTTCATGTCTTTACTCCTCATGGGTCCTGCCTCATGTTCTTCCTGGCTTTGGTGTGTGTTGTCCTCATTCACTGACAGTTTCAGCTGCTAGTTGTTTGGTGGTGGGGGGTGAGGGTGTAGAATTGGGAAAATGCTGCCGAACCAGCTTCAGTTTCCCAGAGTGGAGGAGGAGGTGGAAAAGAGGCTTTCAACATGATCTGGCCTCCAGGTAGAAACCCAAAAAGATGATGGGACTCTCCCTACCCCTCTGGAGTTGTCTTAGACTCAGGGTTTCTGTCCCCTTCCCAGCCAAGTTCCATTTGTAAAATATAACTGTTCCCTTCCACTTCTCAGCAGTCATCAGGCTCTGGGCTTCTGAATGACATGGTTGCCTTGGGTGTAGATTGGGTATTCACCAGGCTCCAAACCATACTCAGAGCTGGCCTGGGGAAACTCAGACGCTGATGAGTCTAAGGGTCGCAGAATGTGTGTAAACGGCCTGGCTCTCAGTGGAGGGTCAATTAATGTGAGCTCTCCCTCGAAAGTAGCCTGAGAGCAGCCCCAGGTTCTAAATAAGTCATCATCCAACTCAGCCAGATCTGCTCCTCCGGACTCCTGTGCACCCAAAATATGAAGTCACCCTTTGAGAGGTACTTAACATTGGCACTGAAAGCTGCCCCAAGGATTCATCTTTCCCCTGATGGCTCTGTCTCTCCTACCAAGGTCACTTCATGGGTGATGCATGTCACCATCAATGATAAATTTCATCCATGCCAGCAGATTTAATTCCCTCTTGCCCCTGGCAGGCAGCTCCAGGGACTCTAGATTGATAACCCATTGGCACCTCAAACTCAATAGCCCCAATACCAGTGTCATGATTTCCCCCTCCAAGCCCCCATTATCTTGCTTGCCTGTTTGCGAACTCACTCAGGCTGAACATCTTGGAGATGCTGAATCCTCATGGCTCAGGCCCTGAGACTCTGATACAGGGACAAGGTCCAAGAATCGATCTCTGTTTAGCCTGTGCAGATGGTTCTGACATCAGGGAGGCCTGAGGGCACTCCTCTCCCACACTACTCTCTGCAGGATCCCCGCTACATCTCTCCATATCTAAGATACCTTGCTATCTTGTGGAGGATGCTCAGTAAGCACTGATTCTCCCTCTCTCTCCCAGCCAGGATGGCCATTCCCTGTGCCAGGCCCCAAAGGCTTCTGCTTCTCCTCACCACTCCAAAAAGGGGTGCTGAGACACTGAGAAACTAAAGCTCCAGACATGGAAGCCACATATTCATTTCCTTTACTTTCACTTCCTGATCATTTACACCTTCTCAGGTGTAGGTCAAATGCCTAATGAGAAAACTAGGTCGAGTTTGTTGAGAAATGCAAAGAATATTTGCAGCCTTTTAAAAATGATGGCCAATAGCTCAGAGCCAAGTGACAAATAATTGGAAATATCTGGTTGGCCTCATTAATAAATGATATTAAATGAAGCAAAACTAGTGGCCCCTGGCCTGGCCTCTAAGCTTACTAGCAAAAGCAGTGAGTCACCTACTTGGCATACATTCAGGAACACTAAGTCTCACACCTCACCCAAGATCATTCCCCTCCCACTGTGTTACACCCAAAAGGATTTTGAGAAGAAAAAATAAATTTGCTATCCTTAGCTACTAGAGAGAATGCCTAAACGCAAGCACCAGGAAAGGTAGCACATTGCCTTGAAGTTACGGTAAGGGGTGGATTGCCTCTGGGAGACAGTTTTGATATATGGGAGGGAAACGAGTGAGTAAATGACAAGGTGAGAGTAGGGAAAACTGCAGCCCCCTAGGCAGGCACATCACCCAGGAAGAGTGCCTGGAAAGCCGCCTGACTGTCTATAGGATGCAGTGGTCTCTAAAGTTAGAAAGTATAAAGTCCTTTTACCAAGTCTAAAACAATGCTAAATCATAACTATACCTCCTGGTGTGGGAATATAGAAAATGAAAATTTTACTACATAAAATTGGGTTTCCTCTGTTAGCTATTTTTTTGTAATTCATTTATCTTTTGACATTTTTAATCAAAATGACATCTCAGTCACAGCCAAGTTTCTTTCTGGGAAAATGTTATTTCCATGAATTTTGTTCCATCTCATGGAGGAAGCTTTATGCAAACCAGAGGCACAGTAAGCTGAGGGAAGTTGCAGGGTTCCCTCCCCTGATTCCCAGGGCCTCGGTTAACATTCTACTCTCCCGGCCCAGAGGAGCCGCCCAGAGTCTGACCTCTGAGGCCACTGGCACATATGCCGGGAGCTTTTGGGGCCAGGCCTTCCTAACACAGTCATAATACATTACAGAAGGCACACCAGCAATTCTAAATTATGAATGATGCTGTATCGTGGCAACCAGGCTGATGCAAAGCAGTGAACTATTAATGAACCTTGCCGATGACTGCATCTCACACCATCCGTCACGTTGCCCTGAGCCCCACAGCAGATTCGTAGCCAGCAGTTTCTGTTTTGCTGCCCTTGGGACAATTAGCCCATAAAATGAAAGAAAAGAAAGAGACAAAGACAGTGAGGGAGGGAGGGAACAAGGGAAAAAGAGAGGGAAGGGAAGGAAGGAAGAAAAAACAACCAGGAAAACAGAGAAAAGACCTCTGATATGAGTTCCTACATGGAAAACAGGGCCCCTCTGCAGAACAGGCAGACAGAGGGCTCTGCCACAGCGTGGCCCTTGCAGACCACAGTCGCCCTAAGAGCCTAATCAAGTCCCCTTCCCAAGCTAGGTTCGGGGCATAGAGAGCACCAGAGTTGATTAGGCTCCACAGGCACTCCAGAAGGGAATTGAGCCAAAGAATCAAGGGGAAGTGTAAACATAAATCATCACCCCCAGGGACTGCCTAACGGAAACCTGCATGAAAAGGATGTAGGGAATGAGCTACAGAAAAGGGGATACATGTTTCAGAGAAAGAATTAGAAAGAGGGAGGTCTACAAACTAAGGAAACCTCTCCAAAAAACAACTGCTGCTCTTCATTCGCCTCACCGCAAGTCCTTCAGCTCCTCCTGATCACAGGGGAGTGAGAGGCAGCTCGCTTGCTCGCCAGGGCTTGCTATTTGTTCAGGTGGCGAGAGAAAGAACCCAAATGGGTCATTTCTAATACAAGAATTTGCACCAAAGAAATCCATCCAAACAACCTCTAGGGAGACGTGTCTTTCATAGCTGTCTGGCCTCCATGTGTTGGCCTGCCTTGTCTAGGAGAAGGGTGGGCAGAAGACAGAGCCCAGACTTTGAGGCTCTTTCTTTGTGGTCTGGAGTTGTGGCAGGGGCACAGCTGCACAGCCTTCCCGAGTCTCCATGTGCTCAAGAGTAAGTCATGAATAACAAGCCTGCAGTGGCCTTACAATGGTGCTAAAGAATAAAACGAGATCGTGGATAGCCAGCTACAAATAACTACCTGTGTCAAGTCCTGTCCATTAGTAAAGATGGCCAGGTAGAGGAAAATGACATATCCTCTTAATCCATATTTGTATCAATTTTGACAGAGATAAGAATACAGAACAAATGTACAAAATAATAAATTGGACCTAACTATATCACCTTCAAACATACATAAACATAGCTGCAAGGAGAAATGGACAAAACTAGTCATAGCCATGGTGGGAGATTATAATATCGCTCACTCAGAAACTCATAGCTCAAGCTGAACAAATAATCAGGAAATGGTTATCAATTGATATCCTGCTGTGCCGTTTACCCGACACATTTCTCCCCTCTTTCAGCCACATGGTCGGATGACACGTCCTAACTCCATCTCCTATGCATGGCTCTGTGTGATGAATTCTGGCCAATGAATGAAAAGCAAAAGGGGTATGTGTCACTTTTGGCCTGGAGCATTTAGTTGCCCATGGGGAAATCCTCCAGAACTCTCTGTTCCTTTCTCCCTTACCCTCTGACATGGCAACTGTCAACATTTGAAATGTAGTTGTTCCACCAACCTGTGCCTCTAAGAGCTACCACTAGCAGTCCCCCTGCATACCTTTAATACTTATGTAGCGTAGGTAAGATATAAATCTTATTGTTTTAAGCCACAGAGGTTTGGGGATTATTTACTACCGTAGCATGATCTAGCCTATCTTGACTAATGTGTTCTTAAATCAACATTAAATTAAATTACAAATGATTAACCAAAAATAAATGATTAAATTATGGTAGAACATAAACTTCTATGGTAGAATATAAATTTCTAAATAATTCATGAGTTTAAAAAATGTACTGCAAACATGTCAAGCTCATCAAAAATGTAACTGCTACATATCTGTTGTAGTCAGTTGGGTTGCAATTGATACAGGAGATAAAAAGAAATTATTTAGGCAGTTAGTGAGGCTAGAGAGTCCTTGGGAAACCTTCCCTTTTAACAAAAAGCAGCTCCCAAATCATTTCTTTCCTAGCAAAGAGCAGCCTATAAAATCCAGCCGCAGACATGGATAAGCAAGCTGGAAGCTTGCACAGGTGAATGCCAGCAGCTGTGCCAACAGGAAAAGGCTACCTGGGGGCCAGGCATGTTCAACATGGAGGCTCCATCTTCCCTTTTTGTCAACCACGTGTGCAATAAAGAAGCAGGCAAGATGGTGCTGGCCAGGTAGAGAAACAATTTGCATAATAAAAAGATTAGGGTAGGGCAGCCAGCTTCCTCTCATGTTATGTAAATGACACGCCTGGTCCGACCAATCTTTTGGACCGTATGTAAATCAGACACTGCCTCCTCAAGCTCATCTATAAAACCCCATCCATTTTACCACGGAACCGGAAGACCCACTCAGAAGCCCCTCTCTCTCTCTGCAGGAGAGAGATCTATTCTCTTTTCCTTTTGCCTATGAAACCTCCGCTCTTAAACTCACTTCTTGTGTGTCTGCAGCCTCAATTTCCCTGGCGTAAGACAATGAACCTCAGGTATTACCCCAAACAAATGATGCCACTTCACTATAACAAAGTACCGAAAGGGTTGCCAATGGTGATGCAGAAATTTATTTCTCAGTCCCAGAACCTGGAAGTCAGAGATCCGGGTGCCAGCGTGGTCAGCTCCTGCTGAGGGCTCTCTTCCAGGTGCACACTACCAACTTCTTATATTTGCACACGGCAAAGAGCAGAGAGAAGCAAGCTCTCTAAGCATTCTTTTAAGGGCACTAGTCAGATCCATGAAACGGGAGCCCTCATGACCTCATCTAATCCTAATCACCTCCCAGAGGCCCCACCTCCTAACACCATCACATTGGTAAGGGGAGGATTTCAACATTTGATTTTGTGGGAGACACAAACGTTTAATCCATAACAACATCAAAGCTTGTACAATGTAAAAATAATAGGAGGCCAGGCATGGTGGCTCACGCCTGTAATCTCAGCACTTTGGGAGGCCAAGATTGGCGCATCACCTGAGGTCGGGAGTTCGAGACCAGCCTGACCAACATGGTGAAACCCCATCCGTCTCTACTAAAAATACAAAAATTAGCCGGGCGTGGTGGCGTGAGCCTGTAATCCAGCTACTCCAGAGGCTGAGGCAGGAGAATCGCTTGAACCCAAGAAGTGGAGGTAGCAGTGAGCCAAGATCGTGCCACTGCACTCCAGCCTGGGCAACAAAGAGAGACTCTGTCTCAAAAAAAAAAAAAAAAAAGTAAAACAAATAAAAATAATAAATAGAAAATCAAATTTAGTATCATATATGTTTTAAAAAGAGCATATCATGACTAAGGTACATGCCATTAATCCAAGGATGGCTCAACATCAAATAAAATGAGAGAAGCAGTAAAATCATCACACGTTAAATTCAGAATAGAAGTATTTGCTAAAATTCAATGCTTATTTATAATTTATAAAAATATCTTAGTGAAGTAGGAACAGAAAGGAGCCCCCTTGAGAGGATAAAGGTCATCTAACAAATGGAACAGTAAAACTTTAGAGACCCCAGCAAAGTTATGAACAAGACAAGGATACTCATTAGCAATGATTCTAACAAACATTACACTGGATCATCTCAAGAAAGCACCAGGACATTGAGACAATAAAAGAAATGAGAAATCTTAAATATTAAGAAATGTTTTTAAAATGCTGTCTTTATTAATATGATCGTCTATTTAGAAAATCCAAGATAATATACACAGAAAATAAGTAAAACTAATAAGAGAATACAGCAAGGCTATTGAATAATAGATTTACCTATAAAAACAAGCAGCATTCCTATCAAATAGAAATAACCAACTCTGAAATGCAATAGCAAAAAAATTACACTCAAATCATGCAAAACAGAGGGAAGGCCTTTAATATGAAAAAGCCTAGCAATAAATCTCAAAAATGGTGTGTAAAACCATTATGGATAAAATTTTAAATTTCCTTGAAGGATCTTTAATGAGATGAATAGAAGTCATCATATTTATAGAAGTATAACTCAAAGTCATAAAGCTTTCTTACAAAATTTATTTACAAAATTAATACTTTTCAAAATAAATATAGATCAACAGTAGAAATGAGAAAACATAATTTTAAAATGAGTGAATTTCAAGATAGACAAGTAGAATTATTCAATCCAAAGAACAGGGAGGAGAATAAAAAAGGCTGGAGAAAAACAGAGAAAGCCACAGAAACCTGTGGCACAAAATCAAGCAGCCAATATACATAACATAGATTCCCCGGAAGAAAAAAAAAAAAGAAAAAAAAAGAGAGGAGGGAAGAAAAACTACTTGAAGAAATAATGAAGTTTTATTCAGAACTACTAGATCTTTGAAGAATTGCCACACTGTCTTTCACAATGGTTGAACTAATTTACATTCCCGCCAAGAGTGTAAAAGTGTTCCTATTTCTCCACAGCCTCTCCAGCCCCTGTAGTTTCTTGACTTTTTAATAATCACCATTCTGACTGGTGTGAGATGGCATCTCATTGTGGTTTTGATTTGTACTTCCCTAATGATCAGTCATGTTGAGCTTTTTTTCTTTTTATTTATTTATTTACTTATTTATTTTATTATACTTTAAGTTTTAGGGTACATGTGCACAACGTGCAGGTTTGTTACATATGTATACATGTGCCATGCTGGTGCGCTGCATCCATTAACTCATCATTTACATTAGGTATATCTCCTAATGCTATCCCTCCCTGCTCCCCCCTACCCCATGACAGGCCCCAGTGTGTGATGTTCCCCTTCCTGTGTCCAAGTGTTCTCATTGTTCAATTCCCACCTATGAGTGAGAACATGCGGTGTTTGGTTTTTTTGTCCTTGCGATAGTTTGCTGAGAATGATGGTTTCCAGCTTCATCCATGTCCCTACAAAGGACATGAACTCATCATTTTTTATGGCTGCATAGTATTCCATGGAGTATATGTGCCACATTTTCTTAATCCAGTCTACCATTGATGGACATTTGGGTTGGGTCCAAGTCTTTGCTATTGTGAATAGTGCTGCAATAAACATATGTGTGCATGTGTCTTCATAGCAGCATGATTTATAATCCTTTGGGTATATACCCAGTAATGGGATGGCTGGGTCAAATGGTATTTCTAGTTCTAGATCCCTGAGGAATCACCACACTGACTTCCACAATGGTTGAACTAGTTTACAGTCCCACCAACAGTGTAAAAGTGTTCCTATTTCTCCACATCCTCTCCAGCACCTGTTGTTTCCTGACTTTTTAATGATCGCCATTCTAACTGATGTGAGATGGTATCCCGTTGTGGTTTTGATTTGCATTTATCTGATGGCCAGTGATGATGAGCATTTTTTCATGTGTGTTTTGGCTGCATAAATGTCTTCTTTTGAGAAGTGTCTGTTCAGGTCCTTTGCCCACTTGTTGATGGGGTTTTTTGTTTTTTTTCTTGTAAATTTGAGTTCTTTGAAGATTCTAGATATTAACCCTTTGTCAGATGAGTAGGTTGCAAAAATTTTCTCCCATTCTGTAGGTTGCCTGTTCACTCTGATGGTAGTTTCTTTTGCTGTGGAGAAGCTCTTTAGTTTAATTAGATCCCATTTGTCAATTTTGGCTTTTGTTGCCATTGCTTATAGTGTTTTAGACATGAAGTCCTTGCCCATGCCTATGTCCTGAATGGTATTGCCTAGGTTTTCTTCTAGGGTTTTTATGGTTTTAGGTCTAACATGTAAGTCTTTAATCCATCTTGAATTAATTTTTATATAAGGTGTAAGGAAGGGATCCAATTTCAGCTTTCTACATATGGCTAGCCAGTTTTCCCAGCACCATTTATTAAATAGGGAATCCTTTCCCCATTTCTTGTTTTTGTCAGGTTTGTCAAAGATTAGATAGTTGTAGATGTGTGGCATTATTTCTAAGGGCTCTGTTCTGTTCCATTGGTCTATATCTCTGTTTTGGTACCAGTACCATGCTGTCTTGGTTACTGTAGCCTTGTAGTATAGTTTGAAGTCAGGTAGTGTGATGCCTCCAGCTTTGTTCATTTGGCTTAGGATTGACTTGGCAATGCGGGCTCTTTTTTGGTTCCATATGAACTTTAAAGTAGTTTTTTCCAATTCTGTGAAGAAAGTCATTGGTAGCTTGATGGGGACAGCACTGAATCTGTAAATTACCTTGGGCAGTATGGCCATTTTCACGATGTTGATTCTTCCTATCCATGAGCATGGAATTCTCTTCCATTTATTTGTATCCTCTTTTATTTTGTTGAGCAGTGGTTTGTAGTTCTCCTTGAAGAGGACCTTCACATCCCTTGTAAGTTGTATTCCTAGGTATTTTATTCTCTTTGTAGCAATTGTGAATGGGAGTTCACTCATGATTTGGCTCTCTGTCTGTTATTGGTATATAAGAATGCTTGTGATTTTTGCACATTGATTTTGTATCCTGAGACTTTGCTGAAGTTGCTTATCAGCTTAAGGAGATTTTGGGCTGAGACGATGGGATTTTCTAGATATACAATCATGTCATCTGCAAACAGGGACAATTTGACTTCCTCTTTTCCTAATTGAATACCCTTTATTTCTTTCTCCTGCCTGATTGCCCTGGCCAGAACTTCCAACACTATGTTGAATAGGAGTGGTGAGAGAGGGCATCCCTGTCTTGTGCATTTTCAAAGGGAATACTTCCAGTTTTTGCCCATTCAGTATGATACTGGCTGTGGGTTTGTCATACATAGCTCTTATTATTTTGAGATACGTCCCATCAATACCTAATTTATTGAGAATTTTTAGCATGAAGGGTTGTTGAATTTTGTCAAAGGCCTTTTCTGCATCTATTGAGATAATCATGTGGTTTTCATCATTGCTTCTGTTTATATGCTGGATTACGTTTATTGATTTGCATATGTTGAACCAGCCTTGCATCTCAGGGATGAAGCCCACTTGATCATGGTGAATAAGCTTTTTGATGTGTTGCTGGATTCAGTTTGCCAGTATTTTATTGAGGATTTTTGCATCGATGTTCATCAGGGATATTGGTCTAAAATTAAAATTCTCTTGTTTTGTTGTGTCTCTGCCAGGCTTTGGTATCAGGATGATGCTGGCCTCATAAAGTGTGTTAGGGAGGATTCCCTCTTTTCTATTGATTGGAATAGTTTCAGAAGGAATGGTACCAGCTCCTCTTTGTACCTCTGGTAGAATTCGGCTGTGAATCTGTCTGGTCCTGGACTTTTTTTGGTTGGTAAGCTATTAATTATTACCTCAATTTCAGAGCCTGTTATTGGTCTATTCAGAGATTCAACTTCTTCCTGGTTTAGTCTTGGGAGGGTGTATGTGTCGAAACATTTATCCATTTCTTCTAGATTTTCTAGTTTATTTGCGTAGAGGTATTTATAGTATTCTCTGATGGTAGTTTGTATTTCTGTGGGATCAGTGGTGATATCCCCTTTATTATTTTTTATTGCATCTATTTGATTCTTCTCTCTTTTCTTCTTTATTAGTCTTGCTAGAGGACTATCAGTTTTGTTGATCTTTTCAAAAAACTAGCTCCTGGATTCATTGATTTTTTGAAGGGTTTTTTGTATCTCTATCTCCTTCAGTTCTGCTCTGATCTTAGTTATTTCTTGCCTTCTGCTAGCTTTTGAATGTGTTTGCTCTTGCTTCTCTAGTTCTTTTAATTGTGATGTTAAGGTGTCAATTTTAGATCTTTCCTGCTTTCTCTTGTGGGCATTTAGTGCTATAAATTTCCCTCTACACACTGCTTTGAATGTGTCCCACAGGTTCTGGTATGTTGTGTCTTTGTTCTCATTGGTTTCAAGAACGTCTTTTTTCCTGCCTTCATTTCGTTATGTACCCAGTAGTCATTCAGAAGCAGGTTGTTCAGTTTCCATGTAGTTGTGTGGTTTTGAGTGAGTTTCTTAATCCTGAGTTCTAATTTTATTGCACTGTGGTCTGAGAGGCAGTTTGTTGTAATTTCTGTCCTTTTGCATTTGCTGAGGAGTGTTTTACTTCCAACTATGTGGTCAGTTTTGGAGTAAGTGCAATGTGGTGCTGAGAAGAATGTATATTCTGTTGATTTGGGGTGGAGAGTTCTGTAGACGTCTATTAGGTCTCCTTGTTGCAGAGCTGAGTTCAAGTCCTGGATATCCTTGTTAACCTTCTGTCTCGTTTATCTGTCTAATGTGGACAGTGGGGTGTTAAAGTCTCCCATTATTATTGTGTGAGAGTCTAAGTCTCTTTGTAGGTCTCTAAGGACTTGCCTTATGAATCTGGGTGCTCTTGTATTGGGTGCACATATTTTTAGAATAGTTAGCTCTTCTTGTTGAATTGATCCCTTTACCATTATGTAATGGCCTTCTTTGTCTCTTTTGATCTTTGTTGGTTTAAAGTCTGTTTTATCAGAGAGTAGGATTGCAACTCCTGCTTTTTTTTTTTTTTTTGCTTTCTATTTCCTTGGTAGATCTTCCTCCATCCCTTTATTTTGAGCCTATGTGTGTCTCTGCATGTGAGATGAGTCTTCTGAATACAGCGCACTGATGGGTCTTCACTCTTTATGCAATTTGCCAGTCTGTGTCTTTTAATTGGAGCATTTAGCCCATTTATATTTAAGGTTAATATTGCTATGTGTGAATTTGATCCTGTCATTATGATGTTAGCTGGTTATTTTGCCCGTTAGTTGATGCAGTCTCTTCCTAGCATCGATGGTCTTTTTACTTTGGCATGTTTTTGCAGTGGCTGGTACTGGTTTTTCCTTTCCATGTTTAGTGCTTCCTTCAGGAGCTCTTGTAAGGCAGGCCTGGTAGTGACAAAATCTCTCAGCATTTGCTTGTCTGTAAAGGATTTTATTTCTCCTTCACTTATGAAGCTTAGCTTGGCTGGATATGAAATTCTGGGTTGAAAATTCTTTTCTTTAAGAAGGCTGTATATTGGCCCCCACTCTCTTCTGGCTCGTAGGGTTTCTGCCGAGAGATCCGCTGTTAGTGTGATGGGCTTCCCTTTGTGGCTCAACCCAACCTTTCTCTCTGGCTGCTCTCAGCCTTTTTTCCTTCATTTCAACCTTGGTGAATCTGACAATTATGTGTCTTGGGGTTGCTCTTCTCGAGGAGTATCTTTGTGATGTTTTCTGTATTTCCTGAATTTGAATGTTGGCCTATCTTGCTAGGTTGGGGAAGTTCTCCTGGGTAATATCCTGCAGAGTGTTTTCCAACTTGGTTCCTTTCTCCCTGTCACTTTCAGGTACACCACTCAGACGTAGATTTGGTCTTTTCACATAGTCCCATATTTCTTGGAGGCTTTGTTCGTTTCTTTTTACCCTTTTTTTCTCTAAACTTCTCGCTTCATTTCATTAATTTGATCTTCAATCACTGATACCCTTTCTTCCACTTGATCGAATTGGTCACTGAAGCTTGTGCATGTGTCACGTGGTTCTCATGCCATGGTTTTCAGCTCCATCAGGTCATTTACGGTCTTCTCTGTGATGTTTATTCTAGTTAGCCATTCATCTAATCTTTTTTCAAGGTTTTTAGCTTCTCTGCGATGGGTTCAAACATCCTCCTTTAGCTCAGAGAAGTTTGTTATTACTGATCATCTGAAGCCTTCTTCTCTCAACTCGTCAAAGTCATTCTCCGTCCAACTTTGTTCCCTTGCTGGCGAGGAGCTGTGTTCCTTTGGAGAAGAGGCACTCTGATTTTTAGAATTTTCAGCTTTTCTGCTCTGGATTCTCCCCATCTTTGTGGTTTTATCTACCTTTGGTGTTTGATGATGGTGACGTATAGATGGGGTTTTGGTGTGGATGTCCTTTCTCTTTGTTAGTTTTCCTTCTAACAATCAGGTCCCTCAGCTGCAGGACTGTTGGAGTTTGCTGGAGGTGCACTCCAGACCCTGTTTGCCTGGGTATCACTAGTGGAGGCTTGCAGAACAGCAGTGTTGCTTCCTGAACCTTCCTCTGGAAGCTTCATCTCAGAGGGCCACCCTGCCGTATGAGGTGTCAGTCGGCCCCTACTGGGAGGTGCCTCTCAGTTAGGCTACTCGGGGGTCAGGGACCCACTTGAGGCAGTCTGTCCGTTCTCAGATCCATGCTGGGAGAACCACTACTTCAAAGCTGTTAGACAGGGATGTTTAAGTTTCTGCTGCCTTTTGTTCAGCTATGCCCTGTCCCTAGAGGTGGAGTCTACAGAGGCAGGCAGGCCTCCTTGAGCTGCGGTGGGCTCCACCCGGGTCAAACTTCCCAGCAGCTTTATTTACCCACTCAAGCCTCAGCAATGGCAGACTCCCCTCCCCCAACCTCACTGCCACCTTGCAGTTTGATCTCAGACTGCTGTGCTAGCAGTGAGTGAGGCTCCATGGGCGTGGGACCCTCTGAGCCAGGCGTGGGTTATAATCTCCTGGTGTGCCATTTGCTAAGACCGTTGGAAAAGTGCAGTATTAGGGTGGGAGTGTCCCAGTTTTCCAAGTACCATCTGTCATGGCTTCCCTTGGCTAGGAAAGAGAATCCTCTGACTGCTTGTGCTTCCTGGGTGATGCAATGCCCCACTCTGCTTCGGTTCATGCTCCGTGGGCTGCACCCACTGTCTGACAAGCCCCAGTGAGATGAACTCCGTACCTCAGTTGGAAATGCAGAAATCACCTGTCTTCTGCGTTGCTCATGCTGGGAGCTGTAGACTGGAGCTGTTCTATTTGGCCATCTTGGAACCTCCCGCCAACAATGTCTTTTTGTCCTTTTTGATCTATGTTGGTTTAAAGTCTGTTTTGTCTGAAACTCAGATTGCAACCCCTGCTTTTTTCTGTTTTCCATTTGCTTGGTCGATTTTTCTCCATCCCTTTATTTTGAGCCTATGTGTGTCATTGCATGTGAAATCTGTCTCTTGAAGGCAGCATGCCAATGGATCTTGCTTTTTTTATCCAGCTTGCCACTCTGTGCCTTTTAAGTAGGGCATTTAGCCCATTTATCTTGAAATATTTATATTAATATGTGTGAATTTAATCCTGTCGTCATGATGTTAGCTGGTTATTTTGCAGACTTGTTTATGTGGTTGCTTTATAATGCCACTGGCCTGTGTATGTCAGTGTGTTTTTGCAGTGGCTGGTAACAATCTTTTCATATTGAGTGCTCTTGTCAGGAGCTCTTGCAAGGCAGGTCTGGTGGTGACAAATTCTCGCAGCATTTGCTTATCTGAAAAGGATCTTATTTCTCCTTTATTTTTGAAGCTTAGTTTGGCTGGATATGGAATTCTGGGTTGGAAATTCTTTTCTTTAAAAATGTTGAATATTGTCCTTCGCATCTCTTTGGCTTGTAGGGGTTCTGGCTGAAAGGCCTGTCATTAGTCTGATGGATTTCCCTTTGTAGGTGAGCTGACCTTTCTCTCTAGCTGCGTTTAACATTTTTCCTTTCATTTTGACCTTGGAGAGTATCTGATAATTATGTGTCTTTGGGGTGGTCTTCCTATGGGGTATCTTACTGGCGTTCTGTACATTTCCTATATTTGAATGTTGGCCTCTCTAGCTAGGTTGGGGAATTTCTCATGGATAATATCCTGAAATATGTATTCCAAGATGCTTCCATTCTCTTCATCTCTTTCAGGGACACCAATGAGGCATAGATTTGGTCTCTTTACGTAATCCCATATTTCTCAGAGGTTTTGTTCATTCCTTTTTATTCTTGTTTTTTTCTGTTCTTGTCTGACTGTCTTATTTCAGAAAGCCAGTCTTCAGGCTATGAGATACTTTCCTCCACTTGGTCTATTCTGCTATTAATACTTGGGATTGCATTATGAAATTCTTTTAATGTGCCTTTCAGCTCTATCAGGTCAGTTACATTCTTTTCTATACTGACTATTTTGTCTGTCAGGTTGTGCATTGTTTTATTGTGATCCCTAGAGTCCTTGGATTAGGTTTCAACATACTCCTGTAGCTCAATGATTTTCATTTCTATCCATAGTCTGAGTTCTCTTTCTGTCATTTCAGCTATTTCAGCCTAGTTCAGAACCCTTGTTGGAGAGGTAATGAGGTCATTTGGAGGAAAGAAGGCACTCTGACTTTTTGAGTTGCCATGGTTCTTTCACTGGTGTTTTCTCATCTTTGTGGGCTTATTTTCCTTCAATCTTTAGGTTGCTGACCTTTGAATTTTCTTCTTTTATCCTAGTTGATGACCTTAAGGGTTTGAGTGTGGTATAAGGTAGCTTCAGCCCACTGGCTTCATTTCTGGAAGATTTTATGGGGCCAATGTTCAGCTCCCAACTCCTGAACTACCTGTGCTAACTCTGGGGAATTTGTATTGGGCCCAGACTTTGTTCTCTGGCTCCTTGAAGTTAAGAATTCACTGCTCTGGGGGGTGTAAGGTGCTCGCAGAACGTTGGTCACTACACTCCAATGGGTGGTGCCAGCCAAAGAGTTTTATAGTGCAGTGACAGCAGGATTCTCATTTGCATGTGCCAGCAGCAGCAGTAGCAGCAGCAGCAGCAGCATAGTGGGGTGCACACTCATCAACTGCAGCAAGGTGCTAGTGGGTGCCGGCATGCCTGCCCCCCTGTGGGCATTCACCACAGTGGCAGAGGCAACACAGCTCAGGGAAGGGTAGGGGGCTGCTGCTGGCGACTGTGTATGTGGTTGCATTGGTGATAGTGTTGCCTTGGGGGCACTGGCGGGCTCAGGTCTGTGCCTTCTCTGTATTGCATGAGCAGGAGTGGTCACTCAGGGCAGGAGAGGATCTGCTGTTCTCTGTACCTAGTTTCACTCCCACGGCAGTGTTGGCACAAGGGCAGAGCAGGGCACTGGTGGTGGGAGTAGAGCTCGCTGGCTGTGTGCCCACCAAGGCTTTTTCTAAATGGTGGTCAGCAGCGGGAGGGCGGCTGACTGCACTCTTGCTGCAGCAGTGACAGGGTGGGGTGTATGCACACATGCATGTGGGTCGGACAAGGAAAGCAAAACCCGTCCCCACAGACATGCTCCAGCCAAGCGACGTGGGGAGTTGCTGTGGGCCCAAGGGAAGCTACAGTTTGGGGAGGGAGTATGCGGGCTGGTGCTTTGCCGTGGGGGCCTCCCTGTGCTGGAGCCCTCTTCCAGTCAGGCAGGGTCCACTAGCACAGAAGCTATGACCCAAGGCTGCCCTGCAAGCAGGCATGACCAGGCTGGGGCCCCAGGACTTTCAGATTGTAAAGTCAAATGGTGAGAATAATTTATTTTCCTGAAATAATGACTTAAAATTAGTGGAATGGGCAGCAAGTGAAGTTCATTAGCATCTAAATAGAATTTGTTTTTGCCTTGCGTGGAGGAAACTTACGCACACGTAGTGAGGGAGTTGCAAATTGTATTCTCCCCTAATAGTTCACTTTTCAATCTCAGGATGCTCTTTAATTAAAAATTAAACAGGATTCTAGGCCGGGCACGGTGGCTCACACCTGTAATCCCTGCACTTTGGGAGGCCGAGGTGGATGAATCACTTGAGGTCAGGAGTTCAAGACCAGCCAGGCCAACATGGTGAAACCCTGTCTCTACTAAAAATAGAAAAATTGGCCGGGCATGGTGGCGCATGCCTGTAATCCCAGCTACTCGGAAGACTGAAGCAGAAGAATCACTTGAACCTGGGAGGCAGAGGTTGCACTGAGCTGAGACTGTGCTACTGCACTCTAGCCTGGGTGACAGAGTGAGACTCCTTCTCAAAAACAAAAAAAATATTAAACAGGATTTTAAATTAAACCTAAATGGCAGGACAAGGTGTCCTCCAGAGCATGCACCCAAATTGAGTAAACCTCCAAGAGATCTCTCAATGGACTAAACTTTCTGTAACATGTTTGAGAGTGCATTCTAATCATAACTGCAAAAAAGTAGTTAAAATCTATGTTTGAAAATTAAAATTAAACATAGAACCCTGAAAATCTCTATGCAACTTTATCCCACAGAAATTTTGAAAAACAAAACAGAGCACACTCCGTTGTTATTATAGCTTTAAAATATAGCAGAAATAGTGGCTACATTTTTGAAAGTTCAGTAAAGTTCAACTTTCCGAGCCAGAGCTTGCAAAGAGCGTAGTTGAGAAGTAGCCCCCAGAAGGGTGTGGCTAACACAGCCTCTGACTTCAGAGTCAGGAGAGCAAAAGGCCTTGCCTACTGCAACTTATTCATGTGAATCAATAACTCTTGTGTTTACCAACATTTTAAACAAACTTGACCATCTAGAGAAGAGTGGGCAGAAATAGTGCTGTGAGGATTGATCTTCCTGTGGTTGTAAAAGCACAATGATCTTGTATAATTTAGTCTGTCCTGCCTTTGTAAACTTTGAAAGCATGACGTCTTTATATCAGGATCTAATAATAGCTATTATGATGACTCTTCATTGTCATGAAAAAATATAATTAGGTTTTCATATGGTCTAAGAAGGTAGGAAAACGATGTAAAGATTTGTGAAGGATGTTAACTAAAATAGTTAAAATGAGTCCAGCCATTATGAGCTTAACTCAGGTACCTGGAACATTGGCTTATATGGAACATTAAATTTCTGAAAAAAGCTCAAAAAATGGGACATGCATGTACATATTCCTACCATGAATCTGACTCCACAGGGCTACAAAATATTTAACCTTCATTTCAGGAGTGCTAGTGTGCTTCAGGTAGGTTTCATACAGTTTATTTGTCCTGACAAAAAATCACCCTATCAGCCTTCTCATGAGCATCCAGTGACAGAGATGTGGAAAAGAACCTTCTGTGGGGAGAGTAAAGTTTGAAACAGTGAGGAACAGAGGATGATGTTCGAGAAGCCACAGGAGGAGACACCAGTGGACACCAGCGAGGAGAGGAGCCAGGGAGAAGGAAATGGGGAAGACATTCCTCAAGGAGCAGCTCTGAGCTCCGCGGCTTTGGGGGCCATGGAGTCACAACAGCTTAAGATGTCCCTTCAGCACCAGCTGGGCATGGGCAACAGTGAGAGGAGAGGGTGGCAGCTATGACATCAGTGTTTGTGTCTTTACCTGCACATGGGGAGAAAATTCCATCTGTTTCCCATAAGTAGGGTCATCTTTGAACAGAAGAGGCAGTTGTGTGTTTCCACAAATGTGGCGACATACATTGTAGGACACACCAAGACTTTGCTGTAGCCGAGCCATAGGCTCTTTAGACTTTGGCGGGTTGTTCTCTTCCCCCTATCCCTTCATTTCTTCTGTCCACCAAAATGTATTGAAATCATCCTGGGAGCCAGACACTGGTAGGTGCTGGGGATATAGGCAGGAATGTGCTTTCATGAGAGACAAGAAAGCCTGACCTTGCTGCCACAGAAATTTCATTGCACTGTGAGACAGAGATGTGCCAATAGAAAGATCCACATAAGAAGCATAAGAAGAAGCATAAGAAGAGCATAAGAAGCATTAGAACGGGCGTGAAAGTCCATCCAGGGGACATTTTTGACCCAAATTTGAGAGGCCAGGAGAGCTTCCTGGAGAAAGTGACATGTAAGGCAAGACCTGAAAGACAAACCCAATTACCTGGGGAGGTGAGGAAGGAAGAGGGACAGGTGTTCCAAGAAAGGCAGATAGCATATTGAGGGGAGCAGTGGGAAAGAGAAGGGGAACTCCAGGAACTGAAGTGATCCCCACCACCAGAGCATGGAGTGTGAGTGAAAAGTCTGCAGAGGGCTGGTGCCCGGGACCTCTGAACACGGGAGGCCAGACAGTATTCTAAGATCAACGGGAAGCCATTGCAAAGTTTCACCCAGAGGAGTAATGTGATCAGATTTGCATCTTAGAACAGTTGTTTTGGCACTTCTGACTGGAAGGGCAAGAATGGCCAGTGTTGTTGTTACCTGAAGGGTAAATGTGGCCCACAATATGAAATGCAGTGAAGAAGGAGACATATGCATATATGTTAAGTAAATATAATCGAGGTATATTTAGCAGACAGAATCAATAGACTTGATGAGTGATGGACTGGATGTGTGAGGAGTCTAGATCACTTCCAGGTTGCTGATTTGGGCAACTCAGTACTAATCAATGAAAAAGAAGATCCACAGGGAGGAACTTGTCTAAGGGGTGAGGTGGGGCTGAACAGCTGCGTTTGAGACTGGAGAAGTGTGTGCTGGGCATGGGATGCACAAGTGGAAATGCCTTTGGGTCTGCAGCTCAGACGTGGGCATGACCAGCATAGAGATAGAGAGGCCCCAGGCTGCCAGGTGAGTGTGATCCCCAGGTGATGGTGTCAGCTGAGAAGGGAAGGAAGCCCCTGTGAGGACACTGAAGTGGCGAGGGCAGACAACAAGGAGTCCACAGGAGACAGGAAAGGAAGAACTAGAGGGAGGAGCCAAGCCAGGCATGTGTGGTGACATAGGAACCGAGGGAGAGGACATCTCAAGATTGAGGGGACGCTGCACAACAGGAGGACTGTGTGGTTTTTGGCCACGTCCACAGGAAGTCACAACAGGCAAGGAAAAGAAACTGGCAATCAGACATGGAGTTGAGGAGTGAATCAGAGAGGAGATGGGCAGGGACAGCAGGGTGAGGCCTCTTTCTGAGGAAGTTTGGCTAAAGGATAGATCAGCTGGGACACATGCTGGAAGGGTGTATGGGGTGGAGGGAGGAACGGTGGAGGGCAGGAGAGCCTTGAGCCTGAGAGAAGAGTCTCCTAGAATAGAGAAGCCGAGGTTAAAATTGTGGGAGAGAGTGGGGATAACTGAGTGACAGATAATCAGGAGAACAGAAGGAGCTCCAGAATCATGACAGAGAGATGACCTTTGCCAAGAGCACAGCCCCCTCCCCTGTGACAGAGGGGTAGGACAAAACAATTGGTGTTCAAGTGTTGGTTTAACTATGTCCTTTGAAACATTTCTCCACAGACACTGCCCAAAGCAGTCCTTCACTACAGTGGCAGATACACCTGCACATCTTCACCTAAAACAGTGACCTGACCAAGCTAACTGCTGCTGCCTGGAACACTGCCCTTACTTTAGAAATGTCGACCAGATTGTAGGATACCCAAACAACCTTTTCAAGCAGAAAGCAAACAGATTAAGAAAGTAGCCAGATGAGTTAGCGAGCCCAACAGTGACTTTTGTTTCTTTTTTTCCCTGTTCCCTTTTCTTTTCATGATAGGAAAGGCTGGACAGGGATGCGTTGCAAAAGCAGTGATCTAGCTTATCTTGCCACCACCCAGGATGGCCCAGGATGTGGGTTCTCCTTGAATGAATGTTTGGCAGTCT
Source organism: Homo sapiens (assembly GCF_000001405.40). Classification (NCBI taxonomy): domain Eukaryota; kingdom Metazoa; phylum Chordata; class Mammalia; order Primates; family Hominidae; genus Homo; species Homo sapiens. The sequence continues at coordinate 10,643,533 of NC_000018.10, read as the reverse complement.
GGCAGCCTGACATGGTCTGCCTCCTTCTTTGGTCTGAGCTTGCCCACTGCTTAGAAAGGGCCATGGGCAGTTCTGTCAGGGAGTTTTCCCAACATTGAGAAGGTGACATTTCTACTCCCCGTTGCAGTCTGCACCTCTGACCTGTGGTCAGCAGACAGGACAGAGGCACTCAGTAGACAGAGCTCAGAGGACAGCACTCAGTCCCGGCGGAAGGTTCAATGTCCAGCTTTGCACCCACCCCATGTGACCACAAGCAGGCTCCATGACCTTGTGGGTCAGTTTCCTCACCCTGTTCAGGAGGAATTGTACTACCATCCTGTTAGGAAATTTGTGAGGATCACTGCGTTACTCATGTAAGGTCTTTGGAAAGTGTCATGTTACTGTTTATTAACTGCTTGTTGGTGGCCTGGCTGAGCCACATCCTTTATGAAAACCAGAACCCCTCAGCAGGTGTGGATGTCTGTGCAGCCTGAGACCCTTGTGTGAACAGCCTTCTGGCAGCTGTTTTTTCCCCTTGCCACAATCAGTGCCTCCCTGTCCCCAGGCGTTGCTTTCTCTGCTGGGTGCTGGGTGCTCCACTGTTTTCCTACACCTCAGTTGTCTACAGGTGTATGTCTGTTCTGGAATCTAACTGAGGTGGCATCGATAGCAGTTCTGCTGTGGCACTGCCCTTCTTCTTAGGTTGTCTTTTGAGAGCAAGAGAGGTCCCTTCACATACCCCAAGAACTTACCTGCATTTGCCCACATAGTCTCCATTTAGAAAATGGGAAAAGTCACGTCTGCCTACCTGCCAATGGGGTAAGAGGTAAGTTTCTTGTTGAAATCTGAGCAGAAAAACATGACCAATTCTATACCCATTGAAGACATGTATGAGAAATTAAAACAATTCTTTTTTTTTTATACTTTAAGTTTTAGTGTACATGTGCACAACGTGCAGGTTTGTTACATATATATACATGTGCCATGTTGGTGTGCTGCACCCATTAACTCGTCATTTAACATTAGGTATATCTCCTAATGCTATCCCTCCCCCCCCACCTCACAACAGGCCCCAGTGTGTGATGTTCCCCTTCCTGTGTCCATGTGTTCTCATCGTTCAATTCCCACCTATGAGTGAGAACATGTGGTGTAAAACAATTCTTTATGGACTGTACCTCATATAAATTCCTAGAATTAAGTTCTAAAAAAAAATTCAAGGAGGACATAATAATTTTCTATAAATTAGAAAATTCTATACTGTGCAATTAAATAAAATGGCAGCATAGCTTTGAAACTAAAATCAGATAAGGTAAATTGAAGTATGTGATGAATAAAAATACCATAAATTCTGACCAATATGATTTCAAAATATGATATGGTAGATTAACATTGAAAATGCAATAAATAAAATTAGCCACCATAAGAGGTTAATAGAGAAAAAATATGATTATTGCAATAGATACAGGAAATTCATGGAATAACATTCACCATATATTTACGGGACAACTACCTTATAAACTTTAAATGACTTATTGCAACCATCTGAATTAATGTTGCTTAAACAGCGTGTATCTTGGCTGCTTAAAAACCAGATAAGAATTTCCATAACATTAATTTATTTATAACACCATATTGGGTGTGAACCTATCATAAAGTTCACCCAACTATAAAGGTACACAATTGATGATTTATTAAATTGACACTGTGTGTAGCCATCACCATGACCTAACTTAAAAATGTTTCTCTCACTGAAGTTCTCTCTTGCCCATGTCAATCCCTACTCCCATCTCCAGCCCTAAGCAATACTGCTCTGATATTCTGTCTGTATAAATTTCCCATCTGTGTAATAGAAATGGAATCATACAATATATTATATTGAGGTCTGACTTTAATCATTTAGTTATTATTTTTGAAGTTAATTGATGCTTTAGCTTGTGCCAGTCATGTGTTTTCCTTTTCATTGCTTCATAGTCCATTGTGTGGATATATAAACAGTGTTTATTCATTCATCAGTTGATGGACATTTAATTATTTCTGTTTTTTGTATTATGAATAATGCTGCTTTGAGCATTCATAATACAGTCATGTAATGTATAATAACATTTTGGTCAATGATGGATAGCATGTATGATGGCAGTCCCATAAGATTATGATAGAGTTTAAAAATTCCTATCACCTAGTGTCTTGTAGCTGTCACAAGTGTGTAGCGTAACACATTAGACAGGCATCAGTGATGATGCCGATGGTAAGGAATCTATTGGTCTTCCAGTTATGTTAAAGTACTGTATAGAATGTACAACTATGTGCAGTATATAATACTTGGTAGTGAAAATAAATGACTATGTTCCTGGTTTATGTATTTACTGTGCTATACTTTCTATAATTATTTGAGAATATATTCTATCTGCGTATTAAAACAAACCACTTACCTGTAAAACAGCCTCAAGTAGGCCTTTGAGGATGTATGCTAGAAGGTGTTGTTATCGTAAGAGATGATAGCACCATGTGTGTTTCTGCCCCTTCCAGTGGGACAAGATGTGGAATCGGAAGGCAGTGACATTGATGATCCTAATCCTGTGTAGGCCTAGGCTGATGTGTGTGTCTGAGCCTCAGCTGTTAACAAAAAAAGTTTAAAATTTAAAACTTAAATTTTAAAATAGAAAAAATATAGAATAATATTTTAAAAATTTGCACAGCTCTACAATATGTTTATGTTTTAAGGTAAGTAGTATTACAAAATAGCTGTTTTTAAAATTGTTAAAGTTTATAAATTTTAAATGTTACGGTAGGCTAAGGTTAATTGTTGAATAAATAAAAATATATTTCTATAAATTTAGGGTAGTCTAAAGATACAATGTTCATAAAGTCTATAGTAGTGTACAGTAAGATTCCAGGCCTTCACATTCACTCACCATTCACTCACCGAATCACCCAGAGCAACGTCCAGTCCTTTAAGCTCTGTTCATGGTAAAGTGCCCTATACGGATGTACTAATTTTTATATTTTATACCATATTTTATTGTAGCTTTTCTATATTTAGATTTTAGATATATAAATGCTTATCATTTTGTTACCTTTGCTTGCAGTATTCAGTACAGTTACATGTTGTACAGTTTGAAGCCCAGAGCAATTGGCTGTATCATACAGCCTAGGTGTATAGGGGGCTATGCCATCCAGGTTTATGTAAGTGCACTCTATGATGTCTGCGTAATTACTACATCACTTAACGATGCATTTCTCAGAACACATCACTGTCGTTAAGAGACACATGTCTGTACAAATGACTTTGGAGAATATGCTTTCAGTTCACTTGGAGCATTCCTGGGTGTGGATTTGCTGGACCAAATGTTAAGTTCAAATTTAATTTTTTTTAAGAAACAAGAAAGCTATCTTCCAAATTAGCTATGCCAATGTACATTCCTGCCATGCTGCATAGTACCAATTTCATTGTACACTGTATGGTAAGCCCCAGCATGTAAGAAATGAATAAAGTAACACATATAAAGATGAGTATAAAGCAAATGAGATTATTATTGTTGTTATTGTCTTTGTCAGATTCTCAAAATAATTAAGAATATATTTTTATATAAATGTGCTTGGCAACATAGCTGAAAACAGCATTAGTAGTTATATACTTTTATCAGTAACAAAGACATAAATTTTCAGGGAGAAAAACACTTGTAATAACAATGTCAGAATTAGCATACAAATTCTGCAAAACATTTTTGGCAGTTTAATTGGGGCAGTGTTTTGTAGACAAATGAACAACTTAAGTAAGGGGAATCAACAAAACTTGGGTTTCAAAAGTTATCTGGGTTTAGAGTGTGAAACTTCGTCGGAGGACACACACCTTGCGTGAATGAGATGCCTGTGTGTGTGTGGACATGTTGGAGGAACAGCATAATGGTGGCTTCCTCCAGAAAGGGACATTTGGGGGAGCACCAATGGCTCCTGACTCACAGTGGATTCATTCCACCTAGACAACACAGCCTGATGTGGCCTGGACATGAATGGAGGTCAAATGGGCAGTAGCTGAGAGGATCAGCCCTGACAAGGGCCAGGGTAAAAGACCTGGGAGTCTCTTCAGGTGCAAAGTCTTCAGTTGAAAAAAGGAGGTGGTCACAGGAGATACTGAGCTGGATCAATAAAGTGCAGGAGAGAGAGTTGTTGGCCCTGGGGAGTGAGTAGTATGGACTCTTAATTTTTCTCCTCCCTCCATTAATTTCTCTTCCAGTGCAGACTTCAGTCTTAGACTTCCCAGCTGCCTTGAGGGATTGGATGAGCCTTGGCCAGCTCTTGAAGGTAAAGGAAAGCACCTACAAAGATTGGCATCTGGGCTTGGCTGTGCATGTTTTCTATTCTGGGAAAATATACATAACACAATATTTATTTGAACCTTTTAACAAATGTGTGCACTCAGTGGCATTCAATATATTCACAGTGTTGCATAACCAACACTACTATCTACACCTGAAATTTTGATTATTTCTAACGAAACCTTGAAGACAGTAAGCAATATACTTCCTTTCCCCCTATTTCCAGCCCATGGTAATTTCTTTTTCTTTTCTTTTTTTTTTTTTTTTTTAGGAAACAATAAAATCATTTTAATGTGCTACTTTTCATTTTGAAGTCGTTACAGTATCATTTGCAAAACTCAACAAGGAAAGATGCCTGTGGATGGCCGTGTTCTGGGAGTCACTGTGATGAGGTGCTGCCTGCTTTCGCCCAACCTGATCTGGGGCTCAGACAGCTAACAGGCCCGAGTGGCTAGGAGGTTTGGAGGGAACCAGGTTTCGCTGTGATGAAAGCACCTTGCTGTGGGCTGGGAGGTGGGAGTGCAGGGCAGCCTGGGCCCCCCTGGCCCCATACTCAGATCGGCAAGTGCCCAGTGGAGGCCACATGGCCCCAGCACCAACCAATGTAGGGTCTGTGGGTCCCAGCATTTCCACATCCTGAAAAGTGAGACGTGAACTGTTTCCTAGGCAAGTTCTCTTCCACTGTGTTCTGGATGAGGTCTGTGAGCTCCTTCCAGTTTCACAAAGAATGTGCAGAAGGTGGAAAGAGTGAGGGACGCAGGCCCAGCTGCAGCTGCACTCAGGCCCCTCAGTCATAAAGTCCGGGTGAGGGGCTGAGTAGGCGCTGACAGGAGAACAGCCCCTGTTCCTCTTCCCTAGCCAGGTTCTCACACGTCCCTGAGGAACTAGAGAGGAACGCCTCTGGGAAGCCCAGCCAGAGCCAACTGGAAGGGCCTTTTGGTGAAGTCTGACATCCTACATTAGTTTCTCTGGACCTGGGTAAGAACCGGCCCCCAGGGGAAGGACTGTTTTGCCAGCACCAACTCTCCAGCTGGGCTGTTGGTTCCCATTGCCTCCCGTCATGGATACAGAAAATCAGCCAGGCTATTCCTAGTGTAGTAAATACAGAGCTGGCTGAGGCAGGGCCAGCTGAGGTGCAAACTCCATGGGGTTTGCTGTCAGTCCGCCAGCCATCTGTCCAGCAGGCCTCAGCTTCACAAACAGGAAAACAGAAGGAGTGCATCTACTCACTGGGTGTCACACTGCCCCTGCTCACAGCCACCACCTGCATCGAGGCAACCTGCAGGCGGGAGTTTGGTTCCAGGAGGTGTCTGTAAACTTCTGTCCTGGGGTGGGCCACTGCAGATGGCCTGTCCTTGCTTTCTCATCACCAAATCCCCGTTTTGGTGCTGACGCATCCAGACGTTAAAATCGCTGATGTTTTCACAAGACCCACAAAGAGGGAGGGTCCAGGCACATTTTTTCTTTCCGTATCACCCTGGAGTGATGGGGAAATTTCCCCAAAAACCATGTGTACTGTGATTGCACATATTGGGGTGGGTATATTAGACTAGGGGGCCGCGGATGGGTGGGGAAAATCTTTCATGTGAGGTATTCCTCTAAGCAATTCTTGACAACTCTTTTCTCCTCCCTTCTGGAAGCTTCTGGCACTGGAGGTGGAGGCACGGCATGTCAGGGGTGCAGGTCAAGACCACACATGCTTGGCACAGTACACAGAGCTTGGCTGGGCTGTGGGTGGGTGAGCATATGCAGGAGGGCCCTTGGCTTTGGCCACCGAATGCCCCTTGCTGGCTAGTCAGCCGGGACCACCCCTGCCCCTCCCACTCACACATTAGGCAAGCTCTTCACAGATCCTGCGTGTGTCCTCAGGCACAGTCATGGAGTAGCCCACGGTTCTGGAGTCTGTGAAGGTCTCGTGGTCGTTGCCACCTGGTATGATTTTGTCTCCAAAGAAATAAATGGCTTTATAACCGTCGTTTTTCACATGTCACAGGCAATACCTCTTGCCCCATCCATCAGGAAAGACATCAAAGCTGATCTGGCCTCCTGTGAAAAACATGAGGGCTTTTCCTGCAAACTCTTTCCTTGATCTGCTACAACTTTTTCTCTTATATTTTCTCTTTTATTGAATTCATAGAACTCAATGCATTCTTCTTGTCTGCAGCTTCTTCCAAATAGGGGACATGTTTAACATCCCATTTCAGAATTCAATTAAAGTACCCCTCTTCTTCAGGAGTTTAATTTTTGCATTGCAGCTCAGACAATAGTTGATTAAATCTTGGATTTGGACCTCACCCAGGTGACTTTGAATATTCCATTTACACGAGGATTTCCCATGTTTGTGTGCTACCAAGCCATTTTCTGGAAACACGTAATCATATTTTTCAACCACAGCATTTCCCAGTTGCTCCTGCGCTTCCTCAAAGTCCAACCTGCCTACCACTCCGATTTTGATCTTCTGCCTCAATTTTTGTAGGAAGTCATCCATTTCTTTGGTAATTTTCTGCTGCGGGGTGGTCAGGGTCCCATCAACGTCCAAAAGGCAGAGCACTGGGCCGGGTGCTGCCATGTCCCCGGTTTCCAACTGCACCTTACAAGACTGGTTGGTACCAGCCCATGGTAATTTCTATCCCATCTTCTGTGTCTGTGCATTTGATTATTCTAGGCACTTGATTTTAGTAGAATCCTACAATATTCCTTTTGTGTCTGGCTTATTTCATTAGGCATAGTGTTTTCAGTATCCATCCGCATTGTATCATATATCAAAATTGTTTTTTACAGATGGATGATGTACCATTACATGTATATACCACTTTGTTTTTATACATTCATTTGTTCACTGATAGTTGGATTTTTCCATCTTTTGGCCCTTGTGAATAGTGATGCTATCAACATTAGTGTACAAATATCTGTTTAAGTGCTGTTTGCCATTCTTTTTGGTATATACCTACTACTAGAATTCCTGGGTCCAGTGGTAGTTCTATGTTTAACCTTTGGAGCAACTGCAAACTGTTTTTCACAGTGATTGCAACTTTATACATTTCTACCAGCAATGTATCACAGTTATAATTTCTTGTTTTCCTTTAAACACTTATTTTAAACTATTTTCCTTTAAAAAAATTATCCGGCCGGGCGTGGTGGCTCACGCCTGTAATCCCAGCACTTTGGGAGGCTGAGGCAGGTGGATCACAAGGTCAGGAGATCGAGACCATCCTGGCTAACACAGTGAAACCCTGTCTCTACTAAAAAATAGAAAAAAAATTAGCCAGGCCTGGTGGCGGGTGCCTGTAGTCCCAGCTACTTGGGAGGCTGAGGCAGGAGAATGGCGTGAACCCAGGAGGCAGAGCTTGCAGTAAGCCAAGATAGTGCCACTGCACTCCAGCCTGGGCGATAAAGCAAGACTCTGTCTCAAAAAAAACAAAAAAAATTATCCTAAGGCCAGGCACAGTGGCTCACACCTGTAATCCCAACACTTTGGGAGGCTGAGGTGGGTGGATTACGAGGTCAGGAGTTCAAGACCAGCCTGGCCAAGATGCTGAAACCCCGTCTCTACTAAATGTACAAAAATTAGCTGGGCATGGTGGCACGCGCCTGTAATCCCAGCTACTTCAGAGGCTGAGGCAGGAGAATCGCTTAAACCTGGGTGCCAGAGGTTGTGAGCCAAGATCAAGCCACTGCACTCCAGCCTGGGCAACACAGCAAGACTTCGTCTAAAAAAAAAAGAAAATTATCCTAGTAGGTGTATATTGGTACCTGTTTGTGCTTTTCACTTGCATTTCCCTAATGACTAATGATGCCGAGCAGCTTTTCCTCTGCTGGGTATACCTCCTTTAGAGACTTATATATTCAGGTACTTTGCCCATTTTTAGAATTGTCTTTTGTCTTTTGTTTATTGTTGTTGTAGATTTTTAGGAGTTTTAGAATATATTCTAATTTTTAATTTCCTACAAGATGTATAATTTGCAAATATTTCTCCCTTTGTTTAGAACTTTAGATGTACAAACTTCCTTAATTTGTATAAAATTGATTTTTTTCTATTTATTATACTTTAAGTTCTGGGATAAAAATTGATTTTTTTAAGCATTGCCTTATTTTTAGTGTCATATTCATTAAAAGGTTGCTAAATTCACTGCTATGAAACCTTATCCCAATATTTTCTTCTGAGAGTTTTATAATTTTAGCTCTTATATTTAGGTCTCTGACACATTTTGAATTAATTTTTCATATGGTGTAAAGTAAGCATTCAGTTTGTTTATCTGAATGAGAATGTGCAGTTTTACCAACATCATTTGCTGAAGAGGCTTTCCACTTTCCATTGTATATTTATGGCACTTTGTTGAAGATCACTTGGCTATATATGTATGCGTTTAATTCTGGCCTATCAGTCCCAGTGGTCCTTATGGGTGCCCTAATTCTAGGACCATACTTTCTGAGTATATGTAACTGTATTGTACATTTCAATCTCATAAACGTGTGTCCTCCAACACAATTCTTTTACAATGTTATTGAATATTTGAGACCCCTGGAAAATTCATTCAAAATTGAGGGTTTTCTTATCCATTTTTGCAAACATGGTTGTCAGCAGTTTGACAGGGGTTGTGGTGCATCTGTACATCACTTTGTATAGTATTGCACTTGAATAATGTTTAGTCTTCCTGTCCATGAATACAGGATGCCTTTCTACTTATTTATATCCTCTTTACTTTATTTCAGCAATGTTTTGTTCTTATTGAGGTATAAGTATTTTGCTTCCTTGGTTAGCTATCTTACTAAGTATGTAATCATTTTACATGTTATTGTAAATGGAATTACATATGCAATTTTCTTATTGGACTGTTCATTGTTGGTGTATATTAACACAGCTGCCATTTGAGTGTCAACCTTATACTCTGCAACTTTGAACTTGTTAACACTAATACATTCTTATACATTATTTCATATTTTCTATATATAAAAAGGTAGAGAAGTTATTGGCTTCATATCTATTTTCTCAAGATATGAAATGTATATTGCTACTGTACAGTTAAATTCATACTCCCTACTGAATGATGTCCTTCCAAATGGCCTAGTTAGATTGTTCAAAAAATAATTTGTCTTCTTATTCCACAATTTATAGTTTTAGTTCTTTCTTCAAGATGATGTCTTTGTTTTTTTCCTTTTAGTAATACGTAGTATTTCTCATTCTGTTCTGCACACCAAGGCTCCCTGTTAGCTAGTAACTGGAAGAATATGGCAATGTCTATTTTGTTTTTGCTTTAACATCATTAATTACCTTTTAAATTACTAATATCAGAAATTTACAGTGAATCTGGAGTGGAGGAAATGTGCAGGGAAGCATTTCACAAATGAAGGAAGCCTGACCTTCCTTTTAACATGGCTTCCTTCTTTTCCTGAGACGGAAATGTATACTGAGCTCATGACGTGTGAGAGCCTGTTGCTTTTGCTTCTCCTCATATCATGAGTTTTCCCAAATATCTAATGATAATGTCTGTGTCTAGGTCCATTTAACTACCACAACATGATTCCTAAACATATTTTTTGTGTATTACCCAGAATTCTCTACTTACAGACATATCAATAATATACTTTCACCCAACCCATTGCCCTCCTCAGAGGTAAGAGATGCCCAAAATGGTTCTCCTGTCGCTTCATCCCAAGCACTGCTCCAAGGCTGGGCTGTGCTCATCTCTGTAGCTGGGCAGTGGGCTCAGGCAGAGCCACTTACATTTGGGAGGAATAAGTCATATGAGATAATAGTGTATCATGAGTTTAGAACACCAAGATGATATAGCAGGTCACTCTCCTCTCCAGGTAAACTGGTGTTCATCCCATTGGACCAGGTATCTGTGGATTTTTTGTCAGGTTACTGGTTCATTTTGTAGACAGCACTCACTTAAAAAAAATTTTTTTTGGAAGTAGCCACTGCATGGAATCAGGATGTCACCAAAAGCATTTTTGACACCTAGAGCTATCTGATTCCTTCAAAACCAAGTTTGGGCTAAGCTGAAGTGGTTATTTTTGGACAAAACAGGTCTGTGTTATGGAATCAGCCCTGACTTGGAAGCTTATCTCCTGGGTTTGAAAGCAGCTCTGAATCTTGCTAAGTTGTGAGACCTCAGGCAAGTCAGTTCACCTCTAATTGACCTTGCTGACCATACACAACACACACTTTACTTTTAGTACCCCATTCAACCCTCACTGCAAACCTCACCTAAGTTGTGGTAGTTTACTGTCCAGACTCCTTAGATGGAGAAACTGAGGTGCTAAATGAATGTGCCCAAACTTGCAGGATCCTAAGTGAAGGAGACAAGATGTGAACCTAGACATGTGGCCCCAAGGCTGAAGCAAGTGAGTCGTTGAACTGCAGTTATCACGCCGAGAAGGGTAGCTCTCAACCCTGCCATGAGTTATAAGCATAGGTGGCTCCCTCACTCATGTGTGTCCTAGAATTCTGCGAGTCTGCAGACATCCCAGGCATTGGCTGTGATTACAGGGTGGCCACAGTAATCACATAGCTTAGGGCAGACATCAGTGAATGTAACTGTATCACTGGGCATAGTCATTGGTGTGGGCAGTACAGAGAGGGCCCAGATACTTCTCATGCCATGGCCAGGTCACAAGTTCTGGTCACTGGGAAGCAGCACTGAGAGACTTTCATGAACTTCTTTCAGTGCTGAGGATACTCCTCAGCATTTGGCCCCAAACAGGTAGGATTGAAGAAATATTTTTGAAACAGTAGAGTGTATTATCACCAAAAGACCTAGGAGTGATCAAATCCTGCAAGCTACACATGAGGCACAATGACAAATAAGGCAGCAAAGGGCCATTTGGTGATTAGTTCACCAAACTTGTTGCAACTGTTTGTACTGCAGAGTTAAAACATACCAGTATTCAACCCACATCTCCTCTCCTGAAATAAACTGTCCAACATCAGCTGGCCAGAACAAGCACAGATATTCTTCAAACTCAACTAATATGCATACATGACAAAGAAAAGGCGGTCTGGATGAAAAAATAGTGGGTTATTAATAATGGTTATTTTAAAGGATATAATTTCAGTGTTTCTAATTCTGTCATTGATTATAACAAAGGATTAGTGAATAAATACAATAGACTGTTTTGCCTGGAATTGAATCCAATCTGTCCATTAAACTTTGCTTTTATTCAAGTGCAAAATCCTAAAACACATAATAACTGCAGTGACAGCCAATGTGGATCCATTGACATAAAAATGGTCTTGGGGCATAAATCTTACAAGCTAATATTGTTTTACGGGGTTTAGAAAACCATTTAGCTGGGTTTCAAAACCGGCAGTGTGAGTAATGGGATTCTCATCAAATTACAGCATGTACTTCAGTACTGTTTGTAGACTGACTTATTCTTGTTGCGTTAGGTTGCCATTAGCAAAATGCCAGGGACTCAGTTTCTCACTCCTTTCATGCTCCTCTTTCTTGCCTGTCTTTTCATGAGGAAAAATTTTCTAGCGCAGTCCAAGCTGTGCTTTTAACCGAACACATCCACACACACTGTCCTATTGTCTACCTTCAGCAGAGCTCCCTGGATAAATCATGAACAGAAGCATCTATGACCGACAGTTGCTCTGTGTCCTTCTAGCCTCGCAGGAGTTTCCAGCTCATGAGGGCAGAGGAGATGAAGAGAGGCCGATCGACGTGAGGGTGAGGTTGCCTTGCTTTCCCTAAAATAGACATGTTCCTTTCTTGGTTGCTTTTTCAATTAATTTTACATGTGAAAAAAACGATGTGCATTATAGACATTAAATACTGTTTTCTGGGGTGGTGGAAGAAGAGATTCTTAGCAACTGATATGTAACCCAAAATGACATTTACGTATGATGGCCTCAGGTTATAGACTGTATCCCTGGGGTCCTTGTTCTTGGAAGCAATGTCTTCTTGGATTAAGCATTTTGCACTTGCCGACCTAAATGGACCTAAGAGATACACCTTCTAGGAAAAACTCATGTCTTTTCCAGTGTGCATCCTACCCTTGTTTTGGGAGCCTTGGAGTTGACTACAGTTTCTGATGCAGTTTTTAATGCTCTTTGAGAGAAACAGAGCCAGGTGCAAACAATCCACAGCTCAATGTGCCCCTCATATAGCTTTGTTTCTGTATTGCAGGTCGTGCAGGTGGCCCCTCTGAGGTGTGACTCCAGTAAGTACTCTGGAATTACTTGCTGAGAAAGAAAAGTCTGGATGTCAAGAAAGGTGTGACATCCTTGCTGGCTTCAATGTGAAGAGCCACCCTGATTCTGGGATTCTGATAGGAATAAGGGTAGTGGACTTTTTTTTTTAAGTTCTCCAGGCAAAAATTATGACCAAATGTCTCCATCTGATGAAGCAGCTGCATTCCTATGGGGGCGGTGGGCTGTGCGCTTGCCTGGTGTCTTATGAGTCTGCATCGTGTGATATGATTGTGTGTGTTTTCGTATAGGGGAGGCTGTGTGTTTTCTCAGGAGAGATTTTCCATTTACACAGCACAATTGCCAGTCTCCACTTCTAAAAAGTAAAATCCACCCCTGTTCTACTCTCTCCATACATGACTAATTCACCCGTGCCAGAGCCACCTTTCATTACCCTCACTGCTCAGGTGGAGAATCTGAAGGGCCAATGGGAGTGGCCCCAGCTTTGGAGCTCCTGAATGAAAAAGTCAAAACATGAGCTCAGGTGTGTGGCCCAATGCTGACAGTCACCTGCTGACATGCACTTATGCGTCAGTCACAGGGTGTTCATCACCATGCAGGAGTCCAGCATTCATGTACAAGCCCTAAAGCACTGAGCCTGAGAGATCCCAGACTCTGCCCATCACCATAAAGTGACCTCCATGGTCACATAACCCAGAGCAGTTATAGGCACATCTTCCTACAGACCAGCATAGTCCTCAGTGTCAAAAGCACAAAGATCCCCGGATGTTTTGGGTCAGCTCACAGGTTCTAAGATGTGGGGGACCATATAGAACAGTTCTGAAGTTATTTTGCTCAGCAGCTGGCCAAAGCTTATAAGGATCAGTGATATATTTCAGTAGATTTAGTAATGTTCACAAGCCCTAAAATGCTCAAAACCTGCCAGCTAAAAATGGTGAAGAGAGACAGATAAGAACACTGCTCCACTCAGTGTGGTTTCCGTTGCCTCGTGGCAACTCTGTTATACATCTGGATTAAGGACCCTCAGCCTCAACCTAACCTTTCCTCCATGAGGAACCGTCTCACTGTTAACTGACTAGTGTAGCCTGCCTGGCCATTAGCCTACGTGAAATAAAGTTTTGCTTTAAAACAAGTGTAAATCTCATACAGCAGATAAGTGCAGTAGCAGCAGCATCTTGCAAGTTGTAAAGAAGATAGCGGCGATGTAGCTGGACTTGAAGCCAGACAGGAGGAATTAGGGAACTCTGTCACTGAATTACAGCACGCAGAGTTGAAAACCATTTGTAGACAATTTCGTGTTACAGTAGGTAGCCTTTAGCTAGTAAGCAAAGGTCTCTGTTTCTCATTTCTTTCCTGTTCATCTTCATTGTTGTCCTTCTTCCAAAACGGCAAACAGCCAAAGCAGAAGGCAATTTCAGTATTAATCTAACTAAGGTTTTGTGTAGTTTACTATCATCCAGGTAAGCAAATATAACTGCCTGCCTGCGTGCCTGCCTGTCCCCAACCCCTGCTCTGCGTTTTCATTTAATAAATATTTTGGTGTTCTACTTACCATGTGCTAGATTTTCTGGAAACCACAAAGAAAATGAGGTAGAGTCTTTATATTGACAGCTGATAAGTTAGATTTAACATAACTGACAAAAATTAAAAATTGCAACTTTTATAAAAATACCTTATATATGTCTGAATACATACTGAATGTAAGGTAGTTGACAAAAATAATTACACCTGCACTTACGGGCAGTTTCTCATGAACTTGTCAATTTCTATTTTTTCTACTTCCTCATTTCAGTAGATGATGCATATCTGAACCTGGAAACCGCTTCCCACTGTAGAGCGTGTCTGAGTCATGTCCCTTAGCTTCAGCAGAGCAGATCCAGCAGGCTCTGAGCTTGACCTCTTTGCCTGAAGCGAGACCTCTAGGTAACGTCTCCAGGGAGGGTGGCACAAAGGATCCTGGATCTCCTGATCACAGCAGCCCAAGAGTGCCGTGTGTGCACCATGGCTCAAGAAGACTTAAAAAGGGGAAAGTATGACTATTTCTAATCTGTAGTATTTCAGTATTTTTAATGTTTCGGTAATCTGTATGAAAAAGAATTTGCAATAAATAGAATAATTTGCCTAAAATTGAATCTATTTCACCAATAAAATTGGCTTTTAATCAAGTGATAAATCCTGTAAAATAGATAATAAATGCAGTACCAACATAGTTTGATTCTAGTACACTGAGATAATCTTGAATACGTTAAGAAAGTCTTGTTTGTATAGAAGAGTTTCAAATCATGTGAGTGATGAAGGGACCCTTCTGTTGAACCTTGGTGTGCATTTTAGGTCCATTTTGGGTTTACTCCTTTGTGCTGCTTCATGATGCCTTAGGACAAGGACAAGGCCTAGGCCTCCTTGTCTCAGTTCCCTCCTGCTCTCTCTGTTGCCCTCCTCCTTCCACCTGGAGCATGGCCCAGCATCAGGTTGGCGCATGCTGTGATCAGCTACCTCCATGTACCACACCAAGCAAAGCTCTCTGGGTGACACAGTTGCCACCACCAGGGCACTGACCCTTACTCTGTGTTCTCCTAGCTCCTCCTGAGGGTGCTGTAGGAGACATCTGCAAAAAAGAAGATGCTGGCAATGTAAGACACTTTTCTTGGTCTTAAACCGAAATGTTACTTTCCTGGCTGCTTTCCTTTCCAGTCAAATATACACATGGGAATCTGACAGGGTGCATTATCTATGATGTCCACAGTTCCCTTGCTGGGTGGTACTGGTTGGCAGCCTCTCACCAACCCACACCTGGCATACTGGGGCCTTGTAGATGGCAGCATTCCCTATCCACTGCAATGCAGAGGACTTTCCCTCAGCAGCAGTTTTCCCCATGGATTAAGAGTTGTGAAAGTGGCTGGGTCCGGTGGCTCACACCTGTATTCCCAGCATTTTGGGAGGCCAAGACAGGCGGATCACCTGAGGTCAGGAGTTCAAAACTAGCCTGACAAACATGATGAAGCCCCGTCTCTACTAAAAATACAAAAGTTAGCTGGGCTTGGTGGCATGTGCCTGTAATCCAGATACTTGGGAGGCTGAAGAAGGAGAATCGCTTGAATCCGGGAGGCGGAGGTTTCAGTGAGCCGAGATCAAGCCACTGCACTCCAGCCTGGACAGCGAGACTCCTTCAAAAAATAAAAATAAAAATAAAAAAGAGTTGTGAAACTGCCCATCTAAATAAACCTTAAAGGTAAATTCTATTGGAAAAGTTCTTGTCTTTTCTGTAGGTGTACTTTGTGCTAGTTTTGGGGGACTTTGACCTTTGACTCTACCACTATACTTACAATTTTCTAAAGTTGCCAAGAGAATAACAGATATGTGTGACATGCGTGGCATCATCTAATCCTCCTAATGTGTTCTATAATTGCAGATGCCATCAACCTCAGAGGGGAGTATTTACCTTGAAATGGCTCACTTCCTGAGGAACAAACTTGCTGGATCTAGTGTACGGAAACCTGATTCTGGGTTCCTTTGGGAAGGAGCATTACGGGCCTGGTGAGAGCAAATGACTTTCCAGTAGAAAGCTATGGCCAGAGAGGCTGCAGGAATATCTGTGAACCCAGAGGAAAGACCAGGGAATCCTGTGTGAGGCAGTGGGGCTTCAGCGGGACTAGGAGTGGGTAGCCTCTCTCAAATGACTTCTCCTGTTGTTTGTGTTTCTCCAGTGTGGGTGCTGGAGAGCATAACTGATGAGGAGGACTCTCCAGCTAGGGAACTGCTTTCCAGGTGGGACTCAGTGGGCAAGGGTTCCCAGGGCCCTTCAGGGTATTCCTGCTGCTTGGGAGGCTGAGGGAGGGGGCATAGAATCAAAAAGAAAAAGGAAATATGTGTAAAGTTTGGTTTGGTCTTTTCCAAGTTTATTGGCGTAGTGGTGAGAACTGTCTCTATGGGCTATGAGGGTGCCGTGTTGTTTAAAGATGATCTTTCCCAAAACACCTTTTCTGCCTCTGCATCTGCCAAACATCACAGCTTCTGCGTTGGATTAGTCAGCACTCCTTGATATTGTGCAAAAGAGGTTTAGGGTTCCCTCAACCTGTGGTGGAGGGAAGGTGAGGGCCACGCCTCTCACAGGCACATGCTTGAACCTGGAGACAAAGTACTCCTAGGGTTTGCCCAGGGCTGTAGGAAACCTTGATGATCATCCTCTGAACTTTTAGGACTTTTAAAAGCACATTCATGTTTCTGTCCTCGCTGTTGACTCCTGGTTTAAAGGGATTGCCCAGGGTGGATGACAGAGCGAATATTCACTCTGGGTTCACTGCTGGAGCTCCAGTGCCCTGGGAGGGGAGAGGAGAAGCCTGACCTTGAGCACAGCTCCAGCCTCCACTCCCCACCCCTATCGCAGGCTCTGGGCTGTGGTTTCATTTTCCCCAGTTCTCTAACTTCTCAGGAAGCCCAGAGTTTCTCCCTAAAGAAAGGTGGCCCTGCACTCTTTCCTCTCCTCCAAAATTAGGCTTCAGTAGTTGTCCTCTAAGTTGATATTTAGACCTTAAAATCTAGACTTCTTGGATCAACAAGAAATACGCAGGAAGTTCCACATGATCTCGTGTGATAGCACGTAACTTAGTGCTACAGGTGACAGTTTTATTTTTGGAGGAGTCTTATTTTACATAGGGAAATAGAAAACTAAGTGGCTTCCCTTGAGGCAGCCCGAGGGCTCCACTGGACCCAGAACTCTGAGTTCTGATGCTGCCTATCATTTGCTTTTCCTCATGAGCTCCTGGACCACCTCATATCACCAGCACCCTCTACCCAAGGTCCTGGAGCCAACACTGGAGTAAAAGAGCACAAGAGAACTCCTTAGAGGTGGAAGGTAAGACAGCCCTGCTTTCTCCCTGAGATTTCTCTGCAAAAAGTGCAGACAAAAGTAAATTGGAACCCCTCAATGGGGTTCCATTGGAATTATCTACAGAGTTTTAGAGTGGGGAAGGATAGCAGAGAACATTTAATTCAACTTTTTCTCTTCCCAGATACAAAAATTGGGGTTATACCTTTAACCCCAATGAAAAAATAGTAGTTTCTTCATCATTACAGATGTCCCTGTTTTTTTGTTTTTTGTTTATTTGTTTGTTTGTTTTTTGTCTTTTGTTTTTGACGGAGTCTCGCTCTGTCACCCAGGCTGGAGTGCAGTGGTGTGATCTCGTCTCAGCTCACTGCAACCTCCACCTCCCAGGTTCAAGCGATTCCCCTGCCTCAGCCTCCCAAGTAGCTGGGACTACAGGCACATGCCAACATGCCCGGCTAATTTTTTATATTTTAGTAGAAATGGGGTTTCAACATGTTGGCCAGGATGGTCTTGATCTTCTGACCTTGAGATCCGCCCACCTCAGCCACCCAAAGTGCTGGGATTACAGGTGTGAGCCACTGCACCCGGCCCCTTACCATCTCTTATTTCTTCCTCTACTTATGCTCTCTGCCCTAAATGGGGTCCTCAGGACCATCCATCAGTGTCTTCATAGAGAATGGAATTTGCACCTTCTCTGTGGGATAATGCATTGCCTCTACACAGTTCATGCATATTCTATGAAAGCAGTATCCAGCCATTAACACATTACTACAGTGTTTACCAATGGCATTCAGTGAGTTTGGACATGATGGACAAGGACAGACTCAGAAGGGACTAATTTCAAGAGGGTACTTTGTCAAGTCAGGCCAAGGGTCCCTGAAGGCAGTGGGGTGAAAGGCAGCAGCCAAAAAGGATGTTTGACATTTTCTCATTTTCCGGTCACAATTTTCAAATAGACCTATGTTGTCACAGGAATTTGCAAAACATCTCAAAATTAAATTTTAACACACGTATAGAAAGCAGGGAAAACACGAATGTACAGCTCAGTGATTCCTCACAAAATGAGCACCCATGCACCCCTAGTCAGGTCAGTATTCCAGACCCACTAGCCACCTTTGGGTCCCTTCTGAAGGTGACTGCTGTGACTTCTAATGCCCTGTTTAGACTTCTCCAGGTTTGCATAATTATGCATAGAAGAAGTCAATATGTATTGCTTGGTGTCTGGCTTCTTTGCTCACGTTGTTTTAGAGATTCAGTCAGGTAGTTAAGCATAACCATAGCCCTTTCGTTTCCTCACCGTATAGTATTCCACTGCGGTCACATGTTGTAATTTATCCACTACTATTGATGGATATGAGGATTTTTTTTATAATTTTGGCTATCACAAATAATGCTGCTTTGAGCATTTTTGTCAATGTTTTTGAATAATACAGGCACCCATTTCTGTTGAGAAGATTGTGAGAAGGGTGCATATCTTTTATTTTCATTAATAACACCAAACTTTTTCCTAAATGGTTACATTAAATTATGCTCCTTTAACAGCCTACGAGAGTAGCCATTTCTCCAAATCCTTGTCAAGTTTTAGTTTTATCTCTCATTAAGAGTTGAATTACTCTGGTTAGTCTTTCATTTGAATAGCCTTTTATTTTTAAAATGTAACAAAGAAAAGAAACTTCATCTTATTCTAATTATGTTAATTTTCGTAATCAAATTCAGCACACCATCAGGCATCTCGAACAGATAAGTGGTGGTAGCTTACTTTTTCCTGAGCAATGCACACATTTTCCATTTACAAACATTAATATGACCGGGCACAGTGGCTCATGCCTGTAATCCCAGCCCTTTGGGAGGCTGACGCAGGCAGATCACTTGAGGCCAGGAGTTTGAGACCAACCTGGTCAACATGGCAAAACCCCATCTGTATGAAAAATATAAAAACTAGGTCCAATATGGCGGCACCCAGTGGCGGTGTGAACTGTGAGGAGTTCGCCGAGTTCCAGGAATTACTCAAGGTGATGAGGCCTATCGATGACAGAATAGTACATGAATTAAACACTACAGTTCCAACGCCTTCCTTTGCAGGGAAAATTGATGCCAGCCAAACCTGTAAACAACTTTATGAGTCTTTGATGGCAGCTCATGCCAGTAGAGACAGAGTCCAAAAAAATTGTATAGCCCAGACTTCAGCAGTAGTAAAAAACCTCTGAGAAGAGAGAGAAAAGAATTTGGATGATTTAACGTTATTAAAGCAACTTAGAAAAGAGCAGACAAAGTTGAAATGGATGCAGTCAGAACTGAATGTTGAAGAAGTGGCAAATGACAGGAGCTGGAAGGTGTTTAATGAACGCTGCCAAATTCACTTCAAGCCGCAAAAGAATGAATAAAAAGTTTTGTTTTTTTTAATTTATTTTTTTATTTTTAGGACTGGCTCATCTCATGAGAGCTAAGCATGACAGATATCAACAGGGCGGGTTTTCTAGGACCATTTCTGAGCCAACAGTCCAAGACGTTTTGTTGATTTCAGCCCCACTTAGCCAAGACCTCAAGTATAAATAATTCTGATAATTATGGAGAAATCAACTGCTATTTTATACTGATTCTGAAAAAAAAAGTTTTGTAACTATTAAAATAATTTTCTGAAAAAAAAAAGAAAAATATAAAAATTAGCTGGATGTGGGGGCACATGCCTGTGGTTCCAGCTACCAGGGGGCTGAGGGATGAGAATTGCTTGAACCCAGGAGGAGGAGGTTGCAGTGAGCCGAGATCATGCCACTGCACTCCAGTCTGGGTGACAGAGCAAGATTCTGTCTCTTAAAAAAAAATTAATATATCAATCATTTTGAATTGTAATCTTTCTGTAATGCTTCCTTTTAACATTTACAAACGGAGGAAACTAAACTATTGAAATTTGTGAAGTAGTAAAATTATGATTTCAGCTGTGCCCCTTATCCTGCAATACTCATTTGTCAGTGCCTTTAGGACTCATGTCACATGGATTAAACTTAGAGTGAAACACAAAGCCAAAATTATGGCCAGGGGGTTGTTGACTCACATGACCTCTTCAGGAGGCAGTTTGGTTCTGCCAAGGTTAAAGATAGTGTAACTTTCTAGCCATCCTACTTCCAGGAATGCTTCACCAGATACAATCATGCATGAGTGCCAGGAGCGATGCAGAAAAAGCTGTTCACTGCAGCATGGTTTCAATAGCAAGATTACTTTATAGCTCTTAAATAATGAAATGGATTTACATTTGAAATGCAGAATGGTAGCTAAGATGCATTGACCAGTGATATATGCAGAGCTACAGAAGACTTTGTTTAAATATAATCATGCAGAAGCATGCGTTCCTGGTGCTTGTCTGTATTTGCAGATACAGTGCAGGGATGATATGCAAACAAAAATGCTAACTTGGTGTTTGGGAGTTCAGAGTGGAAGGGAAACTTCCTTTCAAACCCTTTCAGATATTTAGAATAATTTCTAACCATAAATATGTAATACATTTAGAAATTAAGTTAATAAGAAAAGCTTACAGTTCTGTTCTTCTCCTGGGCACATGTCTGGTGGACATGGGGCTGTCATAGTAAGTAATGTGTGTAAACTGAGAAAAATCCAAGAATGGGAGTCTGCTTTTTTCATCAAATGATTCTTAAGAGTAGTAGTGTGGTGGTTATTGCTCATTGATATATTACAAATATGTACTAGATAATTTCTGACATTTGAACTGTATTTACATGTGTTGAATTGAAATACCTAGATAAAAATTGAAATACGTAGATAAAATATTGTGACTAATGTAGGCAAACAATAGCTTTTTTGGCATTTTACAAACTGATCATCATTCCTCATGGCACAGGTTCATGTGATATCAAGTAGCTTGCTTTGTTTGGGAAAGGCAATGATGACTGCAAGAATCACTTCAAAAACTAAAGCACAATGGAGATTTCAATTGTGTTCTGTTTAATATTTGAATATTTAATTACATTCCCAGGTTATTTCTCATCCTAATAGTTCTCACCCACATCATGTGGGTCCCATTAGTACAGGTATCTCCGAGTGCTCCACTCTTCCATTACATTGAGTCAATTGCTCATGACCTTGGGCCTCCAATTGGGGCTATTTTCGGGCTATCCATCTCCTGGTCTATAGTAAAAAGCCAATGAGCAGATAAGTGAATACTGAAAAACATTTTTCCTGCTGGAGTGAGAAATAAATGGTCTCTTTCAATAGGGTAGTAAAATGCATCTTTCCCAACCTATTTATATGACTCAAAGCCCAGATGTGGTTAGCCTTAATTCCTGATTGTCATCTATGTGTGTAAATACATAGCACATACATATTCTAGTCTCTATTTCTTATGAAATGTTTTTGTCTCCCATGGCACAGTGCAGAAGAACACAGGTGTTTGTGTCAGACAGCCAGGGTCCAATCCTGCTTCTGCTGTAGTGCAATGTAGGTAATATCTGGCCTGCATTTGGTTTATATGTAGGAGCTCTGTCTTGGTTTAATGATTTTTAAATGCTACTAAATTCAGCTACAGAGGAAGCTGTTTAGATTTGTAGAAAATGGAAACTTTAAAAAATTTTCTTCCCAGAAGCCAAGAACACTTGACTCATGTCAAGTCTACTTATTTATCCACCGGTCCATCTGTCTGTCCATCTACCCATCATCCAACCATGGAACTCAGTGCCAACTCCTGAGGTGGTAATGCATTACAGACTCTCCTGTTCTTTCTAGTCACATATTAAAGTGTTCATAAGTTGACCTTGATTGTGATAAGCATCAAGCCCACTTTCTCCAACACTGTGGATTGCTATCCCCCAACACCCCCTCCAGCTCAATCAGGCAGGTGGGCTCCTGCACTTCATAACAAGCTTACTAGAATATTTCCACCACCTACACAAGAGGGAAAAAAAGTTGTCTATTCTTTAATATTTTGTTTTAGCATGACATCTTTCATGAAAATTTCTCCAGTAGCCACTCCCAGAGCTTGTTTTTCCCCTAATATTTTAAAACCACTGAAAAGGTTTCACAATATGCCATGTCATCTTGCACAATACATTGATTGCCTTGTTTTCTTTGGTTTGGTTTTGATTCTTCAAATTGACTTAAGGATCAGTACTTTCTACTCTGTTTATTGCGTCTGTGCTCCTGAGGAAGATTAACCTCTGGTTTTCCTCTAGGATTGCAAGAGACAACCCTGCTTTAGAGATGAGAAATCTGACACTCTAGAGGTGAAACACTCATCTAAGAGGACCAGGGAGTTAAGTCCATGTTTTATGCCAAAGCCCATTGTTTTCCAGCAGCCATGACATCATTTCTTACTGTAATGGTAAACACTTGGTAGAGACACTCACCTTTAAAATCTCCTGTGGTTGGTGGTTTCATGAGTATGTTGTGTGTTCCTGGCAAGGTATTGTACAGCACTGCCTATGAGACATGGAGGAGTTGCACATGAAGGCCGCCTGCATCCTTGGGGGGAGTTCCTGAAGCTGCTTCCCATGTTTCTCACAGGGAGGCCAGGGAAGATCAGCCCCATTCTGTACACAGGCAAGCCATGAACTGAGGACATCCCTTTCAGGCTATGAATTCTGAGGAATGTTTCTAAGGTGTAGAGAAACATGAAAAACTAGAAATCCATTATGTCTGGAGGTAAAAACAGAAGGCCAGAGGGACAGAAGTGCTTGTGCAGTGGTCAGAGGCAGGGATATTTGGTGTGTTTGCTGCTCTGCTCACCTCGCTCTTCAACCTCCCTGCTGGATTTTTGGAGTCATTTGGGTCTGGGTGTCCCATTTTGGTGAGTGGCTTGGACTGGAGGAAGTCCATAGAGTATGGAGAGGGTACTGGAGGCTGAGGTAGAATGAGGTAAATGGGAATTGGATAAGATGCACTGGCTGCATTTGGTGACATTTCTGCCTGAGTAGGTATTCGAATATGCACTGCCACTTCGTGGTCCCCCTGAGACAGCTGGAGAACTGAATTGACTTTCACTGCTCTGTAATCAGATTGTTTGTAGTAGTTTAATTTACTCGTCAGGTGACAATAATTATTGAAAATATTCCTAAAATGAATTTTCTGCCATTATTATGAATAGTGAAGAAAATCGAAGCCTTTTTGGGAGATCAACAAAATGCTGACTTGGTTTCTATGTATGCCTCATGGGTCATAGCACCCAGCCACTAGCCAGTGCTTGCACCCTCTGCTGGCCCCAGGACTAGGAGGTCAGGGTAGCCTCTCTGATGAGCCTCTGACCTCCAGCCTCAGTAGTGGCAGCACCCCTTCTCCATGGACTTCCACACCAAGGTCCAGAAGCAGGTGTCAGAGAGAGAGAGAGAGAGACCGAGCTCCTCCTCACAGGGGGTTGCCGAGGGCCCCCTGGGCTCTGCCTAGAATGCTCTTGGAGAAGTGCGGATGGAGAAGCAGATTAGAGGCTCCAGTGGTTGGTTCCAGTGAAACTAATCAGAGTGCTAGAGTGCTAGAGACAGGAGAAGACATTTAGGTTAATTTTATCTCTTTCCACCTACAAAAACTAAGGCCCAATTTTTAAATGAAATTGTTTTTCTTCCTTTTATGTGTCTCTAATTGTACCTGACTTTTGCTGACACTCCCGACGTTTAACCACATATTCACAAAACTTCATTCATGTTTTTCATGAGGGATGCAATTCTCACCTGCTCTGACAGGTGAATGCACCATCCAGATGTCCCTATATACATCACATGAAGGAGGTAACAGATGAGTCATCCACACACTAACACAGATGAGTTTATCAAATGCAGCCATTAGGGATGGGCCCATGTTACCAAAGGACAGAGTGGGGGAAGGTGCTCATTCCAAGAGGCTGCTGCAAGAGTTCAGTCAACCCAGGACACCTAGAGCCATCTGGGCCTGAAGCCAGGGGCTGGCAAGTGACAGAATGGACCACAGAGTCTTTTTCTCCTTCCACATTTTCAATAGACCATATACTGTCATAGTATTTTGTGAAACATTTAAAAATCTAAAGTACAACATACATACAGAAAACACATGAAACCTAAATACACAGCTCTGTAACTTATCACAAAGTGAGAACCCATGTAACTACAAGTCAGGTCAAAAACTAGAAGTTACCTGCACCCCAAAACTGTCCTTGTATCTCCTCCTTTCCAAAGCTAGCCACTACAACCTTGTGTGCCAGAGTTCGCTCTCTTTTAGTTTGTGCTTATTATAAATAGAGTAACTCAGGATGTGTGTTCCTGATGGATGTGTGGCGGCTGATGACAGAACTACAAGGAGAGCAGTGCCATGCACTAAACCCTGATCTTGTTCTGGGCATTGGGCTAAAGCTTTCCGTGGCTCATTCCATTTAGTGGCTGGAAGTTGCAGAGGTTTCAGAAGCTCATCCAAGATTCTGGAGCCTCCATCTCCAGCCCTAATGCTGTCCGCCTTTTCACCCAGCCACCACCTGTTTCAGGAGAACACACAGAAGTGATGACCTTTTCTGGACAGGCAAGTAAATCCTGCTGTTTTTATTATTCACGGAAAAAACACTGGCTCATGGGAGGTGGGAAGGTGACAAACTCATTCTCCCTGGACCCCAGGAACCACAGATAGGATTATACTGACTACCAGTATTTTATTCGGTTAGTTCTACCTACATGCATCCTGTAGTATTGAAATGCGTTAGGCTGGCATTTTTGGCCAATGTACTTTACATTCTGGGTTAGAGGTTTTTAAGATTCACCTGTGTAAGCTGACTTAGTTTTCTGTAAGTTTGTGAAAAAGTACAAAAATGGTGATCTCTTTTATCATACAAATAATTTCTTTTTAATAGAATGTTTTTTCTAATTAATGTATTAATGTACTTTTCATTCAACACATTCGCTTACATTTGAACTATTTTATGAATGAATGTTTAATTGCATAGGTGAAGATTACTAGTCACGGGCATTTTACTAACTGATTCTCATTAGGCATAGGTTCATGTGATGTCAAGGAGCTATGTTTTGTTTGGTAAAAGTAATAAAATAGCACAAGAATGAATGCAAGCACTGAAGCACGATGGAGGCGCCTATCATGACTTGTCTATGATTTACATCACTCGTTGTCTTTCCAGGTTGCTTATCATCCTGATAATTGTCATCAGCATTGTTTGGGTCCTTCTAGCACAGTTTCACAAAATGGGCAACTCTTCCGTTAGGTAGAGATAATTCCATTTGAGCCTTTAATTGCATCTGTCTTCCAGCTTCTTCTTTTGGAAGAGTTAATTAAAGGGTAGATACATTAGAAATTTTTTTTCCATGTTAGAATGAGCAAACCACAATGTTCATTTACCTGGAGTAGCAGAATGCTTCCTTTTGACCTCCCAAGCTCATCTCAATTTCATTGCAGTAGCCCCATTTCTTAATGCTCACCAAAGTGTGTAAATATAGAGGGCGTTCCTGTAGTCAGGTGTTTCTATTTCTTATGATCTGTGATATTTATACATAGCACAGTGCTCAGCAGCACAGATTTGGGAGTCAGGATGCTTGGATCCAGTCCTTACTCTGATACTGAATAGAATTGTGATCTTGAGCAAATCCCTTGAATCTATGTAAAAGTATTATAATTCTACCTTATTTTTGAGATTCCTGAGACAATTAAGGTTTTTTTTTTTTTAATGAAGCCCTGGAGCACTAGATGTACCCTTATCATTATTATTATTATTTTCAGGTGTTGGTCAGGTTCAGCGACATTAATATCTCTTTGTCTTTATCTTCATCTCTCAAAATCCTCTGCTTGCCTTTATGCAATACTGTTTTTCTTAAATGTAATTCCTTACACAGGAAGACTGAGGATTACCACCAAATTTTGAAAGTAAATAAAAGCTCTTAATTATCAAAAATTTTAATGGAACTGTGAAAACCACCTAATATCAACTTTCTAAACTGTATAACAAAAGTCAGTTCTGTTTATTCTACAAAGTGAATATTTTTGAATCTATGTATAATTAATTATATTAATTACATTTTTCAAGGAAACCCACCATTTTGGATCATGGAGTGCAGGATTTATGAGTCTCCTGGAGGCTGGAGAATCAAAGTACAAAGCCGTGTTCCAGCTCTGGAGTGCAACAGCCCACTACTAAATACACATGTATTTGCAGCCTTTTTGGCTCAAGGCTAGATGCTTGTCAGTCCTTAGGTTGAGAAAGCAGGCATGGTGACAATTATGACCTCTCCTATTTCCTCAAATCTCTGATTCATTCTTGCTTCTAATGCAGGATACCCTCTGAGGTCAAATCATTGGGCTTGTGGCCATGAGACCACAGACTTTGCCTGGCTTCCAGTGACTGTCCGAGATGACCTGTGGAGTGCACCGCCTGTACTTGGACATCACTGTCTTTTCGGATCCATACCCGTCATCCTTGGAATTTCCCCTGCATCCAAACCTGTTCCTGATACAGGTGTGAGTAATGAGTAAGGAATTTATGGTTTTATTTAAAGATAGGAGCTTTGCTTTTTAAAACTGCTGCTCATGTACAGGTCCCAGGCCAGTAGAATCATGGCAACACAGATTCCCAGAGCTAGAAGGAACTTGTGGTATCATTCAGTCATCCAATCAAATAATATTTGCACCTAATCTGTACAAGGAACCAGTGACATAAGGAATAAAGGATTAGAAAATGGGCTCCACATAAAATTTTTTTAAAGGAAAACCTCACAATGCAATTGAGAGGAATATTTGCACCGTTCTTTTTGGATATCAGGAAGTAAACAGAGTTCCCCATGAGAATGGGAAAGACTTCCCAGCAGAGCTGTCATCTGGGCTGGACCTGTTTGTGGGTGAGTAGCATTTCACACACAGCATGCACCAGCACAGAGATAAAAAAAAGTTCATGGAAACTGTGAGCAGAAAGAAGCAAAATAAAACACTGAGGTGTGCTTTTGTCTTTCAGGTTGTCACAGATGTTTAATACAGGTTAGCATCCCAAATCCAAAAATCTGAAATCCAAAATGCTCCAAAACCCAAAACATTTTCAGCTTCTAAATGATGCCCAAAGGAAGTGCTCGCTGGAGCATTTCAGATTTCAAATTTTTGGATTTGGAATTCTCAATCAGTAAGCATATATAATGTAAACATTCTGAAATCTGCAAAAACCCAAATCGGAATCACTTCTGGTCCCAATCATTTCAGATAAGGGATACTCAGCTCTCATGTGTAACATTCAGTGTTGGTGAGGATGGGGGGTAACACCCACTCTCTGTAACTGCTAGAAGCATATGAATTTGTATGATTTGTAAGAGGGCAATTTGGGAGGACCTATCTGTTTTAAAATTCTCCTAACCCATGGATCTCATCCCATTTCTAGAGTCTTTTATGTAAAATATTTCTACCATTAGGAGAAATATATGCAAGGGGACTTTCTATGTAGCAATGTTTTAATAAAATAGAAAATTGGGACAAACCAAATTTCCATCACAAAGGAAATAGATACACAAATAATAATACACTGAATATTATGCAGGTTTTAAACATCAGAAAAGGGCTCAGCTTCTGATCTCCAATGATGGTGTTGAAGTGGGTCACAGCCGGTTTACACTTGGTTTTCATGTGGGAACTCTGGGTGTCTGCCTTAGTTTAATGATTTTATATGTCACTAAATTCAGCTAATGGAAAGCTATTCCATGCATGGCAAAACGGAACTTGAAAACAGTTTCTTGTCAACAATCGAGTGGACCTGTTTTATGTACAACCCACGCCTTCATCTGCCTGCCCCTCAGTCTGTCTGTCCTCACAGTCCTCATTCATTAGTGGAACTGAGTGCCCACTGTTGGGTTGACGATCAATTCCATAACCTCCCTGTTCCTAGTCACACATCAATTCTTCAATACATCCCTTTGGATCACTTGGGATTAAACCTCCATCTCCAATTTCTTCCCCAGACGTATTTCTCACTCTTCTCCCAGCACACCCTTCAGCCCATCCATGCAGGTTTCTTTGCTTTTCCCACTTTACACCAAACTCTCTGTTTGTTGTTTTTTTTTTCTTTTGAGACGGAGTCTCGCTCTGTCACCCAGGCTGGAGTGCAGTGGCGCGATCTCGGCTCACTGCAAGCTCCACCTCCTGGGTTCACGCCGTTCTCCTGCCTCAGCCTCCCGAGTAGCTGGGACTACAGGCGCCTGCCACCACGCCCGGCTAATTTTGTTTTGTATTTTTAGTAGAGACGGGGTTTCACTGCCTTGGCCAGGATGGTCTCAATCTTCTGACCTCGTGACCTGCCCATCTCGGCCTCCCAAAGTGCTGGGATTACAGGCGTGAGCCACCGCGCCTGGCCCAAACTCCCTGTTTTTACTCCAACTTTTACCTCCTCTTCAAGACAAAACAAGCAAACAAAACTGTAACAGTATTTTTAAACTTAGCTGTAATCTTTCTTCCTTCATGAACATTTCTCCAAAAGCCATTCCCATGGCTCTGTGTGTTCCAAATATTTTTAAATATTAGGTATAAGGTTGAGCGTTTCAGGATATGCTGTTTTGAGCTGTACACTAACTGTACTGTTTGTATTGATTCTTCACATTTGAGGCATGGTCATTGCCTCCCACTGCTTTGGAGAGTTGATGTCAGTGCTCCTGAATAAGATTGGTGCACAGTTTTTCTTTTTATACTTAATTTTTTGGTTTGGTATTAAAATTACAGTGTTTTCATCAAATTAATTGTAACTAGCCCCTTTCATCAATTTCATGGAAATATTTCAATCAGATTTGAATGCCAACTCCATTGTAATTTTGGTATTTAGCCACTAATACTATTAGGGGTGTGTAGGGGGCAGGAGGTGGAGCTGGGGTAAAGAAAGGGAGAGAAAGATGGAGATGAGGAAAGATACTTCTTAACTACTAATTAAATTTATATAATGGCTATTGAAGTATTTAGGATTTTTCTTCATGAATTCATTTTAGAAAATTATGCCTTCTAGGATTTTATCTATCTTGTACACATTTTAAATGTCTCAGCATAAATTTCCTCATAATATCCACTGATTGTCCATTTTGTAATCTCTGCTACCTCTATAGTTATGTCTTTTTATTAAGTTCTGATATGAATTTTTGTGATTTCTCTTTTTTTCTTGATAATACACTTTTCTCAAAAACAACTGTTGGCTCTGTTACCCCTTCCCGCTATTGTCCTTATTTTCTCTTTCATTAATTTCTCTTCTCATCTGTTATCCTTCCATTACATTATTTGGATTTCTTCTGATGTTATTTTTTTCTAACTTAAGTTGTATACTTAATTTTTACCTTTCTTTCCTATTTATTTTTGAGACAGAGTCAAGCTTTGTTGTCCAGGCTGGAGTGCAGTGGCAGGATCTCGAGTCACTGCACCCTTTGCCTCCCGGGTTCAAGCGATTCTCCTGCCTCAGCCTCCCCAGTAGCTGGGACTACAGGCGTGCACCACCACATCTGGCTAATTTTTGTACTTTCAGTAAAGACATAGAGACGGGGTTTCACTATGTGGGGCAGGCTGGTCTCAAACTCCTGACCTCAAGTGATCCTCCCACCTTGGCCTCCAAAAGTGTCAAGTTCCTAATTTCAATAACTCATCTCATAGATTGCTCTCACATAATGCTCTTTGCTGCATCTCCCAATTTTCAGTTTGGGCAATTTTTATTATTTATTAGTAAGTGTTATTTAATTTCATTGTGATTCTTACAGAGATTTGAGTTTAGAACTATGGTCTACATTTTCTCATATTGCAGCCAATGCTCCTGTGCATGAGTCTTCATATTTTGCAAGTCTACTTTGGGATAGATTTTGAGATGTTGGACGATGGGTCAAAGTGTTAGTGCTTATGCAGCTTTGCTAGATGTTGCCAAACTCCTCTCCACAGGTGCTGAGTCAGCTTTCTTCACAACAATGTGGGCACAGCCACACTAACGTAGTTACATGTGAAACTTCTAAAATTTTGTCTTGAAGTGGTTTCTCAGTATAGTTTTAATGTGAACTTTTTCACATTTTGAATGAGATTAAAAGCCATTTGTTCTTTTGTTTTTCTTTGAACTGTTTGTTCATGTCTCTGACATGCTTACATGGGCTTGTTGGTAGTCTTTTCTTCCCTATTTTTAGAGACTTGTTATATATTAAGGGTAATAACACCTTTGTGTTATGCCAGGCCTGTTTTGTTTTTTTGTTTTGTTTTGTTTTGTTTTTCCTGTTTACCATGTATCTTTTGCACTTTATTGAACTTTAGGTGATACAAAATTTTTCTATTTTCATATAATAAAATTTAATTATAATTTAATGATATTCTCAAGGTTTCTTCACCGCTTTCAAGGGGGTGTTCACTTTCTTCAGTAACGTGTGCTGCTTTGACAGGGAACAGCCAGCGTCAGCTGAAATCGGAATTCTCTGTCTCATGTTTTAGAAGAATTGCTCTTTCTTTATTTCAGATAACCCTAAGGAATATCTTGGATGTCTTCACGGGGCTTATGACTTATTCTGAGGTTTACAAAATAGAGGCCCCCAGCTGAGCAAAGAGAGGGCTGCAGCGCCGAGGGAACAGCTGCCGGACTCACCGGAGAGGCCTCCTGGAGCACGCCGGGACCCCCTCCACCCCCTGGCTTTGGCTGCATCAATGGCTAGTTTGCCTGAACTATATCTGAGCCACTGAGAGTATTTATTAAGCAGAGAATAATTTTGAGTTTCACTTTTATAACTTTTGTTTCAAAAGTTGTTTTGGATAATTTAATGAAATGACTGTAAACCAGAATTCCCCTTTTCATTATTTCTTTGTGTCAATATAAAAAGAGTTGATGATTTTAAAAGCCAGTGAGATGTCCCTGTCTGTGGATGTCAGCGGGAGGGTGGGGTCTGACGCCTTTCTCTGGTGGCTGTCCAGGAAGATTGCCCCAGCTTGCACTCCCTTTTGGCGGGTTCCAGAGCCTTCCATTTGAAAGGAGCATCTCTCACCACTCTGCCCCACCCAGCACCAGCTCTTCTGGAACCCACTGACTTCCTAAACACTTTCTTCCTCCTTCACCTCATTGAATTCAAGACTTTAGAAAACAGCCAAAAACTCTAGAGGTGGGGGTGGGTTCGATCTGGAAATCCCTGCTGTAATCTTTTTAAGGGAATCCACTGGAAATTATTAATTTATGTTTTAAATAAAACCATTCCTTACTTAACAGAATATTAAGCCACTCATTTTTTTAACAGAACTTTCGAGATATAATTAAAATGCCATAAATTTCACCCCCACACAGTGTACAATTCCAAGGTTTCCAATATAGTCACAGAAGTCTCTGCAACAATTACCACAATTTTAGACATGAAGACCATTTGTTGGCAGCCCTACCTGCCTCTATGTGTATGTATATAATTTTAATATTGGATTGGATACTATAGTAATATTGTACTGTTACCTATTTGTGTTTTTATATTGCTGTTTTATTTTATTCAGATGAATAATAATTATCTCCATATAGTCATACATTTATATAGGGTTAAACACACCTTTTTACAATTCAATAAATTAAATTGGTCAGGTATGGTGGCTCACGCCTGTAATCCCAGCACTTTGGGAGGCCAAGGCGGGTGGATCACCTGAGGTTGGGAGTTTGAGACCAGCGTGATCAACATGGAGAAACCCTGTCTGTACTAAAAATACAAAAAATTAGCCAGGCATGGTGGCACATGCCTGTAATCCCAGCTACTTGGGAGGCTGAGGCAGGAGAATCACTCGAACCAAGGAGGCGGACATTGCGGTGAGCCAGGATCGCACCATTGCACTCCAGCCTGGGCAACAAGAGCAAAACTCCATCTCAAGAAGAAAAAAAAAAAAAAAGTAAATTGTTTTTAATTACATAAGAAACACGTGTTATTGTTATAGAAATTCACATAGTGCTTCGGTCTATAGAATAAATGTATCCCCACCACCTCCCAGCCCACCCACTCGTCTGCATTCACCTACACACAGTTAAACATGCACATATGTTTCCGTGACACGATCTTGCTTTGCATATTGTTCACTGACTGGCTTTTCCATATAAGATTTAATTTGGTGATTATTGCTTATCAGTACCTATAGGTCTCTCTCATTATTATTTATAATTACATCATTATTCCATAGGGTATTTTACCACAATTTGGTCACTTTTTCACTGAGGAATTTTTATGTCAGTTTCAGTTATTTGTTATTGTTACCAATGCTGTACTGGGCATCCCTGTATATCCACCTTTTTGTTGCATTAGTTAAGTGGTTTTTTCCTTTTATGATTGATTTCTAAAAATAAAATACTGCAGCAAATGTTAATGTTTAATATTTTCATAAAATTAAAAATCTGTGTTCCAAAAAGAAATCAATGGTTTATACTTCTACCATCAATGTATGAGAATTCCTATTTCCCCACACCCTTAATTACATAGGAAATTATCAATGTTTGCCAATTTTATGATTTTAAAATATTTTTACTTTTAATTTGGATTTCTCCACTTATTAGGGAGATTGTGCATATTTGTGTATGTGTGTTGGCCGTTTGTATTTCTCCCTGTGATTTTCATAATGATACGTTTTCCTAGTTTTCTAATTCATTTAGTGATATTCTTTATATGTTCTGCACATTTATTATTTCCATATAATTACTGAGTTTTTTTTAAGGTCTGTGTCATAACTTTTACTTTGTTTATATTGTTTTTGTTTTGAAGAAGGTTTTCTTTTTACATAGTCAAATTTTCAATATTTTCCTTACCATTTCTGGATTTTGTGACAGGCTTTCAATAGTTGGTCCTTCTAGGGCTTTATTGATTTGTTTTGTTTTAAAGAACATGCTCAAATCCTACATTATATAGTGATTTACTTGTTCCCTTTATAACACGTGGTAGACATTACTAGTTCCAATTAATGTAGATTAAATGTATTCTTTTCAGTTGTGTAGTAATTCATAGATACGTTCTGATTTCTTTATTCTCTGTTAGATGGATATTAAGCTTATTTTTTAAAATTCCCACCACTAATGACTTTCCAGTAATCATCAATATACATAGATCCCCCCAATGTTTTTGTTTTTTTGTTTTTATGTAGTATACGAATCTCAAAATGGTATAATTGAGCTACGATAAATTTAATTATAATTTAAAAAATACTGACATTATTTTTCACAGAGTTAATCAGATCACACTCTTACCAATTACATAAGTAGGCCTCT